>NC_000002.12:15838363-16145119 GCF_000001405.40 Homo sapiens | reverse complement strand
ATATTAATAGTAATTTATTAATATTAAATTAATATATAATATTAAAATATTAATATAAGAAAATATATAATACATAATATTAAAGTATTAATATAATGTAATTATATGTTATATATTATAATTAGTAATATAAATTATTGATAAAATATTAACATATTAATATTAATATATGATATAATATAATACATTATTACATAATATATGATATAATATAATATATTATTATATAATATATAATATGATATAATATGATACATAATTATATATTATATAATATAATGTCATATGTTATTATATAATATATAATATAATATTATATATTATTATATAATATATAATGTAATATATATGATTATGTAGTATATAATGTAATATCATATATTATTATATAATATATAATATATGATATAATATAATATCATATATTATTATATAATATATAATATATGATATAATATAATTTATATTATTATATAATATATGATATAATATAATATATATTATTGTATAATATATAATATAACATAATATCACATATTATTATATAATATATAAGATAATATAATATCACATATTATTATATAATATGCAGTACAATATTATATCATATATTATTTATTATAATGTATACAATATAATATATAATATAATATATATTAATTTTATGTAATATTAATTATATTATATTATATTCATATGAATATAATAAATTAATATATTTTTATAATATAAATATTTATACCTTTATTACAAATATTTATATTATCATATAATATAGTATAGTATCATATAATATAATATATTATATTTTATATAAATGTATATATTTATATATTGATATAAATATATGTATTGTATTATATATAAATATAATATATTTGTAATACAATAAATATAAAATAATATATTATAATATATTATATTATATTAATTACATTATGTTAATATTATATAATATAGTATACATAATATATAATACATTATATATTATATATCAATTTTAATATTATATATTAATTTTATATTAATGTTAATATTACTATATTAATTTAATATTAATATAGTAATATTAATATATTATATATGATATAATGTAATATATTTTAATATATGACATATAGTATACATAATATATAATATATATTATAATATAATATAACATATTATATATTATATATAATATAAAATATATTATACGTAATGTATAATATATTATATATATTATACAATGTACAATATATATTATATATATTATACATAATATATAATATAATATATTATACATTGTATATAATATATTAGATATAATACGTAATATATAATATATTAGATATAATACATAATATATAATATATTAGATATAATACATAATATATAATATATTAGATATAATACACAGTATGTAATATATTAGATATAATACATAGTATATAATATATTAGATATAATATGTAGTATATAATATATTAGATATTATACATTAGATATAATATATTAGATATAATACATAATATATAATATATTATATATTATTATGTATTATATGTAATAATATGTATAATATAATATTATATATTATTATGTATAATACAATATTATATATTATTATATTTATTATATTAAATATTATTATATTTAATATTATATTATATATTATTATATTTAATATTATGTTACATATTATTATTTTTAATATTATATTATATATTATTATATATAGTATAATATTCTGTATTATTATATATAATATACATTCTATATTATTATATAGAATATATATTATTCCAATTTCCTTTATCACAAAGAATGCTGTAATAAGCATGACTATCGATGTTTCTCTCCATCCATGGACCACAGTATCTCTAGCTCTAAGCTACAGAGGAGAATTGCTTGATCGTGGATTCCTTGCGTCTCTTGCTTCACTGGATGCTGCCAACTGGTTCCCTGAAGTTATCGAGCAGGTTACACTTCCGCTGGCCGTGTAGGAGAGGTCCCGTGGCTGCACTGCTCACCCAAGGTCAGCGTGTATCAGGCTTAATTATTAGCCAATCTGATGGGTGTGAAACAGTTTCTCATTTACTCCTTATTTGCCTTTAATCTTTATCTTGCCACCTCCCTTATTCATGTGGTCCATTAATTAGATACTCTTGGCTACAAATAATGAAACACTCAGAAGCAGCTGAAACACATAACAAGAAGCCTAAAGGTAGGGTTTGTTTTATAGTTGGTCAATTTAGTAGCACTAGGACCAGGTGCTTCCATTTTTCTTCTCCACCATCTTGAGCTTTGGTATTCAGCTTGTCTTCTCACGATAGCAAATTCACTGCCCCACAACTCTACACAATCTCACCCACAGGCAGGAAGGTAAGTCCTCCTCCTGTGCCTCTTGTTCAGTGAGAAATACTTCCCCTAGAGGCCCTTTGATCAGGTGTCCCTGCTTTCCTTCATACCCTTCATACTGTATTGGTCAGAATTGCATTACACACCCATGGGTAAAGGAGTGACAAGAAAGGGGAATGGAGCTTCCCTGGTCAGTTAGATTAATCAGCATTCATCCTAGGCAACAGAATGTCCCTCTCCCCAAAGCATATGGAAGGGTGAGTGTGTGAACAAATTTAGGGCTCTACTAGGAATAAGGAGGAATGAGGACAATGACTGTTGGGTAATGAAGATGGGTATCTGCCACTGTTGAGAAATAAAGTCCTTTAAAGCTGAATTCTAGAAACATCCTTCTTTCTGGTGATGGAGCTGTTGTTACCACAGACATGAATATCAGCAGTCTCTGATGTTCAACTCACAATGTTCACGTCCCTTACTTTTTCAACATGGAGCTCCATGAATTTTTCCCACTTCACTTTTTTCTTTTTTCTCTACCTACTCTTTTGACTCCAAGAATTTCTGTTCTTTTTTTGTTTTTTTGTTGTTTTGTTTTTTTTTCCTGAAACCTTCTCTTCACTCCATACTTTAAATCACCACTGGAAATATAAGGAGTTCTGTTTCCCACTCCCACCCCGACTCTTGTACCTCTGAGGATATCTTTATGTCATACCCAGCACCTCTCTTTTCTTAGGTTGTGAACTGACACAAATGTTTATTACTTTAACCATCCATGGCTATTCCTAATGGCTTATGGTCTTCCACAATGAGATTTTCTGATCCAAAGTCTCAGGTTGGTATTGAAGCAAATTTTTTTGACACTTAAAAATATTAAATGTGAGTAAACTTGGTATAGAAATAAACTTGTCAAGTATCTATCTGTTCTCTGAGACCAGAACCGAAGATCCTTTAAAACTGGCACCAGAGACCAAAAGTTTTTTCTGGGCGCTGATTCATTACTTATCAGCCACATCAGTGATTAAATATTTAAGTGCCAAGGAGTCTGTGATTAAATATTAATTCCCAGCCAGTCTGCTATGAAATATTTAAAGGCTTGTGAGTCTGAAGTGTGCAGCTTTCAGCCCAGAGCAGAAAAGAGCCCTGTCAAAGGCCAGATACCAGATGATGGAGCAAATGCATGAAGATGGGTTGGTGAGGAACTGTGCCAGGTTCAAGTGCGCCCAGATGCCCTCAGGTGCTCCAAATGCTGAGATCATGGACAGCACACAGGGCTGGTCCGTTTGTGAGTAACAACTCACTACCATGAAGAATGAAGACCCGAACTTATTTTGTGCATTTCAGAGATGGGAGAACTGAGGCTCAGGGAGGTGGAGGGAATCACCCCAAGTTTTAGTGTCAGCAAGGAGTGGGCCTTAACTAAGTTCCTGGACTCACCTGTGTGGAGGAATTTCTGTCTTCTCAGCCCTAAGAGCACCATAGGTGAATAATTCTTGTGTAGTCTTCGTATTAGTAAAAAATCATTTGCTCTTCAGTTTTAAATGGAGGGAATTTAGTACAGGAAATTGGTTACAAAAGGTTTGGAAGAATTGGAAGAGCAAAAAAGAGAATCAACTGGCATTCATGAGACCAAAAGGAAGAGGTGGACATACTCAGAGGTCAGAGCCCGCTCTCACTGCTGAGTTCTGGGATGGTGTCTCAGTGGCTTCTGGATCTGCCAAAGATGCATCTTCTCAACTAGAGCTGCAGCTGCTGAAAAGGCACTGGTTCTTTCTAGCCAGGCACCCTCTCCTGCTGCCATGACATCAGCCGGCAGCATGGCCAGCAACACCATCCTGTCTGAGTCACAGCAGAATCTTTCTCTTCCTTCCCTCTCTGGTCAATCTCCCATCTGCATCGCCTACTGGCAGAAGCAGACAGAAGCCTGCTGGCAAAGAAACCTAAGAAAATGG
Organism: Homo sapiens; assembly: GCF_000001405.40. Lineage (NCBI taxonomy): Eukaryota > Metazoa > Chordata > Mammalia > Primates > Hominidae > Homo > Homo sapiens. Next base: position 16,140,833 of record NC_000002.12, on the reverse strand, counting down.
AGTCTGCAGACTTCTAGTTCCAAGAGAAATATAAAAAGAAGTGTGTAGAACTAAGATATAACAGATAAATCCCAAGTACCGCCCCCTTGCTACTGAAGGGAAATCACTCCAGGTTCATCAAGTGAAGCTTGGCCTCCCCTACCTTTTCCTGCTCTTTTACTATAAAATAGGACCTTCATAAGTTTGAGGAGTTTCTCCAGGATTTGACCTTACAATATGGGGGATCAGCTACTTCTCTTTTCTTGATCAACCCTGAAACCAAAAGAATAATTAATTTGGTTAAAAGCTGCAGATTTCATTTCTGTTTGCAAGTCTCAAATTATCTCAAATTGATGTGGTTATCAAGAAAGACTTGCACATAAAAACTTGGAAAGAGGCCAACCCAGGTAGGATCATAAATGCTCCATCAGAGAGGCAGCTCAACCCGTCCATTTTCTGACAGAAAACCTTAGTGCCAGAAAAGAAGAGCATGGAAAGGACTTCAGGTGACTTAGCCTGGACAGCCGCAGCCCACTTTGACCATTCCGGCCTTACCTGTACTGCGTCATGCCTAACAAGAGCAAGCTTGTCTTTTAACACAGATCGTCTTTTTTCCTCACCACTTTTGCATTCCTTTTATCTTGCCAGTGAATAAACATAAGAAAGAGAATAATTCATTTTACATGTTTTACAGTTTATAAGACATTTTTTCCATCCGTTATCTCCATTGATCCCAAAGAGAATCCTGTAAACTCTAGGCCAAGTCAGTTATTCCCATCTCCAAGTGTATGGGGCACAGCAAGTTTAAGTCACTTGTTCAAGGGCACACAGTCAAGTACCTACCACATAAGAGATGCCTAGAAACTTTTTATTGAGTAAATGATCAAATAAAAAACTGAATAGGCCAGAGTCATCATTCATAAAAACCAGAGCTGAGGGAAGCGTCGGAGTTGGAGTTCAATGGGAAGAAGACTTTGTTAGGAGAGAAACCAATCATAAGGACAGGGCAGAGATGGAAGCTGGCAGGGAAATCCTGATTCCCGTGCATGTGAGGGAGTAGGGAGGTGGCTCCCAGAACCCAGAGGGAACTCAACATCCATCTATTTTGAGATCTGGCAAGAGGAAGATTCTAATTACAGAAACTCCTAAAAGCAGTGTTACTTCTAGAATCCCTGACTCATGCCCATCTTCCATGCACAGTGGTGAACTCTCTGGTGTTTGGGAACATCAGCATCAGCCCAAATGCTCAGGGGGTCCCATCGGGTTTCTGATTGTTTACATTCAATCATCATTGTCACCCCCTGCCACATATCCACCACCCCCACTATCCTGCCCTTCCCCTACCCCTGAGTCTCATGAGCTTCTGCCCTCTGCAACTCTTGCCCCCTCCTTACCCTCGATCCCTCCCCACCACCACTGCTGTTATAAAAACAGACAGAACCTACTGGCTGTATTTCCCTGATCCCTAATCCAGGGTGACATTCCAGGCAAACCACCACGTCGTTTCCCTTTCTTTCCCTGTTCAGGGGCCTGCCTTTATGCTGACTCCATTGCACTTGTTTTGAGACAAGGGGGAAGATGTGCAGTCTATTACCCTTATAAACCAGCTCCTTTCTTCCTCTCTCTGCCATTTAAAAGGGCCTTTCTATTTGACTGAACAAGAAAAGGAACTCTAAGAGGGGAATTAACATTGTCCCTATTATATTGTCCAATTAACACTTGTCCCGTCAAAGGCTGAGTAGGAAGCCAGGAGCCTTGGTCAATGAGAACTTTTAATCCCTCAGGTAAATGCAAAGTCGCATTGAACACGATCAAAGGGCAGATCTCAATATATTCTCTCCCCAAACCCCTTCCCTCCCCCCTCATGCATAGGACTGTATGAGGCAGCTGAGTGCTGGTTTGAATTAGTTTCAACCTTCCTTTGTGGCCATGTTGGGTGAAAGTGTGGGGGATGGTTGGTCAGACATTTAAAAACTCACACCAAGGTTCTTAATTCCCTTCAAGACAAAGACACAAGCAGACATGTTGAAGTAATGACGACCCAACCATCTTCTTTTTAAAAAAATCTATTTCCTCTCTGCAGGTACTAGGCTCAGAACCATTATTAAAACAAAGTAAATTATGCTAATAGTTAATCCTTTTGAGGGATGGAATTTAGAGGTCAGTTTCTTCGTTCTGTAGAATGCTGCATTCATTGAGATCTGACCCATGAGAAATAGACAGACAAATAGAATAGGAACTTCAGCTGGAGGGCAGGGACTCTGAAACACTTAGAGTCCTTCCTTCTGAGCCTAACATACTTCTTTTTTTTTTTTTTTTTTTTTTTAAGACGGAGTTTCGCTCTTGTTGCCCAGGCTGGAGTGCAGTGGTGTGATCTTGGCTCACCGCAATCTGCCTCCCGGGTTCAAGCGATTCTCCTGCCTCAGCCTCCCGAGTAGCTGGGATTACAGGCATGTGCCATCACACCGAGCTAATTTTGTATTTTTAGTAGAGACGGGGTTTCTCCATGTTGGTCAGGCTGGTCTCAAACTCCTGACCTCAGGTGATCTGCCTGCCTCAGCCTCCTGAAGTGCTGGGATTATAGTCATGAGCCACTCAGCCTAACATACTTCTTTTGACATAGTAGGTGCTAAAAACTTATTTACAAATAAAAGTGTCTAGAAAAGTGATTTGCTTAGGGATAAATTTAAGATCTAGACCACTTCAAGGAGGCTTAAACTGGTTTACTAAGATGAAAACTTAACACAGGAGAAAAGAAAGAGTAGAATGGTAAGTTGAAACCAAGGAAGGGTTCATTCACAGGAGTTCATGCTGGTTGTTCCTGCTCAGTTATCACCGATGAGCCTCTGGGTTGACAAGGAGCTTCCTGGCTGCCAGTGCAGAGGAGAAACACAATCAACTTTAAAGTCTATATTGTCCAGAGAACACCTACTGAAATACACCATCAGACAAGAATGCAATATTAACAAATGTAACATCCTGAAGCAAACATATACTATGGGACTTCTCTTAAGGTCTCAGCCACACTCTCTGCCTTCTGAATACACAGCCTGTTGTATGGCTTTATAAAATTATACAGAATGGTGTCGAGTGAAGATGGTGTGTCACTGAGATCTCTGCCTCGGGTAGTTCTGTGGAGTGGGCTCAGCTGCACAGAGGTGGCATGGGCCTTTCTGCCCTGGGGTTCAGATCATGTGGGAACCTCCATCGCCCATAACAAGAGGTCAACAGTCCAGCCACACTGGTGTGGTTAGAAACAGGCTGACCCACGAAGCTTTGACCCAGTGCCGCAGTGACCAAGAAAACCACAGGGATGTGTGAACTATCAATCATCAACCAATCAACATTCACCAAGGTCCTCGGGATGTGGGCATCAGTGCCTGGCCTGAGGAAGACAGCCTCAGACACTCCCAATCCATGTGCACACCAGTGGCCTCTCCCTTACAAGTGACCTTGCTGTTCCTCCCTTTTTAGGGCTTTTGCACATGAAGTTCTTTGTCCTGGAATGCTTTCTCCACATCAAAGTCACTCCCTCACTTAATCAGGCCTCTGTTCAAATATCACCTTCTTAGAGAAACCAGCTCTGCCCATTCCATAAAAGACAGCACACACATTCCCATCCCTCCTGCCTCACCTCAGCCTGGTTCTCCCTTTTTCACAGTCCTTATCATCAGGAAGCATTTATACATATATATGTGTGTGTGTGTGTGTGTGTGTGTGTATATATCATATAAATATATATTATAAACATATAATATGTTATTATAATATATAATATAAACAATATAAAAATATTAATAACATAAAATATGATAAAGTATATATTAAAAATACATATGTATGTGTGCATGTCTTTATTATCAGTGTATACTATAAATAAGTAGATATAGCTAGAGACTTCCTGTCAGTCTTCCTTTTGGTACTCGTGTTTTTCCCTGGTGCCTTCACTACTCCCTGGTACATTGTAGAGGGGCATGAAATACTTGAGTGAATAAAGTATGGGAAAGACTGGTAAAGGAGTGGGGTTGGAGAAAATGCCTAAACACTTTGGTAGTTAGTTGCCTGGAAGAGCAGATCAGCTCAAGGTATCTGGTAGGAGGGCTTCCTGGAGAGAGTAAGGTTTCTGCTGAGCACTGAGGGTCAGGAAGCTCTCTCATCATAACAATGATAATTAGGGTAACGTACAATTTATCACCCCAAATGGGACATGTATTAGTCTGTTCTTATGCTGCTAATAAGGACATACCCAAGACTGGGCAATTTATAAAGGAAAGAAGTTTAATGGACTCACAGTTCCATATGGCTGGGGAAGCCTCACAATGATGGTGGAAGGTGAAAGAGGAGCAAAGTCACATCCTACACGGTAGCAGGCAAAGAAAGAGAACTTGTGCAGAGAAACTCTTCTTTACAAAACCATCAGGTCTCATGAGACTCGCTCACCACCATGAGAATAGCATGGGAAAGACCCACCCCCATGATTCAACTACCTCCCACTGGGTCCCTCCCATGACACATGGGAATTGTGGGAGCTACAATTCAAGATGAGATTTGGATGGAGGCACAGCCAAACCATATCAGGACACTTTGGGAGTAACAGGGGAGCTATTGATTTACACCCAGGCAATAGGCACAAAATGGAATTGTCCCAGGCAAGCTAGAATGTATGGTGACCCTGGTAATAATGAACTAGTAAGAGGGAGCACCTCCTGCCAGGGTGTGTGTGGGCGTGGCTGGGTGGGTGTTTTGTTTGAAAGTGGACACAGCTGGGCTGTATTCTGAGAACTACACTATAGGGATCTCTATGGCTACACCCCAGTGCATAGGAAGGGTCTTCCCTGGAAGGAGTTAACAGACATGCCCATGCTAGTCATCCTAGGAAGAAGTGGGGCTCACACAGGACACTCTGACACAGAATCCAAGCCTTGGGGAAAAAGCAGAGGGAATTGCTTTCCATGAACTTCAGGGTTCTCCAGGTGTCACTGTCTCAGGGCCATATTTTGAGCTGAGGAGAGCTCCTGGGTAGAAACTGAGACAGTGCCCAAGAGATAGGGAGCTGGGGTGGCCTGGAATTTTCTAGTCCTAGTGAATGGGTAGGCCTTGTGAGTCAGGCTACCTCCACACAAGTCTTTACATGTCTGCATCCCTGGTGTTATCCCTGAGACATTATGAGTAAGGTCTGTCTGACTACAACAACCTGGTCTTAACTGTAATGGCTGAAGGCAATACTCATTTGTCCTGCACAGATCAGAGCAAGAAAGGGGAGCTGGGCCATCTGGAGGCCAAGAGGTGTCCTCAAAGGCAATTAATAAGATATCTCTTAGGACAGTGATTCAAACTGTTTTCTTAGCCACATGGAAAATTAAAGCAAATGTCCAGAATCCCAATGTATACAACTTGGTAAAACTGTGGGCACCAGGGTTCAATCAGAGGTAGGACCTCAAATGCTCATGCTCTGTGGAGCATTGTTTGGTGACCCCCCACCACACAGAGATGATTCCTGGGGACAGTCAAGGCCACCTTCCACTGCAGCAGTAGGAGACTGAAGCTGCCAGGCAGGGATGGCTTGGATATTTTATTTTGTTTTAGTTTATTTCATTTCATTTATGTGTTGGTGTCTCTTCCATGACACCCTTCAAAGTGTGAAAGTGAACACAAGTACAATGCCACCAGGAAGAATTATTGGCCGATCCCAAACACACAAAGACCAGGGCCTAACATACAAACAGTGTCTTGCCCATGGAGTCACTCAGTGGCCCATAGACAGGCAATCTCTTGTTTCTGGGCCCCTCTGCCCTGCCTGCAAAGCACCTCTTCCTGGAGCTCCCTGTGAGGTCCAGGCTACACAGATCTTTGTTAGTAGCCACAGTTTCTATTCCTGGTGGGTCGTGAAACCCAGGGCTAGGGATTCCAGTGAGGCCAGAAGCATCTAGGGCGCAAAATTTAAGGTGCATCTCTCTCAAGGTGCAACCAGTCCCTAGGTGCACCCTCCGCACCTCACTTACCTCACCCCCATCCCTATCCTGCTGAAAGGTTCACTCTAATCTTTCATACCCTTCAGAGTAAAGCACCTATAATTCATTTCCCTTGCTAATATTGACCTCATTGGATAACACTAGTAAGTAAGCATGCTAAAGACCGTTCTCCATCAAGGGTAGATAGAGGAAGCAATGAAGAGAGAAACAGAACACACCATCCAACTGCATTTTTATTAAGAAAGGCATGTCTGCATACACGTAGAATTACTGACAGAACTGCACGCATACACGGCCCCAGGCAATATGGACGCTCCCATGCCTGGCCACATTCTCTCTACTTCTCTGGGTCCTTAAATGCCACTGGAGAAGGTTGGGTCAAAGTAGACACTAAACTTCGTGACTTGTCCATTTTAAAAGCATTAAAATATTCCCAAAGCTATAAAGAAAGATGTAAGTGTGGGAAATGGTTGGGGAGAAGAAGGAGAATAATTTGGAAAGTCAGGTTGTTATTCGTGCCTTTGGGGCTCATGTTTTTCTAAAATGAGCTCTATCTTTACAGCAAAACCAGCAGCAGCATCATAAAAGCAATTAAATGTATGCTGCAAAAGCACCAGCAGTGCTTCGGGCCTTACACCCATTATCTCCTCTTACCTACCTCAAACACTGGGAAGTAGGTGATATACTACCATGCTCAGCCAGACTGCCCAGTTTGAATCCCAGACCTATTCCCAGATAGAAGTCAAGTTACTTAACTTTTCTATGCCTCAGTTCCTCTATTTGTAAAATGAAAATTTAACAGCTTTAAATTCATCAAGTTGTTGGGAGGATTAAATGAATACACATACACATATACCAACAGTTCCTGCCTATAGAATGTGTATTATATAATCATTCGCTTTTTTTTTTTTTTTTTTTTTTTTTTTTTGAGACGGAGTTTCGCTCTGTCGCCCAGGCTGGAGTGCAGTGGCGCGATCTCGACTCACTGCAAGCTCCGCCTCCCAGGTTCACGCCATTCTCCTGCCTCAGCCTCCCGTGTAGCTGGAACCACAGGCGCGCGCCACCATGCCTGGCTAATTTTTGTATTTTTAGTAGAGACGGGGTTTCACCGTGTTAGCCAGGATGGTCTCGATCTCCTGACCTCGTGATCCGCCCGTCTCGGCCTCCCAAAGTGCTGGGATTACAGGCGTGAGCCACCGCGCCCGGCCTTTTTTTTTTTTTAACTTTATCATTATTTTACCATTTTACATCTGAGGTCATTGAGGCTTCGGTCACCTAGCCGGTAAGTGTCGGAACCAAGATTAGATCCAAAGTTCGTCTGACATTGCACAGCCATCATCAGCCCTGCCCATGTGCAGCCAGTGTATCATAGCTCCTAAGTTTACCCTTTAGACCCTGTACAGGCCCATGAGGCAGACCTGGTAATAATAAGAATTTACAGGCAGGGGTGCTGGTCCATAGGACCCTCTCAGACGACACCACTGCCTCCCGCAGCTGCTCTGCACCAATCTTGCTAGTGTTGAAGTTTGAGATTTTAGTGTACCTGTCACCTGAGTGGTGTACATGTACCCAATATATAACTTTTTGTCTCCCAGGTCCTCCTACACTCCGGAATCTTCAATGTCCATTATTCCACTCTGAATGCCTTTGCATTCTCATAGTTTAGCTCCCACTCATAAGTGAGAATTTACTGTATTTGCTTTTCTATTCCTGAGTTACTTCACTTAGAATAATGGCCTTCAGCTCCATCCAAGTTGCTGCAAAAGACATTTCATTCTTTTTCATGGCTGAGTAGTATACCATAGTGTATATATGCCACATTTTCTTTATCCACTCATTGGTTCATGGGCACTTAGGTTGATCCCACATCTTTACAATTGTAAATTGTCCTGCTATAAACACAGGTGTGCAGGTATCTTTTTGATATAATAACTTTTTTTCCTTTGGGTAAATACCCATTAGTGAGATTGCCAGGTCAAATGGTAAATCTACTCTTAGTTCTTTAAGAAATCTCCACACTGTGAATTGCCTGAACCTGGGAGGTGGAAGTTGCAGTGAGCCGAGATCGCGCCACTGCACTCCAGCATGAGTGACAGATCAAGACTCCATCTCGAAATAAAAAAAAAAAGAAAAAAGAAATCTGCATACTGCTCTCCATAGAGGTTGGACTAATTTACATTCCTGCCCGCAGTGTAAACTCTTCCCTTTTCACCACATCCATGCCAACATCTATTGTTTTTGGACTTTCTAATAATGGCCATTCTGGCTGGGATAAGGTGGTATCTCATTATGGTTTTAATTTGCATTTACCTGATGATTAGTGATGTTGATTATTTTTTCATATGTTTGTGGCTATTTATATATCTTATTTTGAGAAGTGTCTATTCATGTCATTTGTCTACCTTTTCATGGGATTTTTTTTCTTGCTAATTTGTTTGAGTTCCTTATAGATTCTGGGTATTAGACCTTTGTCAGATGCATAATTTGCAAATATTTTCTCACATTCTGTGGGTTGTCTGTTTATTCTGATGATTATTTCTTTTGCTATGCAGAAGGTTTTTAGTTGAATTAGGTCCCATTTATTTATTTTTTGTTTTGTTGCATTTGCTTTTGAGGTCTTAGTCGTAAATTCTTTGCCTAGGTCAGTGTCTGAAAGAGTTTCTACCAGGTTTTCTTGTAGGATTTTAATGATTTCAGGTCTTTGATTTAAGTTTTTGATCCACTTTGAGTTGATTTTTGCCCCCTGGGGAATTTAAATATGTAACCCAATCACTTTTATTCCTTCAGCCAAGTATCAGCTGTGTGGCTTTGGGCAAGTCACTTAACTTCTCTAAGCCTTAAATGCCTCTTATCTATGAAAAAAAAAGGCGGTTAGTGTTGTATATCTTACTTTGTCTTGAGAATTCAATGCAAAAAAGTATATATAGAACACTTAAATGGTCAGAAAATGATAGCTGCCTTGTGCCTTTCATGTAATTATTTATGTACAAGTGGTAGTTTGGAATTATTCTTGTTATTATCCAGGATCTGCTAAGTGTCAGGTACTATTCCTTATGCTGAGGACACATCTGTGAACAGGACAGACAGAGTCCCTGACCTCATGACACTTACATTCTGCTGCAGGAAAAGAGGCCATCTTTTTTTTTTTTTTTTTTTTTTGAGGCGGAGTCTCGCTCTGTCGCCCAGGCTGGAGTGGAGTGGCGCGATCTCTACTCACTGCAACCCCCGTCTCCCGGGTTCACGCCATTCTCCTGCCTCAGCCTCCCGAGTAGCTGGGACTACAGGCGCCCACCACCACGCCTGGCTAATTTTTTGTATTTTTAGTGGAGACAGGGTTTCACCGTGTTAGCCAGGATGGTCTCAATCTCCTGACCTCGTGATCCGCCCGCCTCGGCCTCCCAAAGTGCTGGGATTACAGGCGTGAGCCACCGCGCCCGACCGAGGCCATCTTAAAATGCTTCAAAATAAAGTCAGGGAGAGGGACTATTCTAGATGGAGTGCCAGGGAAGATCTAATCTGAGGAGGTGACAACTGAGCAGATTGCTGTATGAAGTAACGCCATGAAGAGGAGAGAGGAAAGAGTTCCCACAGTCACAACACCATCAGCGTCACCGCCCCCAACACACAGACACCTAAAAATGCACAGTTCAGAGCAGAGGTTCAGACGAGCCCTGCAGGGGATGATATTGACAAAGAGCACTTCCAAAGGCTGTGCTTTCCACGTTCCTGCAGGACGGATCCCAGGGTCTTCTCCCAGGTCTCCCCTGTCATAGGAAGCCACCATCAGGTCTGCCCAACCCAGCCTTCTAGACCCCAGTGGGGCATCATTCCACACTCCCAACGGGGGCTCCACATTTCCAAAGGGGCAAGCTGCATTGTGCCAATTAACTGAGAGAGACTTAAGAGTTTAACGGTTCAAAGAATGGAAACCTGCCAGGACCCTAGCTCTTTAAAGGGGCCTGCATCCTATGAATCCTTCAGGTAATCTCACTCTTATGCTCCATCACCCTTCAGGAGTGCACAGAACTCGCAAAGCCCTTAAGGCGGGGCCTTGCATTTTGTGCTTCACTGTGGTATCCTGTTCTTAAGTTTTTCACCTGCCCATCAGATCTCTCAAGACCAACTGCAAATAACTGCAGGGCAATAGACGTGGTGTGTGTGTGTGTGTGTATGTGTGTGTGTGTGTGTGTGTATGTGTGTATGTGTAGGTGCGTAGGTGTGTGTATGTGTGTACATGCAATGTGTGTACACGTATGTGTGCACATGCATGTGTGTGTGTTTGAGTATAAACACTTCTCCCACTCTTCATCTCCTCTTCTTCTCCCTCACTGCCTTCTCCATCTTTTCAACACTATAATCCTTGGCACATAGGTTGCCAAGGATAGGTCAAGGAACGCCTCAGAATTAACAAGGAAGTGAAAAAGAAAACAGATCACATAGGAGCACCTAGTCAGGGACAGCGCAGCAATGGTAAAACACGGTTACCTTTTAGCAACCAGGATGTCTATTATGTTTAATATTCCTCTGCCATCCCTCTGCTGTCAAATTACTTGGGCACCACTGTGCTATTTGAATGGGGCAGGATGTGGGCTAATGAGTGCTCTGGAAGGTTCTTGAAGGAGAGGCAGGGATGGCCCTGGAGACTGAGGGGCCCCACACCTGCCCCTTCAAACCCTTAGTTCCAATGGAGAACATGGAAAACCCTTCCCCAGAGCTCACCCAACGAGGCATATCTTCGCTGCCCTCCTCTTGCCAGGATCTGGTCACTTTATTTCTATTATATTTCACAGTCCTGGTTAATAATAATTATTAAACCCAACTTGCATTCATTCAGAAAGCAATAGTATTGATTGATACAAATTAATTCAATGCTATCTAATGTTTTGGTTTAACAAACATTTCATGAGGCATTTCTGAGTCTTGGGAGGGATGGCGGTGGCTCAGACACAAATCTTCCCCTCCGAAAGCTTGGCATTCTGTGGTACTGCGGAAATCAAAGAGTGGATTCTGGCATGGCACAGAGACCATAGAATGCTTCCTGGAGAAGGTGCCCATTAGAAGGGTCATTGAAGGAAAAAGAAAATGTGAATTTAAGGAAAAATACATTTCAAGCAGAAGAAAGCTCATGAAGAAATGCCTCAAGGCAGAAACATATATACAAATGTTTAGAAAATGGTGTCTGGACCTATTGGCTTGAAAATAAGAGATACAATAAGCTGCTGAGGTTAACATATATGAGATCTTCTTCCATAAAGTGCATTACTCTTGCAAATGTAGGTGTTTATTTTAAAGGTTGGAAAGGCAAACTGTGGACAAGTGAGAAGTTTTGAATGCCACACTAAAAATTGTTTTTCTGGTCAACTGGGAGCCAGCGTGGGGTTTCTACAGGAGGCTGGTAGGTAGGGTCAGACGGTGGCTCCAGAGGAACCTTCTGGAGACTACGTGGTGAGGAGCCTGGGGAGAGATGAGACCAATATTAAATGGCACCAGGGACAACTGATGAAGTCCTAAACCAAGGCAGAGAAGAGACAAGACCATAGATGTGGCTGATGAAAAATGCAGTGTCCCTCGGGGAAGGTATAGGGTTTCCCAGGAGCACATGTCTATGCAATCGGACAAATACAAGTGCTTCCTCCCCCACTCACCTCTGTTACTACTCATAAGACTTTAGGTGAAGACTCTGAACCTCATTTTCTCATCTTGACTGATGCAAAAACACAGCATCCATCGGGGAAGGTGTGGGGTCCCCCAGAAGCCACGTCCTCCTGGTCCACGCATTATTCAGAAGTCACGTCTTCCTGGGTGACCTCACACCTTCCCTGATGGATGCTGCGTTTTTGCGTCAGCCACATCTATGGTCTCGTCTCTTCCCTGCCTTGGTTCAGGACTTCATCAGCTTTTGCTGGCGCCATTTAATATTGGTCTCCTCTCTCTCCAGCCCCCTCACCACCTAGTCTTCAGAAGGTTCCTCTGGAATGACAGTTTGACCCTACCAGCCTCCTGTTGAAGCCCCATTAGCCCCAAAGATGCTAATACCTCCTGCTCCCTGGGGTTGCTGTGTGGATTAAATGAAATTTTGCACCTCACTCAGAATAGTGTCCAGGTCAGCTAGTTCCCTTCCCCCTACTTTCACAAACAGGAAAACTAAGAAGGGGTACATCTTTGCCCAGAGGTCCACAGCTTAGATGTGTTCTGTGGTCTTCATTAGTCAACCTATTATCTTTCTATGTTTCCAAACTTCTATGACATTCCTTTTATTATATACCAAATGCAATTTTTGTTGGCAAATCTTTTTTGAAAAAATGAATCACAAGGTAAAAGGATCTATTAGTCACTCACATGCAGAAATCACTTCTGTTAGATCTAGCAGCACAAAGAAAATTTTAAAAGATACGTTAGAAACAAATACATTCTGGGCAGCTGTTAAATTGCATTTGAGTGAAGGTTATGTACTCTGTGAGGGACAAGTGACTTGAGTGTGTTTTCTTACTACGGCTGGCTGACGCTCTGCCCTGGCATGCTGCAGGAAGCCAACGAGACATTTCCAGATAGTCACTATCCAGAGATGTGGCCACAAACCAAGGTCCCACAGGCTCCTTGTGACATAAGGGAGTCAATGTTTCTTTTGCACGACCCCAAGCAAGTCTCTGGTTTGTTGGAAAGCAGCTCTCCTCTTATCAGTCGGGCTAACAAAGTGAGGGAGCCAACCCTCCATCCAGGAACAACGAGCCCAGCGCAGCGGGAGATCAGAGGGAGACCAAGGTCGTTGGCCTGCACAGTCCAGGGTTGACCTTGACTGTGGAAGACCAGAAGATGGGTCAGAGGGAATCCCAACTCCGCAACCTCCTAGCAGTGTGCCCCTGTGCAGGTTGCACAAAATTGTGGAGCCTCAGTTTCCTCACTTCTAAACTGTGAACAATAGTACCTACCCTGAAGGGCTGTTTGGAGGTTACAGGGCCTAGTAGATATAAAAGTCCTTCGGAAATTGGAAAATGTTGTCCCTATAGAAGACAATACTTTGATGACAGTAGAGCTCCCCAGCTAAGGGGCTCTCAGGCCTGACACATCAAAGGAGAGGAGAGCAGGGCAGGATGAATCGATATCCCGGAACACTCATTCGGGTTCCATTCAACCAGCAGTCTTTCCCTCCCTGGCCACACAGCCTCTCCGAGACATGCAATCCTTAGTAAGCCACTTCACTTCTTCAAGCATTACCACCCCTCACCAATCTAATGGACACAGTGATATCTACTTCTCCCAGCATGTGAACTTGTGGCCAAGACCATTCACAAAATGCACACGTGATTTGAAAGAAAGAAGCTCAGCACACATGGCATGCTAAAATATTATCCCTGCCCCGTCCTTCCCGGTGTATGAACTAGGTGAACTCAGGCAAGGCATATGACCACTCTGAGCCTCAGTGTCCTCTTCTATAAATGGATATTAAAGTACTTAATCCCCGGGCCCACATGAAATGAATAACCTAATAAAGAAAGTACCCAGCACCATCCCTGGTCCATGGCAGCTTCACAAGTGGTGATCTCATTTCTCCCCTCTCATTCCTGTCCCCTACTCTGCCCCCAAGGTGGTTTCAACCCTTACGTTGCTGCCCCAGACCCTTGGTAAACTACAAAGCAACCTGAAAAGCTTCTTCAATCTCCTTTATCCAGGGTTTAATTATGCCTTTCCTTGATTAGGAAAAGCTATGTCTAGTACCTGTATACTCCTCTTGCTCCAGTAAAAAGGCCAGAACTAGTCAGCCATGGTAAGTGACAGAGGGTCCTAAATACTGCCTCCAGTGTTTGTATGGGGTAGGACCATGCAAATCACCTCTGATCCACAAACCCCCAAGCTTAGGGGACCAGATAAAAATAAGGATGCATCTCAAAGTCATTATAAGATAAACGGAAATCCTCTCCCGGTATATAACCTAGCTTTATTTTAGGAAGTGGATCCGACCATTCCTTCTGTGGGCAGAGTAGTATGAAAAGTTGAGTGACTAATCCAAGATTAATATTGGCTCAGTGCCTGCTGGGTAAGAAGCATTGTGCTAAGCACTTGGCATGCAGTGGTGAAGAAAACAGAGTGACTGCTGTCCTTGTAGAGAAGACCAACAATAAAACCATAAGAACCAGTGTCACAAACGTCAGGGAAAGAAAAATAAAGAGTGCCAGAACCTAAACTCATCCTGGGAGCCCAAGAAGGCTTTTGCTGAGACCTGAAGGTTGAGGATTGAGGCAGGAAGAGGCTACAGGGAAGGTGTCCCAGGCAGATGGGTGGAGAGCTAGTGAAGTTTGGATTCACATGTGAGTCTGTCTGAATTCAGAAACTGGGCTCAATTCAGTACAAGAGACCACTAGCAAGGAGGTCAGGGGACCTGCTGGGACCTGCCGAGATTGCTTGCGAGTCTTTGTGTTTGTGCACATGTGCGGTTTCTGGGGAGCATCTGTAGCATCCTTGGACACTGAAAAGAATCCATTACCTCCCTCCTCTCCCCCAGGCCAAGAACAACTGCACAGGGATATTGACACACCATTTCCTGCTGGGAAACCATCCTGTGCATCGTCAGGTGGGTAACCAGAGTCACTCTGGACTCTCCCTAGTGAGGCAGCAGCCTGAGTGGGCTCAGAGCCTCTTCTCAGCCATTCTATCAATGGTTCGAAAAACCCTGCTTCCCACACCCAACCCAGCCCAAGCCTGTGTGCTGGGGGCAGAAGCTGCGTGGAGAGGGGGCTCCTCAGGGGTGATATCAGGATCACTAACGAGGGGAGTGTCCTCACCAGACCCCTTCCCTAAGCGCTTATCTATTATTCATGGCCAGTAAGAGGCCAAGCTTCCTTCCAAGAGAGAAACCCAGTGGCTCAGAGTGCATGGCCGAGGCCAGGGGAGGAGGGCTCCAGGGACAGCCCCGGGGAGCAGTGCAAGGTCCCTGTGGTGGAGGCACAGGGCTGGAGGCAGCCTTTAGGGGGTGGGAAGCGGGGAGCAGGGCCAGGTCAGGCTGATCCCCAGCCTCCTCCTACAGGCACAATGCTGCGTCTGATGCAGCGGCCTCCGCCTGCAGGCTGATATGTCTGTCCCATAAATAATTTACACCCTCCAGGAAATGGACCACAGAGATGCCAAAGCCATTAGAGGGCCACAGATGGGGGAAGGAGACATAGAAGGGGAGAAAACACGGAGACTCTGGACTGGGCTGGGCTGGGCAGCGTTTCTGGCCCATCCCAGCTGCAGGCCAGCCAAGCAGTCTCACGCCCACGTTCTCATCTGAGGTCAAAACTGCCCCACTGGGTGTACATTGTCATTTTTATTTTCCAGGTGAAGAAAACGAGGCTCAGAGAAGCTCAGGGATTTGCCACAGGCTGCACTTCTTGACCACATTCAAACCAGACCTCAAACCAGGTCCTCAGATGCTGAATTTGTCTTTCAAGCAGAAGGATTTCACTAAGAAACCATGGTTTCCTCTTTATCGTATTAACCCTGGCTGCACAGGAGAGGAGGCAATACCAAACCATGTGTGCTTATTTCCCAGGGCCGCTGGAACAAAGCACCACAAACCCAGGGGCTTGGAACAGCGGAGATTTATTCTGTTCTCCCAATTCTAAGGATAAATGAGGGTTTGAATGTTCTCCCAGTCCTAAAGGATAAAAGTCCTTGAGGTGTCATCTGGCCATGCTCCCTCTTGAAGCCTCCGGGAGAGGATCCTTCCTGGTCTCCGCCAGCTCCTGGCAGCCCCAGGGATTCCTTGGCTTGTCACAGCCCCACTCCAATCTCTGCCTCTGTCTTCCCTTTCTGTTACCATGTACAAATTTCCCTCCTCTAATAAAGACACCAGCCATATTGCAGTAGGGGTCCACGTGCTCCAATGTAACCCCAACTTAGCTGATGACATCTTCAATGACTCTATGGCCCTATTTCCAAATAAAGCCACATTCTGAAGTAGTGAGGGTTAGGATGTCGACAATAATTCTGGGAGACATAGTTTTTTGTTTGTTTTTTTGAGACAGAGTCTCACTCTGTCGCCTAGGGTGGAGTGCAGTAGGGCTATCTCAGCTCACTGCAACCTCTGCCTCCCAGGTTCAAGAGATTCTCCTGCCTCAGCCTCCCCAGTAGCTGGGACTACAGGTGTGCACCACCACACAGGCTAATTTTTGTGTTTTTAGCAGAGACGGGGTCTCAACATGTTGGCCAGGCTGGTCTCAAACTCCTGAACTCAAGTAATCTGCCCCCATCAGCCTCCCAAAGCTCTAGGATTACAGGTGTGAGCCACCACTCCTGGCCTGGGGGACGTAATTCAATCTGTGACAACACACCAAATGGAAAAATCTTGGTTATGAGAGCTGGGCAAGATTCAATGAATCCTGGCCTTCTTCTCCCACTGCAAGGACTATGGCTGCCTGTCTGTTGCAGGGCCTTCTGGCTCAGGACTGCAGAGCATGCACAGGAGAGAGCACTGGGCAGGGAGTCTGCAGCAGCAATGGGACCAGAGCCATCCTGTTGCTAGCTGCTTTTGAAAACTTCATTGGCAAATTACCTTTTCATCCAAGGTTTTATGAGGTTTTCTTTTCCTCGGAATCCAAATGATGATATTCCTTTGGTTCAGAAAATATTTCCTGAGCAATTGCTGTGTGTTAGCTCCTATACAGAGCACTGGACATACAGCAATGGATAAAATGCTGTCTGCTCCCACTCCCACTCGGAGCTCAGACTCCAGAGGCACAAGCATTTGAGTGAGTAGATAATTAAACCACTGAGAGATAAATGCTGCAATAAAAGGGTGTTCTGAATGCCACAGAGTACAGAACAGCAACAAGCTGATCTCTGAGTTATCGTCATCACTCACATTACCAAGCTCGATCTGAGCCAAAATGGATATATTGCCTCCAGCGAATATGCACAAATCTGGGTTTCTTTTGACATTAACAGGTGGCTTGCTGCAGAAGCACACGGTACTCTAGATAGGTAATGAGGCTCAAAAGCTCACTACTAGCGACTTCAGCACTGCACACTATGGAGCCAGAGAAGAAACGGGCAAGTGCAGGCCAAGCAGCCCACAATATCCCAGTGCAACATGGCCTTATGGTACCTACTTTCCTCTTGGTCACAGCAGGGCCTTATACCACTGGAAAATTGAAAGCCCTTAAAATGCTTCTATCATATATAGCAAACAACCCCCAGGGCACAAGTGCTGCAGCGTTCAGGGCCCTGGAGGCAACTGCATGAATGGAGCCTCAGGTTTGAGATTCCAAGTCCTCCCGTGTAGATGGGCTGTCTATAGCAGAGCCCTGGCAATGCCACCCTGGTGACAGCTGCGGGGACGGCCATGTGAGGCAGCCCATCCTATAGGCGTTTTTATCGGAGATGACAGCTTCCCTACTGCACAGCCCACATCCCACGGGAGGCAAGGAGCAGCTGGTCATCCACAAAAGAACTTTGATGTCGATATCAATTCTCTAGACCATGAACAGTCAGTTCACACGCAAAAAAAAAAAAAAAAAAAAAAAGGGAAGCAAAGAGTCAATAAGTGCATGAAAAAATGTTCAGGCTATCTCATACTTAAGGAAATGCAAATTAAAACAACAACAGGTTTTCCGATTTGTGTTTATTAAAGTAACTCTATATACATGTATATACTTGCCTGTGCTCAACTCAGGAAAGATGCAATAAAATAAGTGGTGCCTGGAAAAGAAATTTGACAATATATACCACCACCCCCTAAAAATGCACAAAATTTGTTCTATTAAGCTATATTAAGTAAATAATCTAAATATGTTTTATACAGAAAGGTGGCTGTCCTAGAGCTACTTACAATAAAACAAAACAGGAAACAACATAATTGTCCAAAACAGGGAAAAGATTAAATAATGGTACATCGATAAAGTAAAATATTATGATGTCATTAAAAACTACATTTTTTAGACAATTTAATAAATGTGAAAATGTTTATTAAAATAGAAAAGGTAGGCTGGGCTCTGTGGCTCATGCCTGTAATCCCAGTATTTTGGGAGGCCGAAGTGGGTAGATTACTTGGGGCCAGGAGTTCAAGACCAGCCTGGCCAATAAGGCAAAACTGTCTTTACTAAAACTGTCTCTACTAAAAATACAAAAATTAGCCAGGCATGGTGGTACATTTCTGTAATCCCAGCTACTTAGGAGGCTGAGGAACGAGAATCATTTGAACCGGGAGGCAGAGGTTGCAGTATGCCGAGATTGCACTCCAGCCTGGGTGACAGAGCCAGACCCTGTCTAAAACAAAAAGGGCAAAAGAATTACACAAATTATATTTACCATTTGATACTTACCATGTGAATATGTGTTTTTAAAAGATTGGAAAAATATACTAAAACAGTAATAGTGACTGCTTCTGTAAGTGGGATTATAGATTAGATGAGAAATGTTTCTTCTTTGTAATTTCCAACTATTCTTCAATAACTATAGACTTTTGCGCTAGTTTGAAAAATGTTTATAGTAATTGAACTTGTTTTAAAAATATATGGGTTTGTTTACATGTTTCATTACTCTGACAGCACTCAGCTATTGCCCAACAAGGAATATTAATGTAGGTGAAAGAGATAGTGATGACTTCTTCAAAATTTTCACTCAATACATTTGATCTTTGTGTTAAATTGTTGGTTGTCAGTCGGATGCAGTATCTCACATCTGTAATCCCAGGACTTTGGGAGGCTAAGGTAGGAAAATCACTTGAGCTCAGGAATTCAAAACCAGCCTAGGTGATATAGCGAGACATCGTCTCTAAAAGAAATCAAAAAAATTAGCCAGATACGGAGGCATGCACCTGTGGTCCCAACTACTTGCAAAGCTGAGGGTGGGAGTATGGCTCAAGCCTGGGAAGTCAAAGCTTCAGTGAGCTGTGATTGCACCATTGCACTCCAGCCTAGGCAACAGAGGAAGATCCCGTCTCAAAACAAAACAAAAAACAAAACAAAAAAAGACTGGTTGTTGTTGTACTATTTCCTAAATATTTTGCTGCATCTGGGTCAACTGAAATACTGCTAACTTTTCGAGGCCCTGCTCATGTTTTATCTCTTACTGAAAGACTCCACAAAAATTCAGTCCACAGGAACTTCCTCCCCTCCTTGGAAATTTTTTGAGCGTGACATACTGTATAATCTAATGAGCAGTAAATATACATTACATAACCATGTCTTTTCATTCTCTCTATGTGTGTGTTATCTCTTCATTGCTGGGTTTTGCACTCTTGAGAGTAGATGTATCAGTTAGCTATTGCTGCATAACAAATCAGTCAAAAAGTTAGTGGCTTAAAATCACCAATCTTTGAGTTGTCTGGGAAGCTGGAATTAGCCGTTCTCGGCTGAACTCACTCATGTGTTCATGGTTAGCTGGCAGATTGACTAAGGGCTAACTGGTCTACAGTGAAGCCTCAGTTGGTACAACTCGTCTTTGCTCCATGTATCTTAACTTCCAACATTCTAACCTGGGCTTTTTATTGTGTGGAGGCATGACTCAAAGAAGGTAAGTGAAAACACAGAGGTCCTGTTGAGGCCTAGGCTCAGAACTGGCACTATCAGTTCTGCTATATTTTATTAGCTAAAATAAGTCGCAGGGCAAGCCAAGATTCAAGTGATGAAGAAGTAGGGCCCACCTCTTAGTGAGAGGAGCTGAAAAGTTGGATTGCATGGATAAAGGAAGGAAAATAAGTAGGATACTTGAGCCATGAGGCTCAATTTTTTTCAATTCTATATTATGCCTAGTAACTTATCTGGTGTATAATATAGGCACCAACCATTTTACAGATTGCTAACAGCTCTATTCCCAGTTCCTTGTTTTTTCCCCCTCACTCTTTCTCTCTCTCTGCTCTGAATTGCAGGAGCCTGGAAGCCTGAAAACCACATATATGCACAGCCCAGATTCCCTTGCCAGCTGGCTTTAGATAGGGCTCTGCCATTGGGAGACACTGCCTGGAGACACTCCTCTTGAGAGGCAGGAGAAAGAGAGAAGCCATTTTGTTTTTCCTACTTTTGCTTCTAGCAGCAGCAACAAAAGTGGCAGGCAAGTGTGAATCCTGGGTTTCTGCTACTCAGGCAGCACAGATCCTTTGGTAATGACATTATGAGAAGGGATGTGCCAGCAGCATGGCACTCACAGACTCTGACTCTAGCAGTGGCAGCAGCATGTCAGCAATCTCAGGGGCCTGATACCTGAGGGTTCTGACCCTGGAGGAACAGAACAGAAGCAAGCCACTGTGACCTCCCAAGAGCCTGTGCTCTTAACAGCAGCAGGCATCTGATTTCCTGAAAAGCAATGTGTTTGCAGCAATAGCAGCAGTCATTCCAACAGCTCCATGGCATCAACAGTCTTGGACCCTGGCAACCAACTTCAAAATTGCGAACCTGAGGTTAGTTATCTAGATGTATAGTGAAAATGGCATACTAGCCGGGTGCAGTGGCTCACCCCTGTAATCCCAGCACTTTGGGAGGCCAAGGTGGGTGGATCATCTGAGGTTGGGAGATCGAGACCATCCTGTCTAACACAGTGATTCTCTACTAAAAATACAAAAAATTAGCTGGGCGTGGTGGCACATGCCTGTAATCCCAGCTAGCTACTCGGGAGGCCGAGGCAGGAGAATCACTTCAACCCAGGAGGCAGAGGTTGCAGTGAGCCAAGATCGTGCCACTGCACTCCAGCCTGGGCAACAAGAGCAAAATTCCATCTCAAAAAAAAAAAAAAAAAAAAAAAAAAAAAATGAGAGAGAGAGAAATAAAATGGCATTCTAGCAGACAAGTTTCAAGTACTAGTAGACCACAACTATAATTGCGCAGGGACAAAGCAGTTGCTTACGTTATTACCTGTGGTTGTCTGTGATAATGTGCTCACTGAAAGCAAAGTTCTAAGAGATCAAGTTACCGATGATGTAGAGAATAATAATTACAATAACTTGGATGGGTAGAGAGGAGCTGTTTCTGATTGCACTGAGGAGCTTACATGAAGAGAATTGAAAGATCTGACTTTGAACACCTAGCTTAAAGAACAATCTGAAAACCAGAAAACTTCTGTGTCAGCCCTAAAAGAACCTCCACTTTCTTATATCTTCAGGTTTGATACAGATGAAAGTGAAACCCAAAATTTAATCCTACAGGTTGCACCTATTACAATAGAAGTTGAATTCACAGCCTTGCCAAGTTTAGTAAATGACATTGACTGGGAAAGAGTGGAATTCAGAAAATTAGAATAAATACATTTAGATGGTATATTAGTCCATTTTCATACTACTACAAAAAACTACCTGAGCCTGGGTGATATATAAAGAAAAGAGGTTTAATTGACTCACAATTCCACATGGCTGGGGAGGCCCCAGGAAACTTACAATTATGGCAGAAGGCGAAGGGCAGACAAGGTAGAAAGGCACGTCTTACATGGTGGCAGGAGAGAGAGAGAGTGAGTAGGGAACTGCCACATACTTTTAAACCATCAGATCTCATGAGAACTCACTCACTATCATGACAACAGCATGAGGGAAACCACCTCCATGATCCAATCACCTCTCACCAGGTCCCTCCCCTGACACATGGGGATTAAAATTCCAAATGAGATTTGGGTGGGAACACAGAGCCAAATTATATCAAATAGCTTTAAATAAATATGAAAATCTAGACCTATGAAATACTGTTGAGACTTTTTGTTTTGTTTTTGTTTTTTGTAGAAACAGCCTGTCCTTCCATATCTGAGGAATCCCTATAATCCAAAATCACTATCATGATATAATACATAAAATAACTATAGACTGATGGATTTAGAATTTTCACAATAAAGGATTCCTAAAGAAATTGTAGAAAGAACAGACAGAGGTCTAAAAAAATATTATCTCATCTATCCTCCTTAGTCCACAGTTAGGTAAACTGAGTCCCAGAGAACCCAAGTTCCTTCCCATCGTGCTCCTCAAATGGAAGGGGAACTAAAAGTTTGCAGGTTCAAATTGAGGTCACTGTTTTTTGTTTTGTTTTAGTTTTTGAAACAGAATCTTGCTCTGTCACTCAGGCTGGAACTCAGTGGTGGGAACACAGCTCACTGCAGCCTTAATATCCTGAGCTCAAGCGACATTCCTGCCTCAGCCTCCTGAGTACCTGGGACCACAGGCACACCACCATACCTGACTAACTTTTTTATTTTTTTGTAGAGACGGGGTCTCACTATGTTGCCCAGGCTTGAGGGCACTTTCATCAGGCTCACCCAAGGGAGATTCTCTGTTGCTCATTTCTCAGTTTAATTGTTACCAAAAACCCCACAGTAGTATGACAGTAGCTTTTCAACTGTCACTACTAAACTGCTCTATTTTCTTAACATATGTTCTAGCTTGGGTTTCTAAACACTTATTCGAAGGTTATAAATCCTGATACATACCTGTAGAAGGTGGGCAATCACTCTCTGCGGAAAAAACACAAAATTCAGCTTTAACTTTCACAGGGAAAGTTGGCCTTGCCCAGCACGATGTTCCAGTAATTGAGTAGCTGTCATCTGCTAAAAACAAATGTTCTTTCAACTAAATTTCTGGTATGCCAGCCTCAATATGACACTGCAACTTCACTTCTTTGTAGATTTGCTAATACTTGGTATATTTTCCATGGCAATATGAGGTAATTTAGTCACTGCTAAACTTGATATCACTAATTTATCAACACTCTCCTTTACCAAATGATTGCTGGTGCTTCATGTCTCCATCTTAGAAGCATAGAGGTTGGTACAGAACATTTTCCACCATGTGTTGTGTAATGATGTCTGGGTATATTTATATATACATATATTATTTACTTAAGTATAACAAAGTTATCTTGGGCCAGGCGCGGTGGCTTGCGCCTGTAATCCCAGCACTTTGGGAGGCCCAGGCAGGCAGATTACTTGAGGTCAGGAGTTTGAGACCAGCCTGGCCAGCATGGTGAAACTCTGTGTCTACTAAAAATACAAATTAGCCAGGTGTGGTAGCGTATGTCTGTAATCCCAGCTACTTGGAAGGCTGAGCCAGGAGAATCGCTTGAACCCAGGAGTCAGAGGTTGCAGTGAGCCTAGATCGTACCACTGCACTCCAGCCTATAAGACAGAGTGAGACTCTTGTCTCAAAAAAAAAAAAAAAAAAAAAAAAAGTTACTTGGATGCTGGACAGTAACAAAAGCCTGTAGTTCTAGCCAGAGTCCCAGAGTACCAAAGTGATTTGGCCTCATCCTATGTAAAGTTAACACCCAATGAAACCCCATTTACACTAGACTGTAACTGACCTACATGAAATATTAGGACTGGGAGGAAGGTTGGCAATCAAGTATCACAACCGCCATGAAGTGTACCTCGTCACCATGAGACTAGGTTAGATGCTATCCCTGGGATTCTAAAGATCTGTTACAGCATCTGTCATGGAGGAGAGAAGGAAGCATGAGCTTTAGAGTTAGCGTAATCCATATTCAGATCCAGTTTAGACCATTTACTAACTTTGTGACCAAAGTCTAGTTATAGAACCTCAATTTCCAATTTCCTTACATGTGAAGTGAGAGTAGCAACAGCCTTGAAGGGGTGTTGCAAAGACGAAACTGTATGCAAAGGGCCTGCTGGAGTGGCTGCCACTTATTAGCTGCATGGCCCATTATAATGATTACTTTATTATTGCGAAGACAGACAACGTGTGTACGCATCTGTCACGGGGGGGGGGGGCTCGAAAAATGGCTCTTCATGAACCACATCCTGCTGTAGTCACCTCCCACTGTAGACCTTCCACATTCAATGTGGATTGCCTCTGTGAATTGTTTCAGCCAACAAAATGTGCCAAAGTAGGGGCAGGGGAAGGTGGGTGAGAAGGGTTAATAGGTACAAAAATATAGTTAGAATGAATAGGATCTAGTATTTGCTAGCACAACAGGGTGACTACAGTCAACAATAATGTATTGTATTGTATTGTATTGTATTGTATTGTATTGTATTGTATTGTATTGTATTGTATTATATTGTATTGTATTGTATTTATTTAGAGATGCTAAAGAGTATAACCTTGGACTTGCTGAGAAGGACACAGGGGCTGATGATTACGAGAGGGCTGCCTTTAGAAGACTGCTTCTAGAACCTGAATAGATTGTCTACCAAATCCCTGCCCCTACCCTGTCTACACTGACTTATTCGTTTTCAAACCTCTGCCTCCACAGGTTCTCTATTGAATGAAGAGTAACCACACCCATTTCAGCATTCCCAATCAGGAATCTGGACATTTGTCCAGACCTTTTTCTCCTTCAGCCCCTACATCCAGTTAGAAACCATCCCACCATCATCTTCCCTATCATCTCTATCAATTCTTGAGTGTTTCCTTTGTGAAAAACAACTGTATGAGATGGGGCTCATTTTTATTATCATGCCTGTTTTACAGAGGAGCAGGCTAAAGCAGAGACTCGCTCAAGGTCAGAGACTTGCCCGAGGTTAGAGCTAAGATGGCAAGAGGGTGGGATGAGTTCTAAGCACCGCCCCATATTGCCTCCTTATAGTGATATTCCTAAAATATCCCTTGACAGTGTCCCCCACCCCCCATCTCTACTTCCTCTTCCACTGGTGGGTTATCCCAACCCTTTGTCTACTCCTTAACTGAATCCCCTCCTTGCAAAATTTCTCCACACAGCCTCCAGGGTGAGCTTTCTAAAATGTCAGTCTAACCAGCTGCTTCTGTGAATGGCTCCCCCAGGTTTGCAGAGTGAATTCCAAAGAACAGCCAGCATGCAATCTGTCCATCATCCTGCCCCTGCTGTCACACCTGCAAATAATCCTGAGTTCCAGTGGTGCAGAACGGCTTGGAGTTCCCCAAATACACCAGCTCTCATGTCTCTTCTTGTCTCTGTCTTCTCTCATCCTATCCCCACTGCCACCATTGCTCCCCTCACCACCAAGGACACTGACCAGGCTTCCTCCAGCTTCCCCTCCAAGACTTGGCTGGCCCCGTGTCTCCATCTTTGGAAAACATTTCTAGGCCTTCCAATCTTTCTGTTCCACCGCTTAAAGTGCAGGCCTATTCTAATACACATCACAACATAGTATGCTTGTGTATTTATAGAACTCTAAGTGTGGGTGCTCCCTGGCCCTATCTCTGCCTGCTACCACAACGTCTGACATTTAGTAGGTACTCAGCACTATTTAATCGATGGATGGATGCTGTTTTCTTTTGCTGAAAGAGAATTAACCTCTCACCCACCCCAGCCCCCATCAGACTACATTTTTTTCTCAATCCTGCAAATTAGAGGATATTATTGCTTCTATCAGTGATAGTTTCAGAAATGTAAAGATTAATACGACGAGCAGCAAATGTTTCATCCTTAAGGTGCCACAGGAATAACATTTGCTAATTTGTATTTGCATTTGAAATTGAAACACAAATTGGCACAAGAACTATTACACATCCCGGCTAATTAATGTTCTAAAAATGAATTATGCAAATCAGCCTCAACAGGCCTCAGAAGCTCTTTCCATGTATAATAAATGACTTGGATGTGAACCTTGTTTAAGGGCTGGTTCTGACAAGGGTTGTGTAGTGGAAAGGGCACAGGCTTTGGAGTCAGACTCGGCACAATCTCCCTGGGCCTCAGTTTCTTTATCTATGAACTGGAAATGAGAATGCCTGCTTAACAGGGTTTCAGAGAGAACCAAAGAAATAACCATTACAGAATTCCTGGCTTAAAGTAGCTGCTTTGCAATATTTGTTTCCTTTGACCTTTGGATCCTTCAGGGCGTCCTGCCTCCTCCGGCACCGCCCCTTCCCCTCCTCCTTGACTAACAGCAGTCTTGCCTCAAACATCCAACCATGCCCTCCGTAGCCCTAACACTGTGTGTGTTTTCTTTTAGTGCACCAGGAGTCCACTGAACTCTGTGATCATCTAGCTTGGCCAGAGCATTTCTTAGGCCTTGGGAAGGGAATGTCAGAGCAGCTGGAGGGGGGCCTAGCGACTGCTTGGGTGGTAGAGCCGGCAGCAGTGGGGTTCTGGGCAGCCGTCTGTGTGGTCTGCACAGGGCTCTGATAACCCATCATCCAGGCCGGTAGCATCTCATGGCTCAGCTGGGCCTCAACCAGCGCCACAAGCCCATCTGCACAGCACAAAGTCATAGCATACACCAGGGCCACATGGCTCAGAAAGGACTTGGGACCTGAGCCCACCACGGGCAGGTCTGATGATGACCAGGATGATGAGAAACAGCACACGCAGACCCCTCAAGGAGTCCAGCAAGGATAGAGCTGAGTTTCAACTCACCCCTCACTCTTGTTTCCAACAGGGTCAAAGAAAGCTCCATCGATTCCTGCCTGACAATAATGACTATTACTATGAAGCAAATATTATTAACATCAATCACAGAGGAGGACCCTGGGGCAGAGGAGAGACCACTGAGCGTGCTTGTGGCAGCGTTGGAACCCGGTCCAGTGACTTTAATGATGGTGTTGTCTCCACAGGTGCCCGGGCCACATCGCCCCAGAGTCCAATTTCAGTCCTGTCTATCTCACTACCGCGACACCCCACACAAGGCCTGGCAACCAATGGGTCCTGAGCAAATGTCTCCAGCTGTCACCAGCACTGCAGAGGAGCCTCCGAACGATGAATGCCAGCATTTTCCCACGTCCCCTGAATGGGCCCAGCAAAGCCTTGTCCTGTGCCAGCGTCACTGCCCACCCTCTTTACTCCCACAGCTGCAGGCCGAAAGCTACAGGGGAACATTTAATTTCACAACTGTGCAAACTGCTGCAATACCGACCTGTGGTTGCCAACTTCGGGGATCCCTGAGCAGCTTCTCCACCTGTCTCTGGACAGCTCCCTCCCATTCCTCAAAGATAAGTCTAAGCCTGTACCCCAAGCCCTCACAGCTCAACTCTCACCCCACTCTCACAGATGTCCTTGCCTCCTATGACATCAGGAAGAATGGGTAACCAGACGAGGCCCTTCTTCAACTCCCTCCTGAGGGTCCCTGTGTGCTGCCTAACTCTTCTACCTGTGCCCTGGTCTTCCTCTCTTCCTGCCGCCCCTGGAATATTCACCATCACACACACACACACACACACACAGACAGGGACACACATAGACACAGACACACATAGACACACAGACACTCACATAAGACACATAGAGACACACAAACACACACACACACTCATAGACACACAGACACACATACACACACAGATACAGACACACACACACAGAGACACACACAGACACAAACATATAGACACACACAGACAGGAACACACATAGACATACACACACAGACACACACAGAGACACACACACAGACACAGATACACACTCTCATAGACATACACAGACAGACACACACACAGACACACACAGAGACACAGATACATACAGACACACACAAAGACACATCTACAGACACAAACACACAGACACACACAGACAGGAACACATATAGACACAGATACACACACAGACACACACACATAGATACACACAGGCACACACATAGACTCAGACACACACAGTGACACCCACAGACACAGATACACATACACACAGATATACACACAGATATACACACAGATGCACACATACACACAGACGCACACAAAGACATACAGAGACACACACACAGGCACAGAGGCACACAGTCATAGACATACACACAGACACAGACACACACAGACATACACGCAGACACACACACACTCAGATACAGACACACAGACACATACACATAGAGGCAGAAACATATATAGACACACACAGAGAGTCAGACACACAGACACATAGATATACATTCACAGACACAGAGACACACAGACACACTCACAGAGAGATACATAGACACACACACTCAGACACACACACAATATCCTCACAGACACATAGACACACACAGACACATAGACACACACATACACTCAAAAACACATACGTAGTCACAGGCATACACACAGACACAGATTCAGACACACAAACACAGACACAAACACAGAGACAGACACACTCTTAGACACACAAAACACAGACACATATACACACACACAGAGACACACAAACACACTCACAGACACAGACACACACACGGAGACATGGAGAGAGACACACAGGCATATACACATACCAACACAGAGAGAGAGACAGACACATCCACACGGAGACACATGCGCACACACCGTACCTTTAACTGCTTCCTCTCTTCCAGCCCTGCTCCTCCAGGATGCAGTGGGCTCAGATCTCCTCCATCCTGAAAGATTCTTTCCTTGACCACATCTCTATTGTCTAATGTATCTCTCTCATTTTTCAACAGGCAAAAAAGAGTAGTCTACATTCTAACTTGGGTTCCACAGATCCCAAGTTGATGATGTTCTTAGTGTTCCAACGAACTTACACTCACTCATCAGACCCAGTGAGATGGTTTCAGTCCTCATCTCACGGCACCCCTCCACCGTGTCTGGCTCTGTTGACCACATTATCTTGAAGCTCTTTTCTTAGAGTTCTTGAAGTCAAACCCCCTGGGATTGCTTCCTTCTCAGTGAGCAGTCCCTCTGTCCATCCCTCAAACAGAACTGTCTCCTCAGCCCTGTTCTGGACCAATGTCTTCTTGCCCTAAAAGCTCACTCTTGGTTATTCCATTAACAATTTAGATGGGTGACTCTGTCTGACCTTCTTCTGCCATTGTGACTTGAAGCAGGCTAGAAGAGAATTCTCTCACTTTCCTCTAAAGTAGGTCCAGACAGTAACATATTCAAAGGTGTGGTGTCCTGAAGCAACTCAGTGTTGCTGGAGTGTGAAGTGTGAGGAAGGGGAGGAGGCCACAAGGCCTCCATTCCCAGCTGCGATCGGCCCTAATTCCAACTTGGATGGCCAGCTGCCTGCAAGACAGCTCCAGCAGGATAGGCCGCTGACCCGCCATCCACCTCCACACGCCCAACAATGAACTCATGGTGGCTCCTGTGCCCCTGTGTACTTTGCGTGAGGTGGAGCAGCCAAAAGAGGCCCCTGCAAATTGCCTCCAATCCCTACCTCCAAACCAGAGCTGACTCCTGCCGTTTCACTTTCTGCTTATTTCTAGGAGGCTTGTCAACCTCTCCTCTCCTTCCATCACTGCGCCATTCAAGCCTTTCTCACCTCTTACCTGCACTCTCCGCAACACCCTCCAGGCTGGCCACCCTACTTCCGGGTCTTCCATGACAGTTCATTCCCTACAATAGGCTACTCCTCGCCTCAGGCCCCCCGCCCCCCTACCCCCAATATCTTTCAGAGGCTCCACATTGCCTCTGAAACAAAGCCCAACCTCCCAGCCGCTGTGTGAAGGACCTCCATGACCTTCCCGGCCTGGAGCTTCAGCCACACCTTGTGGCCTCCTCCCCTTCCTCACACTTCATGCTCCAGCAACACTGAGCTGCTTCAGGACACCACACCTTGGAATATGTTACCGTCTGGACCTACTTTAGAAGAAAGTGAGAGAATTCTCTTCTAACTTGTTTCAAGTCACAATGGCAGAAGGTCAGACAGAGACACTTTCCTGCTTCTGCTGTTTTCTCAAATACCAAGGTGTCATATTTGGGGGTAGCATATCCTGAACCCATCATTCGTTAAAAGTGAAAAATCTGGGCCGGGCGCGGTGGCTCACGCCTGTAATCCCAGCACTTTGGGAGGCCGAGGCGGGCGGATCACGAGGTCAGGAGATCGAGACCATCCCGGCTAAAACGGTGAAACCCCGTCTCTACTAAAAATACAAAAAAAAATTAGCCGGGCGTAGTGGCGGGCGCCTGTAGTCCCAGCTACTTGGGAGGCTGAGGCAGGAGAATGGCGTGAACCCGGGAGGCGGAGCTTGCAGTGAGCCGAGATCCCGCCACTGCACTCCAGCCTGGGCGACAGAGCGAGACTCCGTCTCAAAAAAAAAAAAAAAAAAAAAAAAAAAAAGTGAAAAATCTGGAGGATGGAGAAAACCCTCCCAGAGAATGGCTCTTCCTCCCACTCCTCTAGCTTGGCCGGGTGAATTCCTCCTCAGACCTTTTAACCACCGCTGTGCTTGAATAACTGTGGCATTGACAATGAAGATCTGTTTCCTCTCTACCTAATCAGGCATCAAAAATGAAACTTTACCATAAGCAGTATAGTTAGAGAACATTTGAGAGAGAGGAAGGCTGACTTAGAGATCATCTAGTTTACCTCCACATTTTAGAGATTTATGAATAGATAAATCAATAACATGCCGAGGGGAGAAGTGATTGTCTCAAAGGCCACCTTGATGTCAGCAGAGTGAAATTCGAACCCAGACATCAAGGCTTTTGGTGTGGAGTTCTTCCAGTATCTCAGAAGTTAGCTGTTTCTAAAGGACTCACATCTCAAATGGAAGCAGAATTAAAGCAAGCAGAAAGGCACCCAATGCATACAAGAAAGCCAAAATAAATAATTCTCCCCCACCAAAAAAAAACAATAATAAGCAAAACAAAACAGGCAAACCCATGACCTTGGGGCTTCATTCCAAATTTTTAAAGGCTTCAAATTAAAAGTTATTGAATAAAGACCAAGTTTAGCTTTAAAATGAAAAAGAGAACCTGCCATTATCTTCCCTTATTTTACCATCCATTTATTCATTCATTCACCAAATACATTCTGAGCACTCATCCTGTACCGGATTCCCTGCTAGGCACGGAGGACTCAGAGAGGATAACACAAAGTCACTGCCTGGAGTGTCTCATAGCCCAGGAGGAACATGACCCTTACCTGGAGAAATGGCAGACAAATCAGAACATACCAAGTGGAGTAGAGCCTGAATACATGCTCTCGGAATTCAGAGCAAGAAAAATAAAAGACTGGCCGGGTAGGTGCCCACGCACTCAAGACCACTGCACCTTTAAGGATGTAAAAGCCCCATCGGGCTTTGCAGCTGGGGCATGCCATTGAAGGCTGGTTTCAGCATTTGCACCTGATGCAGAGCTGCACCTCTGCATCAGTGATGCAACAAAGAGGAAGTCTGATGCAGGAGAATCAAAGGCAGCCATAGGGTCATATGTATTGAAATCTGCCCCCTTGCCAGTCAGTCTGACAGGGACCCCTTTCTTAGGCTGAAATTAAAGACTCAAGGAAACAGTGAGAACTAGAGGCTAGAGCAGATGGCAGGAATGTGACCACTGGGATAAATTAAGGGTTTACAAAAAGATGCTCTGGTCAGTGTAGCTCCAAGACCTTGTGGCCAAGGCCATCAGCATGTCAATCTTGTCTTAGTAAACTGTACATGTACAAGTAAGGGTGGCAGCATGAAAGGTACCACTCTGCTGCACACAGTAACGAGCCTGATCTGAACACACAGAGCCCTCACGAGATGGTGGCACCAATGGCAAGGCCAAGACTGACAGTGCCTCTGGCCAGCCTTCTGCTTCTAGTTTAGAGGAATTTCCCAACCTCCTACTGAGGAAGAAGATCACATCCCAAGGACATATTGCAAGTATTTTACTGCTACAGGTACCATCTATACAAGTAGGCATCAGCATCTTTGTCTCTTGAGTGAAGAGAGTTTGATTCCTTTCCATTTATTCCTTTGATTGAAAACTTCAGGCTAAAGGACCCGTTCATGTATTATCGAAATTGAAGAAACAGAACTAAGATAAAAACCATCTGCTCACAATCTTGGTACTAGGGAAGGTTCCCTGTGATGGAGAGAACTGCCCCCTGTCACACTGGCACTTGTTACGCGTCTCAGAGGTACGAAGAAGAGATAAGCCTTGGGGTTTTCTGTGCTAGAGAGTAGGGGTGATCCCAGAATTGAAGTATTTTATATGGAAATCATAAGAGAAAATTAGAAAGTCTCACAAGAGAAGTGGTCTCCACAACATTTGTGGTCAGTGCCGCATAATTTCATACTTAATTTTGGAAATAGTACAGTGAAGCAGCAAGAGAATCAACTTTGAAGTCAGACATTCCAGCTTTGAATCCGGCTTCATCACTCACTGCCCATGTGACCTGGGAAGAGGCATCTTATCATCATGCTCATTTCCTCAGCTATAAAGTGTGGTTTATACCTGCACGCTAGGCCTGCTCATTGATCCAAGAGGCATCTAGAATACCTGTTATAGGAGGGAAAAAAGATACCTTTCCTCACCCATCACAAGATTCACAGCTGAGGCATCTATAGCAAAAGACTGATTGACAAGAGAAAAACGTACAAATTTATGTAAGTTTTATGTGACACAAAGCCTTCAGAAATGAAGACCCTGTAGTCCCAGCTACTCAGGAGGCTGAGGCAGGAGAATGGCGTGAACCTGGGAGGCGGAGCTTGCAGTGAGCCGAAACCGAGCCACTGCACTCCAGCCTGGGCAACAGAAAGAGACTCTGTCTCAAAAAAAAAAACAAAAACAAAAAACAAAACAAAAGAAAGAAATGAAGACCCAAAGAAATCAGGAGAATTGTATTTTTTTTTCTTTTTTTTTTTTTTTTGAGACGGAATCTTGCTCTTCACCCAGGCTGGAGTGCAGTGGCGCGATATCAGCTCACTGCAAGCTCCACCTCCTGGGTTCACGCCATTCTCCTGCCTCAGCCTCCCGAGTAGCTGGGACTACAGGTACCCACCACCGCGCCCGGCTAATTTTTTGTATTTTTAGTAGAGACGGGGTTTCACTGTGGTCTCGATCTCCTGACCTCGTGACCCGCCCGCCTCGGCCTCCCAAAGTGCTGGGATTACAGGCGTGAGCCACCGTGCCTGGCTGGAGAACGGTATTTTTATGGACAGTCATTCAGAAGTGTGACTGAAGGACAAAATGGTCTGATCTAACGTGAACAACCTGGCCAGGCAGGGTGGCTCATGCCTGTAATCCCAGCACTTTGGGAGGCAGAGGTGGGCAGATCACCTAAGGTCAGGTGCCTGAGACCAGCCTGGTCAAGAAGATGAAACCCTGTCTCTACTGAAAATATAAAAAGTAGCCGTTGTGGTGGTGCGCGCCTGTAATCCCAACACATTGCAAGGCTGAGGCAGGCAGATCACCTGAGGTCAGGAGTTTGAGACCAGCCTGGCCAACATGGTAAAACCCTGTCTCTACTGAAAATACAAAAATATTGGCCAGGTATGATGGTACATGCCTGTAATCCCAGCTTCTCGGTAGGCTGAGGCAGGAGAATTGCTTGAATCTGGGAGGTGGAGGTTGTAGTGAGCTGAGATCGCACCACTGCACTCCAGCCTGGGCGACAAGGGCAAAAACTCTGTCTCGAAAAAATAAAAATAAAAATAAAAATAAAAATAAAAATAAAAAAGAATGTGAATAAACTACGGTGGCGGGGATCTTAGTAAGACACATTTATCCAGATTATTATCTGTGCCTCTGTGTCTTCATTCCTTTCGTCTGGGTATAAAGAGGAACCCTCTGGACCCACTTTAGAGAAAGGTCAGAGAATTCTTTCTGGCCTGCCTCAGGGGAGAATGGCAGGACAGGGTCAGAAAAACTTCCCTGCTTCTGGTGTTTTCTAAAATGCCAAGGTGCCATATTTTGGGGTAGCATATCCTGAACCCATAACTGTTAAAAGTGAAAAATCTGGACGCAAATCGCCAAAGTTTGAATCCTGGTTCCAATACTGTCTAGCCGCGTGGCCTTTGGCAAGTTCCTTTGCTATGCCTCAGTTTCCTCAACAGTCAAACAATGTATTAGCTATTAATGTATTAGCTCACCTAACATTCCCACTAATCCTAGGAGGTATCAACCTTCTAATATTAATATCACTTCATATTAAGTGAACCAATACATTAATACAATACCTGTGCTTAGTAGGTTCTCCTATGTTAACTGTTGGGATTATTGATTTCTTCATTCAGTGAGTGTCTCCTCCAAGCCAGAACTCTGAGGTGACTAGAACACGTTCCCCAAAGAGATCCCTGTCCAGTAGACAAAATGGCACATGTGCAAATAATTGCACAGTGTGAAGGCTTCGTAAGACAACTTGACCCAGCCTAGAGAATTCCTGAAAAGGTGACACTTGAGGTGAGCTTTGAAGGATAGCGAAAACTGTCCAAGAGGGTACGAAAGTGGAAGTGCATTCCAAAGAGCAGAAGGTAGACTGTGCAAAGACACGGAGGTGAGAAAAGCAGGCTGCACGGGAGCTGTGAGTGCCTCAGAGTCTGGAGGGAGATGTGCCTGGTCCAGCCTGGGAGGATTTCGTTTGGATTTTATCCCAAGTGACTGCAAGTCCAGAGACATTGGGTACAAACCCTCCCAAGAACCAAATCTAACTCCAGAGAATTTGGATTAATTTCCCAATTTATAAAATGAGAGTTTTAAAAGAGATGACCCTTGCAGTCCCTCCAAGCACTGACGCAATTTAATTATCCCCAGATAGCTGGAAAGAGGCAAATTGCACGCTCCATTCCCCGCTTCCCCTAGTACACCTCAGGGCAGCACAAGGCCTGGCGCCCAAGCAATGCCTTTTCCTCTTTCTGAATTTTCTACAGTCTTTGCTAGCTCAGAAACTTCTCATTTTAACAGTTTCCTCACAGTCAGGTTCCAGAAAGCATGCATTTATGAAACTTATCAGCTCTGAATCTTTATTGTATGTGTTTTCTCATTAAAACAAATCAAAAATGCCTGTGCAGATGATGTCAAGGCTTTTAAAATTCAAAACCAAAATGTAGCCATCATCTGAATTGTCTCATGCGCAGGCTGCTGAGATCCGAGAGCCTCGTTTGACAGACAACCTGGGACTCAGCAAAGTAGAGAACCTGGGAGACAGGAGAGAGCTGCTTCCAGCCTGGCTCCTGAGCCTGATAAAATTAGCCAAAAGATGATCTCCATGGCAACAGGAAATTTGTTTCTTAAAGAAGGTTAGAAATAATGCCTTTGGAAGAAACTCCGCGGCAGATAGAATATTCTCAGATTACACATAAATGGTGTCTATGCCAACAAAATGACGGGCCAGGCGGCTCAATTATCTGGATAATTTAGGTCTGAACCAGTGATTTGTAAAAGAATAGGAGGCTTTTAAGACCTGAAGAATGGAATGTGGCAGGCCTGGGCCCAGACTCAGGGGAATGGGAAGGCCAACCCCTCCCAGGAGCGTTCTCTGCCAGTCTCAGGACTCGGAACCGGACTCGCACGCTCAGGGTGTGGGCCTCTGCCGGCTACTTTCCAAGAAGCAATGAGACCTGCTTGGAATTCTTAGTGGGATTATCTGGAAGTTGCTGGCAGAGGGGGTTGGGTGCTGGAGGAAGGAACAGGCAGAGAGATCACGTGTCTCAGGTGCTGCAAGGGAGGAGCCCCCGTTTCCGCTCCCTGTTCTGCATTTCTTTCTTCTCTCCCTCTGTCTTTAGCTCCTTCATTCTATCCCTCCTTGGAAGATGAATAGCCACTTTGTAAACTGAATTCCATTTTACTGGGATCTGTTTTGCAGGGAGACAGCATTGCATGGCGCTGACGTTGCCGCCAGGCTGTGCGGAGTCGAATTCTTCACCACATGCTGGCTGTGTGGGCTTAAACTCTTCGTGTCTCAGTTCCTTGACAGTAAAGGAGTGGAATTGAGGTGAGTATTAAATAAGTTAGTATGTGTGGACATACAGAACAGTGCCTTGCCCTGAGAGCTATCTAAGCATATTCCAGCACCTACAAAGGCTAGGCTGAAATCCCAGACGCAGAGGGACCATGGTAGTTCCTGGATTGAGATCTCTCTCACTGTGAATCGTTAGAGAATTCTAGATGGTGGTAAACGCCACTTGCCATCCAGCCTCCTTGTTATACGATAAGAAACTGATTCCCATCAACACACAGCACTGAGGATGTCCTACTTGTGACAAGCAGTGATTAGCAAATACTAAGTCCCTGGAGACAGGGAGGTGAGGGGCCCTGTCCTAGAGCTTTGAGCTTCCTGCAGCTCCTGGCTCAGGCTGGGCTGGGTAAGGGCTCTGTAAGCATTAAGGATCTTACCTCCTTTTGGCTTTGTTTGTTTATTTATCTGTTTGTTATTTAATGAATGAAGGAATCCCTCAGACAAAGATAAGAATCCCAGTGGCCCAATTAACCCTTTCCAGCAGCTCAGCCTAAAAGTTATGTCCCCTAAAGAGTTCCTTTTAGTAGTTCTGTCTGGTAATACATTCTGAGACCATGTGGCGTGGGGATTCCACAAACCACTCCTTGTGATGCCTCAAGAGCTGCAGACCCCGGAGAACTGGTGTGAGCTCTAGAAGCAAAGTGGGAATCCAGCCACGTGCTTCTCAGGTTTGTGAATCGGCCAAGTTACTTAACCTCTGTTTCTTCATCGTGAAGCATAACCATATCCAACATGTATCGAGCACTTAGTATTTGCCAATAACTGTATAATGGGTTTACACCTATTATCTCATTTAATTCTCACCATTTTAGAGGAGAAGTCAGGGGCACAAAGAACTTACTCACCCACTCAGCAAATAACTTGCCCAGAAGACAGATTTACTTATTGGTTAATAAGTAAATAGCAGAGCTTGGGCAATTATCCTCAGGGCCCTCCTGGTGGTTGTGAGAACTAAGTTTTATAACATTTGGGCTCACAGCAGGAGGTGGCAAATGTTGCTTCTCCTTTCCTTCTCTTCCAAAAACTCTGGACTTTGTCCAGAGGAAAAGTGACCTTGTGTTCTTCCTTCCACCCTCCTTTCCTTCCACTCTTTCTTTCCTTCTTTTTTCTTAGTCCCCTGTTTTTTTTTTATTCACCCAACATTTGTAGAAAACATTCTCAGAATTCTACACCAGCTTCCTTCCTAACAACTAACCTACAAAACTGAACCAGGCAGGGCTGTCCCTGCCCCCAGGCAGCTAGCAGTCTAGCCTTTTGTTGTGCAAGGTTAGCTAATTCCAGGGGAACAAAACAAAAAGAGGGCCAATATCTCCAATTTCTGTTTTGTTTTATTGTCAATCGGAGAAGAGAGAAAATTCACTTGTTGAGCCCCTCCCACTGGTGAGGTGTTCTACGTTCATCCCATTCCATCATCATAGCCAACCTTTGAGAGCTGGTATTATGTTTATTCTTTATGTTAAAAAAAAAAAACAAGAAAGAAAAACTTGAGACCTGGGCTTCTCCGGAGCTAGTCCGCGGATACACAGTGAACAAGAAACCGTGATGGACTTTCGCTCACTCCTCTGCAGGCCACTCTAAGCCTCGGCTTCTCAATGTCCTTCTTTCTGGGCTAAATTTGCAAATGGAGACTCAAAGATGTCTAGACATTTTTCTCTTTTTTAACAATTTTTTTTTGGATGGCTGGGTGCTGTGCCTCACGTCTGTAATCCTAGCGTTCAAGAGGCCAAAACGGGAGGATTGCTTGAGTTTAGGAGTTCGAGACAAGCCTGAGCAATAAAGCGAGATCCCTTCTCTTAAAAAAAAAAAAAAAAAAAAAAAGTGGAAAACAAAGTTTGAAAAGTTTTTTTATTTGCAAAGTCTAATTAGCCGCTGATATTTCCCCTGGTAAACATCCTTCTTATAAATTCCCATACTCAGCCCCTCAGTGGAGCTAGGAGCTGGGTGTGGTGGGGATCCCTGGCCTGCACCCCCTTCTGCCCAGGGCATGCTTGGCATTTGCCAGGCCCGGCTGCAGCCTCAGAGCTCGCCCTAGATTTACGGCAGCGCACACAGCTGCTTCCAGCCAAGGTGAGGCCTTCCTCTTTAATGGTACCGTTTACAAGTCAATAAAGCCCGGATGGAGCGCTGTTTCCGCCGCTGGTCCCACCACTCCGGGCTCCGTTGTCTCACCGTGCAGTCTGGGTGCCAGGGGGCCGGCTCTGGGGACTCTTTTCTCCCGTGATGGCTCTGCTCCCACCTCGGCCCCAGAGCAGCCCAGCCATAAAGGCTTCCCACCCCCATGAGGGCAGAGTTCAAAGCCCGGCTCCCCGGGATCCTCAACTGCCAGCCCCTCCTTGCTTTATGGCTCCTGCAGCCACTGGAGTCTTATCTCCTGTGCTGAGATAAAGGCTCTCAGAAAGCCCCAGCCCCTCAAGATGCCTCGGCCCCTGGGCTCAGGCTCCCCACTGTTCTCTGGGATCTGATCAATGAGCTGGAGGAAAGTAGCCTTTTCAACCCACTGAGACAATGCCCCTCTGCGTGTGGGGGTTTCCCTAAATAAGACCTGCAGGGGCTCTGCCTAGGGGGAAGCTGGGACACCTCGGACCTCCCAGCCAAGAACCCCCAAGCCCAGGCGATAACGAGGTGAGAGATGGAAGCTTAATGGGCCCAGGCGTGTGGGAACGGGGGGCGCAATCCGAGGGACACAGCCCAGCAATGGCAGAGCAAAGTCAGGGCTCGTTCACCTGACCACTAGTTCAGGGAGCAGGGCAGAGCGCCTACTGTGCGCCCAGGGCTGCGCTCCATGCTGTGTGCTCAGCATGGGACAGAGGAAGCAGAACAGGAATCTGCTGGGCAAAGAAGAGGCCAGGGATATTTACAAAAGCCAGACAGTGAGAAAGAGACGGGTTAGGGTCCATCCCCAGAGTGGCTGCAGTGGGGGTGCACCATGGGTCCTTACAGAGCACAGGGCAGCTGGTTGCTCAATCCCTTCCTCCTAGTACATGCCTACACCAGAGACTGGTGGTCCCTGGAAGCCCTGTGGTGAGGGCCTGGTCACCAATCCATCACCGCAAAGTTCAGGCTGAGGCAGCCTGTGTTGGGTGAACCCCAACCCAGGAACTGGGATGACCAGTAGAAGTACCGTGAGCCCAGGGAGACAGGAGTCTAAGAAGGGATGCTTCTCATTCGTACACACACACGCCGGCCTACAAACATCTGCCAACCTGCAGGTGTTTGTAAGTAAGCCCCAACACTTACTTTGTAAGTAAGAAGGCATCCTAAGAGCCTCACTTCTTATGAGAAAAAAACTCAGGCCCAAAGAAGTTCAATTGACAACAGCTAATATAAGGCCACCACTAGTCTACTTGGTCCCTCCATGTGAATTAGAAAAAAGGCGCCCCTGTGGGGTGGGTGCAGCCCCAGGAGGCATGGCTTGTGAACAGACAGCACTTTTGTATAAAGGAACAGGAGCCCTTTCCTTGAGTGCACCCAGGCACTCAAATTGTCAGGGAAAGTGAAGGGTGGACTTCTGCCTCCTGGTTGGGCATCGCTGTGCACCTGTGACTACGCTGAGCTCATAAGAGAAAGTGCCCCCTCCACATAACAGCAGGTGAGGCAGAGAGACCTGCGGGGCTTCTGAGTTGGGCACAAGTACAATTCAGTCCCAGCTCTGTGACACCACTGACCAGCATTGCAGCTGTGGGCAACCCACCATTCCTGCATCTGTAGACTAAGGTGGAAAATACCTACTTCATGGGGCTTGGCAAAGATTGAAGAGTAGATGGTTGTTCTTATTATTCCAATGCCACAAGAGCAGAAGCTGAAGGATCCCCAGAGCCTTGGATGTTTTCCTTCCTTCCTCACTTAGAGAAATGCCTTAGTTATTTGTTTCCTGCCAGAGTATAATTACAGTGCAAGGACCTCATTCTCCAGTCCTGTTTTAGTGAAGAAGGAAGGAAGTCCAGGCCTTTTTACCTCAAACTCCCTGCTCAGAGATGCCATCTGGGAGTTTGACTAATCTGCTGTTGCAGCCAACAACTCCTCTGGGTTCCAGATCTAGGTGCTGTGCAGGCCACTCAGGACTGCCCTTGTCGCCATCAGTCAGCCACTGTTCTCAGCCCTGACCTGCAGGACACCCATCTTCTCCCATGGCCCTGCGAGTTCATGGCTGGAGGAGGAAGGGAGGTCTATCCACACACTCTGAGAAGCACATCGGGGCATTTTGGCTGACGGCCATTCCCACCATGAGTGTATCTGCAAAAATAGCCATTTTGTGTCTCTCTTTGGAGAGCCAGTGCAGAGCCCTGCACCAGAAAAACACTTGCAAAAGCCTCGGAATGACTGTGAACCCATCCTAACAGGGGGCCCTGAACTTGTCCACCTGCTTTAGAGCCCAGCTTGGTGGCTCACCGTATCCAAGGAGGACCGCCGGCTTTGCTCCAGAGAAGTGCCAGGAGAGTTGTTTTCATCAAGTTGAAGGAAGGACACATAACTCTAAGACCAGCCCTGATCTATGACCTGCAGCAAGTTCCTCTGCACTCTGCAGCAAACTCATCTGCAAAATAAAGGAATAAGAATATGTGACCTCCAAGGGCCCTTTCAGACCTGTGGTACTGGGAGTTACAAAGGATCCTTGCCTAATCTGCGGTGTGAATTGAAAGAGAATATTATTTGTGAAGACTCAGCTGCTAGGGAAGAAACTTCCTTTTCAGTGAGATGACCACTGGAGTCCTTCAGCTTTTACAGAAAGAGCCATAAAGTTATTTTGCAAACAAAGTTGACCTTTAATGAAGCATCTTCTGCAGGTTCAAAGAAGAGAGCCCTGGTCCGTGCACCATGAGGTTGGATTCATGTGTAAGGTGTGAACAGAGCAGGAAGATCCTGACGAATGTTGTATTTCAGCTAAGATTTAGGAGATTGCCTCCCACACTCACAAGGGCCCATGTGCTGTCTGCCAGGCCTGTGCTGAAGACAGAGACACAGACACTCCTGCCCTCTAAAAGGGCCTACTCTAGGGGGAGTCATAATGAGGACTCTCCACACACCTGTTTACCAGGGACCTTTGAGAATATCACAGGCCCATGAGGTAGACTGAGCAAGAATGGTCACCTGTATCTTACCAAATAGTTAGCTAAGGCTCAGAGATGCACTCATTTGTCTAAGGCCACACTGCCAGGGAGTGGAAAGTTTGTGAATTCCAATCTTCTGTGTCATAGGCCAACTCTTCTGCAGCCTCTCTCTCCACTGCACCTTGGTGTCTACATGTAACAGAGGACTTAAGACTGAGAGGTTGGCCAAGTATGGTGGCTCATACCTGTAATCCCAGCACTCTGGGAGGCCAGGAGTTCTGGCAAGAATCACTTGAGTCCAGGAGTTCAAGTCCAGCCTGGTTAACATAGCGAGAACCCATCCCTATTTAAAGGAAAAAAGAAAAAAGACTGAGAGGTTATCATCTCTCAGGGTCTCCTACACAGAGTAGGTGCTCAGTGAATACCTGTTGAGTAAAGCCACCAGGTTCTTGGCTCCACTACTCTAGACAAAGACTTGATTTGCATCTTTCCAAGCCTTTAATTTGCTTCTCTCTGGCTCTTTCATCTTGAGTTTTTGTTGTAGGGATGTTTGTTACAGGATTGTGGCTTTTGCAAATGGAAAATTCTAAAAGGTATCAGTCCTGCAATTTTCTTAATCCTGCTGGTATTCCAAGCACAAACTACACAGCATAGTGCTCATTTCCTCTAAAAATGTCACACACTTCTGTCCATCCACAATGGCAGGAAGAGAAAGCAGAGCCTTAGAATTAGGCAGATCCGAGATCTTGTCCCTGTATCACTGGGGTCAAGTATTGGCCTTTCTGAGCCTCAGTGGTCTATTCTGTAGAATGGGGTGAATCTTCACTTTGAAAAGATATCAGAGGGACAAATGAAATTCCTAAAATCCCCAGTACACCATGGGTTGGGTTGGGTTTTTGGCAATGTGAGCTCCCTTATCTTTCCCACTCCCTAAGGAAGACTTGGGCAAGTCCCATCTATGGCCTATTTTCTTCTCGGGAAGAGTTTTTCCACCATCAAGTTCTCTGTCTCATTGGTGTTTCAAAGCCATGAGCCTCCAGAATTATTTGGTAATCATCCCTGCCCAATATGTTCCATGTACAGAGCAGCAGCAGAGCAGTGTACGTGACACACTTGAAAAGATAATTGGTAATGGGGAGTGATTTCTTTATGTGGCTTCCACTTTGCCACTTTGGAGACACAACTATAGAGACTTTGGGGCTCTTCATATCAAGGAAATACCAGCATCATTACAATCAGAGTCATCTTATCTGTTAGGCCCTAGAGCTACAGGACCGGGCTATCAGCTCTTTAGAGTCCTGCAAAATTATTTGAGATCTGAAAACAAAAAATAATTGGCCCTGGGCTGGGCGCGGTGGCTCACGCTTGTAATCCTAGCACTTTGGGAGGCCTAGGCAGGCGGATCACTTGAGGTCAGGAGTTTGAGACCAGCCTGGCCAACATGGTGAAACCCCGTCTCTACTAAAAATATAAAAATTAGCTGGACGTGGTGGCGGGTGCCTGTAGTCCCAGCTACTCAGGAGGCTGAAGCAGGATAATTATTTGAGCCTGGGAGGTGGAGGTTGTAGTGAGCCGAGATGGCACCACTGCACTCCAGCCTGGGTGACAAAGAAAGACTCTACCAAAAAAAAAAAAAAAAAAAAGATTGGCCCTGCAACACAAAATGAAAACTGCAAGGTCAAAGCAGATGGATGGTAAGTCAAATGTCTGAGAAATGTAAAGTTCTTTCATATGCCACTTCCTGAATTGATGAATTTATCATTCATGAAAATTTCATTACATTCAAAAACAGTTTGTTGATTATATTTCATTACTTTGCATGAGTACCCAAATAGGCTGAGAAAATTTTTAAAACTTTCTGTGAAAGTAAAGTATCTATAGCCAAATAATTTCAAAGGCAAAGTTACAAAAGTTCTTTTAAACTTAAAAAAAAAAAAATAGAGATGATGTCTCTCTCTTGTCACCCAGGATGGAGCACAGTGGCACAATCATAGCTCACTGCAGCCTC
Organism: Homo sapiens; assembly: GCF_000001405.40. Classification (NCBI taxonomy): domain Eukaryota; kingdom Metazoa; phylum Chordata; class Mammalia; order Primates; family Hominidae; genus Homo; species Homo sapiens. Next base: position 16,098,334 of record NC_000002.12, on the reverse strand, counting down.
CAACTTCTGGGCTCAAGCGATCCTCCCACTTTAGCCTCTTGAGTAGCTGGGACTAACAGTATGTGCCAACACACCAGGCTTAAGCTTTTACTAAAGCAAAAATAAATAAATAACATGATGTGCGATGTAAGTATATCATAACATATTTGATGTGATGTTGGGCAGGGTCTCCAAAAATAAGAATGCTAGGCCAGGCACAGTGGCTCAAGCCTGTAATCCCAGCACTTTGGGAGGCCGAGGCAGGTGGATCACCTGAGGTTGGGAGTTCGAGGCCAGCTTGACCAACATGGAGAAACCCCGTCTCTAATAAAAATACAAAATTATCCAGTGTGGTAGCACATGCAGGTAATCCCAGCTACTTGGAAGGCTGAGGCAGGTGAATCACTTGAACCCTGGAGGTGGAAGTTGTGGTGTGCCAAGATCATGCCATTGCACGTGTGTGCATGCTTGTTGCCCGGGCAACAAGAGCAAAACTCCATCTCAAAAAAAAAAAAAAAAAGAATAAAAGAATGCTGAAGGCCTACAGAGGTCTTTAAAGAGTCCTGATATGGTTTTGCTGTTTCCCCACCCAAATCTCATCTTGAATTGTAGCTCTCATAATTGGGAGGGACTGGGTTGGGAGATAATTGAATCATGGGGGCAGGCTCCTCCCTGCTGTTCTCATGGTACTGAATAAGTCTCACAAGATCTGATGGTTTTCTAAGAGGAAATCCCTTTCACTTGGTTCTCTCATTCTCTCTTGCTGCTGCCATGTAAGACGTGCCTATCGCCTTCCATCATGATTGTGAGGCCTCCCCAGCCACGTGGAACTGTGAGTTCATTAAACATCTTTTTCTTTATAAATTACCCAGTCTCCGGTATGTCTCTATCAGCAGTGTGAAAATGAACCAATACAAGTCCCGGCCATCATCTGATCTATTCTGAGGGATCGGGGTTACCTGAGGGATTGGGAGATTCCTGATGCTTTCACCAAGAGGTAAGTTCCCACCTGGGCTGCCCAGCAAGCTGCAAAGCCTTTCAGACATTTGCCGACCCAAGCATCAGGTGCCATCTTCAAATGTGGGGCCAGCCAATTCCCCTCTCCCCAGCCCCTGCTGCAGGGCATTCCACCAGCTCATAAAACACTGGCCATGGAGCCCTGGGTTAATATTTACTCAGTACAAACCATTCTAGAGTCAGAGGCAGAAGGCCAATCTAAAGTTAAAACATTAAAAAGGAAATTTCACCCCCTGCATCCGTTTTACAATTTCGTAAGACTAGACTGTGGCTCACAGGTGGATTTTGCCCACAACCAGTGGCGTTACCTGGAGTACAGGAGAGAATTCTGGGTTTGAAACAGGCTATTTAGATCTACTTCCAGCTCCATCAGTTGCTGACACTGAAGAAATCTTTGTTAATTCCCTTCTAGACTTGTTTCCATCACTGTAAGATGGGGTTGATGATCCCCACCAGGAAACTGTAAGCCCTGAATGAAACGAGTTCTGCTAAGATTTTTGGAACCTGAGAAACACCATACAATGTAAGATGCTTATACATCGTCTGGCCAAGAATTCTTTTTTGACTTTAGTGCAACAATAAAGGACTCCAGCCAGGCGTGGTGGCTCACACCTGTAATCCCAGCACTTTGGGAGGCCAAGGCAGGCAGACCATGAGGTCAAGAGTTCAAGACCAGCGTGGCCAACATGGTGAAACCCCGTTTCTACTAAAAATACAAAAATGAGCCAGGCACAGTGGTGTGTACCTGTAATCCCAGCTACTCAAGAGGCTAAGGCAGGAGAATCACTTGAACCTGGGAAGCACAGGTTGCAGTGAGCCGAGATCGCACCACTGCACTCTAGCCTGGGCAACAGAACGAGACACGGTCTCAAAAAATAAATAAATAAATAAATAAAGGAATCCTGATTGAAATAACATTGGCTTCAATTAACAATGTAATAGTAAATACTGAGATTTAATTGTAGCAAGTAATCTTTTCCAAAGATGAGCACATCAATGTATTTCATATCCCATCTGGTAAACTCTCCTTATACTGGGGTGGATAGTAGGCCTCCATTGAGACATGGGATTCATGCTCCCTCTCCTTGAACCTGGGTGGAACTATCTAACTCCCTCCAGCAATGAAATCTGGCAAAAATGAGTGAGTGACTTCCGTTTCCACCTGGGTCTGTTTACTGGGACCTGGATATTTGGAGCCCTGAGCTGCCACTGAAGGAGTCTGGCTACCCTAAAGCCACGGTGCTGGAGAGACCATGTGGAGGGGCCACATGGAATCAAAGAAAAGTGCACAGGTGGCCCCAGCTACTAATGCGCAATACCACCAGGTGGTGAGATAATCATTTTATTTATTTAACTGATTCTTTTTTTTTTTTTTTTTTTTTTTTGAGATGGAGTCTTTGTCTGTTGCCCAGGCTGGAATGCAGAGGTGTGATCTCAGCTCACTGCAACCTCCGCCTCCCAGGTTCAAGAGATTCTCCTGCCTCAGCCTCCTGAGTAGCTGGGATTACAGGTGGGAGCCACCATGCCCTGCTAATTTTTTGTATTTTTAGTAGAGATGGGGTTTCACCATGTTAGCCAGGCTGGTCTCAACCTCCTTGGCCTCAAGTAATCTGCCTGCCTCAGCCTCCCAAAGTGCTGGGACTACAGGTGTGAGCCACTGTGCCCAGCCTATTTATTTGATCCTTTGTGTATACCCGCATTTCTAAAATTTCTATAGCAAACACATATTACTTTAAAAAAATAGTTGTTTCTGAATTCCATTTGTATTTCCATCTTCTCAAAGCATCACCAGGCTTTGGCTGAGATCTACATGGAATTCCAACAATCTGACTCTTTGCATAATTCAACAAAATAACTGTTTGCCTTAGAACCCTGACAAGCTTCTACTGGCAGGCAGATGCCAGGAGCCACTGCACACCTCAGTTGAGCTCAGGGGATCCAGTGCTCAGATTTACCCATAATTAGAACCACCAGCCCAGCTGCCCCAGCCATGGAGCAAGCTTTCCTGAGCCCTAATGTCTGTTTTTCTACCATTGGAAATCTTTCATTTGTTCATTTCTTCCTTTGCTCATTCATCAAATATTCGTTGAGCCTTCTGTGTGCCAGGCACAATACTAGGTGCTAGGGACACATCTGAGGGCCCATGGGAGGTCTCTGTCTTCGTGCAATGAAAAGCACAAATGAAGCCGTGACCTGAGAGTGGCATAAGCGCTGTGGGAGGGGTGTCCCAAGAGCAGTGAGCAGACAGAGTGGAGGCACCCAGCCCAGATGAGAGATTCAAGACACTTTGCAGATAACAGGATATGCTAGCTCAAGCGTGAAGGGGCGAAGCCTCATGCAGGGACAGGAGAAGAGGAGCTTTCAGGAAGAAGGGACAGCATGGGCCCAGGTGTTTCTCCAGAACCCAGAGGCTCTCCACTCTTCAGCACTGTTAGTGGTAACTCCAGGACGGCTTCCAAGCACTGGATGAAAACATCCAACTCATTGTCCCTGTTTCATTCCCAGCCATTTGGTCCTCAGACCCCAGAATCAGCCCAGGATGCATTCAAGGTGCCCTACCTTAGGGGGCCCTGCCCTCCTGGCATCAGGACTCAGGGAGACACTGGTGGGGAAGGGGACTCTGCCCACCAGCTCACGTTACACCAAGCTCTGAGACGCCTCCACATCTAGTCAATTCAAGAGAGCACTGAAGTTAGAATCAGACTTTGGGTAAGTCCTTGCCCCTCCCTGGAACCTACAGGGTTTCCTTGTCTGTAAAATGGGGATAACAAGGAATCCCAGAGTTACAGGGTATTGTGAAGTCAAAGGAGATCATGTACACATGCACACTTAGCAACATGCAAATGCAAGATGTGGAGCTGCCCCGGCCCCAGCTCCAGCTCTGGCTCTGTGCAGCCTCCGACTGCTTATGTAAACCAGCCGCGATGCTGATGTAGCATGAGGCTTCTGTTTTCCACATTAGTGAGCACAGAAAACCTCGAACCATGACCCTGACACAGGTCTTTGGTTGCCATAGAGTCTCTTGTACTCCTGTACATTGTTCACTAAACAGGCAGGGCAGAGAGAGCTTTTCTTGCTCTGAGGCCAATGGCCAAGGTCCAAGATGCTGCTGGTGACACATTTCCCCTGCCAGCCGGCCCCACGACGCTGCCGGCCAGGTGGGGCTTGTGAGACAAGTGCCCTTAATTTGTTCTGACATCCAGCCAGGGGGAGCACCAAGCCTCCAGGGAGCACGAAGAGCTTGTCATGTCGCCCTATTATCCCACTGGAGCCGAGGGCGGAGGCTCTGCCATGAGCCCCAAAGCTGCTGCCCTGGGTGGGTTCTCGTCTCTGTGGATCACAGCCTCAGCCCACGGCTGGCATGCATCCTTCTACACCACAGTCCATCATCATCAGGAGGCTCTAACAGGAAAGCCCTGCCATGCTCCCCGGAGGTCCCTTGATGCCTTTCCTCAGGACCCTGGCCAGGAAGCTCATGCTGCCTCCTGCGGGGCTGGCTTCCTCCTGCTCCCCAGCCTCACCCTCTGCCCCACCATTTGTTCTACCCAGAGCCAATTCTGACCATTTGTTCCATCCAGGCCTCAAATGCAACCCCACACCTCCTCTTCCATATAGCTTGTGCCAATCCTTTAAATCTCTGTTAAAGTGTCAACTCCTCCAGGAAGCCTACCTACCTGGAAACACAGGGCTCTGTTTCTCCCAAGAGCCCAGAGATATCTGTATTTATCATGCTGTAATGTAATTGCCTGGTACCCGTGCCGTGGGACTACCCACCCCTACCCCAGAGCCCTTGGGTTCACTGGGAAGTCTTCGGTAAAATAGAACAAAAATTCGTTGGCATAGGTATTATGCAATGAGAGGGGATAAATATTAGAAATGAAAGATCCATTCATCTTGTGGGTGCTCGGTTTGGAAGGCTGTGCAAAGGCCCCGAGGTCTTGCTCTGTCTCTCCAGGGTGCAGGTGCCTCAGATCAGAGCCCAGCTGGCTTCTAGCATTCTGGCTGAGTGGAGTCCAGCCCCTGAGGGAGGCAGAGGTGGAAAATGGCAAGGGACTCATAGGCGCACCATAACTCTCCCAAAGAGATAGAACCTGTTTGGTATGTGTGTGTGGAAATTGGAACCAGAAAGAACGTGCCGCATTTCCCAGAAGCACCCTGAGAAAACTAGTTTTTGCCACATGAATTTAGAGATTTCTCCAAATTCTGGCTCTGTGATCAAAAGAGTTTGGAAAATGATTGTTTGAACAAAAGTAAACAGGTATTTTTTTCTGCAGACTTCTCAGAGTCCTCAGTGGTCTACATTGCAAATCTCGGAGAGGGGACTAGAGTGTCAGACTTGCCATGCGTATCTGGCAACAATGTCTGCTTTTAAGAAATACCTCTTAGTGTCTCACAGAATCAATTTTTCAGAAGACACAATTTAGAAAATGTTGTTTGGTCGGGTGTGGTGGCTCACGCCTGTAATCCCAGCACTTTGGGAGGCCAACACGGGCGGATCACCTGAGGTCAGGAGTTTGAGATCTGCCTGACCAACATGGAGAAAACCCATCTTTACTAAAAATACAAAAAATTAGCCAGGCATGGTGGTATATGCCTGTAATTCCAGCTACTCAGGAGGCTGAGGCAGGAGAATCGCTTGAACTTGGGAGGCAGAGGTTACGCTGAGCCAAGATCATGCCATTGCACTCCAGCCTGGGCAACAAGAGTGAAACTCCATCTTAAAAAAAAAAAAAGAAAAAGAAAATGTTGTTCTAGGCCTGGCATGGTGGCTCACACCTGTAATCCCTGAACTTTGGGAGGCCAAGGTGGGCAATTGCTTGAAGTCAGGAGTTCGAGACCAGCCTGGCCAGCATGGTGAAACCCCGTCGCTACTAAAAATACAAAAAATTGGCCAGGCATGGAGGCAGGCACCTGTAATCCCAGCTACTCAGGAGAATAATTTGAACCCAGGAGGTGGAGGTTGCAGTAAGCCGAGATCCCACCACTGCACTCCAGCCTGGGCCACAGAGACAGAGCAAGACTCTGTCTCAAAAAAAAAAAAAAAAAAAAAAAAACACACCAAACAAACAGAAAATGCTGTTCTAGAGGTAGCTGGGAGTTCCCAAAGGGCCATATCTTCTAATATTCAAATCTATAGAGGGATTTTATTGATAATACATATTTTTGATACATCACACAGTGCTGTCTTTTACTGACACAGCTTGCTTCTTGCTGATGCTGTGAACCATGTGAGTGTTTCCCTCATTAATGTGGCTGCTAGGAAGCTCAGAACTGAGTCCTTGTCCACATCTAGTCATTCCCCAGGCCCTCAGAGGGGAAATGTTAACTTCTAACTTTTTACCTGTTATCACCTTAGTTCTTCTATCCTTATTTTCTCTTGACCATCATTCCTTTATTTAATCATTGTAAACCTGTTTTACTGGTATGTTAAAATCCTTTTGAAAAAGAGGTAAGATGTACATAAATAAATGTAAACAAGTATAATCATATTAGTAGTAGCAATAATGATAACAAAATCACTTTCTTTCCAAAGAATAGGTGAATTTCCTGTAGGTCTGAGCATAAATTCTTTTCTGACAAGGTAGAGAGGATCCCAGATGCATCTTTTTCCGGGGCTTAATTTTCCTGCTTAACCCTTTCATTCTGCTCTTCAAAGTCAGAAGAAATGCCACCCTCTGTCCCCCTCACCCCTTGAAAGACTGAAACAAAACCACCCTCAAGATCAAATTGATTACATTAATGACAAGGAGAAGAGAGGATGGCCTGTGTCCGCTCTCTGCACTCAGCCACACAAGAGGCTTTTGTGCTCAGGAGAGAGATGGGGGCCAGGCACTTGATAAGCCGTATCCACTGGGCGTGGCCTGCCCCGCTGCTGCTTCAGCCCTTGAAGGCCCAAAAGGCTGGGTGGAGAGAAGGCCCCCGAATCCTGGCCACAGCCCCTGCGGCTCACCTTGGTGGGGCCAGGACTGGCTGAGGACCCAGTCTGCCCAATACCTAGGTAGCCACTTCCGGGTCCCTCTAAAGACCCAAAGGAGGGGTTGAGGGTTCACCAGCATTAGCCTGTTGGAACCTCCTTTCTGTATACAAACCCAGCTGAATCCTCTTCCCTTCGGATGCCTTGACCGTGAAGTGACCCACACATCATAAGAACTATCCTGCCTGCCTTTCTTCCCTGCACTGGAGTCCTTTGTTGTCACCCACGAATGGCTCTTGACCCGCTCTCTGGACAACTGTCATGTGCTTCCAGGAGTGGAAGGACAGTGGCTGCCATGTCCTGTTCCATTTCTCCTTGGAGCCCTGGGTGGTCAGGGAACAGAGGATTAGTGTCTCTCTCTCTCTCTCTCTCTCTCTCTCTCTTTCTCCCTCTCTTTGTACACACACCCATTTCCCCCAAATGCCTGAAGGATATTCCTTGCAAGACAGACAATAGGTATGAATAAAACTGTAGACACAAAGCTAGGAAAGGAGTCACCCAGGCCCAGAAGGACAGTGGGAACTGCCAGGTTAGTTGGTCCTCCTCTGAGCCCGTGGACAGCCTGTGTACCCCATCCTTCCATTCACTTGTGCGTTTGCCCCAGGAGATGTTCTCCTTGAGGACTGGAACCTCATGGAATTCAACACGGTCCCCTCGTGTCTAGGGCCTTCCTCTAAGGATAACCTCAATGAATTAAGAAGCAAGAAAAAGGCTGGAAAGATAATTAAAAAGAGGAAAAGGGGGTGAGGGAGGAGGTCATCAGTGTTTGGGGGTAAAAGACATTTTATTCATTATCTCTTTTAATCTTCACAATAACTTTAAGAGTTTAGATGTTAGCATTGGCCCCATCTCAGATATCAAGACCTTGAGCCTCCAGGAAGTAGGGCAGCCTTCCTGGCTCACTGTTAAGGTGTACCTGGTCAAGGTTGGGACCAAATTCCAGCCACCTCCACAGCCTGGCTCTTCTGCCTATGGCCACGCTATGCCACTGTCACTCAGACCCAGGGTGTACCTGGTCAAGGTTGGGACCAAATTCCAGCCACCTCCACAGCCTGGCTCTTCTGCCTATGGCCACGCTACGCTGCTGTCACTCAGACCCAGGGTGTACCTGGTCAAGGTTGGGACCAAATTCCAGCCACCTCCACAGCCTGGCTCTTCTGCCTATGGCCACGCTACGCTGCTGTCACTCAGACCCAGGGTGTACCTGGTCAAGGTTGGGACCAAATTCCAGCCACCTCCACAGCCTGGCTCTTCTGCCTATGGCCACGCTACGCTGCTGTCACTCAGACCCAGGGTGTACCTGGTCAAGGTTGGGACCAAATTCCAGCCACCTCCACAGCCTGGCTCTTCTGCCTATGGCCACGCTACACTGCTGTCATTCAGACCAGCCTAGGAGTTTCCATTTCATCCTAGAGGCAGCAGACCTTGAAATCTTTCTGAAAACGTGTGAGTTGAGTTTGCAAAGTGTGTTAAAATTAAAATAGAAGGCCGGGCATGGTGGCTCATGCCTGTAATACCAGCACTTTGGGAGGCCAAGGGGGGCAGATCACCTGAGGTCGGTAGTTCAAGACCCGCCTGACCAACATGGAGAAACTCCATCTCTACTAAAAACACAAAATTAGCCAGGTTTGGTGGTGCATGCCTGTAATCTCAGCTACTCAGGAGCCTGAGGCAGGAGAATCAACTGAACCTGGGAGGCGGAGGTTGTGGTGAGCCAAGATCACGCCATTGCACTCCAGCCTGGGCAACAAAAGTGAAACTCCGTCTCAAAAAAAAAAAAAAAATTAAAATAGAAGCCGGGTGCAGTGACTAACACCTATAATCCCAGCACTTTGGGAGGCTAAGGCAGGTGGATTGCTTGAGGTCAGGAGTTCAAGACCAGCCTGGGCAACATGGCAAAACCCCATTTCTACAAAAAATACAAAAAAAAAATAGCCAGACCTGGTGGTGCACACCTACTCTGCAGGCTGAGGTAAGAGGATCACCTGGTCCCGCAAGGTGGAGGCTGCAGTCAGCTGAGATTGCACCACAGCACTCCAGCCTGGGCGACAGGGCAAGACTTTTTCTCTTTTTTTTTTTTTTTTTTTTTTTTTGAGACGGAGTCTTGCTCTGTAGCCCAGGCTGGAGTGTAGTGGCAAGATCTCAGCTCACTGCAACCTCTGCCTCCTGGGTTCAAGCGATTCCCCTGCCTCAGCCTCCTGAGTAGCTGAGATTACAGGCGCGCGCCAACACGCCCAGCTAATTTTTGTATTTTTAGTAGAGACGGGGTTTCACTGTGTTGGTCAGGCTGGGAACTTGTCTCTAAATAAAAAATAAAAATAAATCGAATAGAGATTTTCTGCCAAGGAATTCCCAGTTTTCCGCTGCAGTCCAAGCTGGTGTAAAGACCTCTTTCCTTAAAAAGATCATATGTTAGCCACTTAAATTAGAAAAGTCACAGGTCTAGAAAACAAATATCTTCCCCATCCTTCTCTGTGGACTATGTTCAGCTAAGCATCCTTCCAGCAAATCTAGACCCCACACTTGAGGAGTCTAACTTCTCCTGGGGAAAAAAAGAAAAGGGAACTTAGGCTTATCGGCCAGCTTGATTCACTTCATTATAACAAACGAGGCCTTATCTGGCAGCCACAGAGCATGGGGGGCCCTGCACCCACCAACCCCTTCCCAGGCCCCCTGAATGCCAACATCCAGACAGGAAGTTGTGAGCGGAAATAAAGTGTTCATAGGTTTCCCACGTGCAATGAAGAGCTTATGTGAGGTCTACAAAAGTGTGGCAAATCCTTGGCTTTTAAAATTGCAAGGAAACTTACTTGTGGTTGTCGGCTTGGTGGGTGTCTGCTCCAGAGGAAGAAGCAATCTTTGTAAGGATCCTCTTGGTTCCTGTATGTGGCTTGCTTTGCTTAAAGTATTTTTTTATTTTTTTACATTTATTTTATTTTTACTAATTTCTGCTTTCATTGTAGATTCTTAGGGTATATGTGCAGGTTTCTTACCTGGGTATATTGTGTGATGCTGAGGTTTGGGATACAATTGATCCTGCCACCCGGGTACTAAGCATAGTCTCCAATAGTTTTTCAGTCCTTGCTCCCTCCACCCCTCCTTTTCTCGCTGCTGTAGCAGTCCCCAATGTCTATTGTTCCCATCTTTATGTCCACGAGTATCCAATGTTCAGCTCCCACTTATGAGTGAGAACATGTGGTATTTGGTTTTCTGTTCAAAAAGATTTCATTTTAAGATTTAAGATATTTGATTGAACTAATCTGTGTTGTTAAAAATGAAACTTAGGCCAGATGCGGTGGCTCACACGTGTAATACCACCACTTTGGGAGGCTGAGGCAGGCAGATCACTTGAGTTCAAGAGTTTGAGGCCAGCCTGGGCAACATGGTGAAACCCCGTTTCTACTAAAAGTACAGAAATTAGCCAGGCATGGTGGCGGGCACCTGTAATCCCAGCTACTCAGGGGACTGAGGTGGGAAAATCACTTGAACCTGGGAGTCAGAGGTTGCAGTGAGCCGAGATCGTGCCACTACACTCCAGCCTGGGTGACAGAGTGAGACTCTGTCTCAAAAAAAAAAAAAAAAAGAAAAGAAAAGAAAATTTTAAAAAAAATACAATTTTATGGGTTGTGTTATGTTTTCAATGGACAAGTATCTCAGCTCCATACTTCTAATTGAAAAATGTCAAACATCTCATTGTTCTGGGCTTCAAAATATAAGTAATACCTAGCATTTGCATGAGGTTCATGATTTACAAAGTATTTTCTATCAGAGACCTTGCCTGCTGCTGTGTAAATCAAGGCTCATTTTGAGGTATTATCTTTTCCATACTTTGTTCAAAAACAGATTTAAGATAACTAGTAGGTATGTTACCAGAAGACACAGGAATAGAGCCTCTTAGAAACTGAGTTCTATTACAGATAAAACTGCTAAAAACTTGGAGCATTTCAATTTCTAAAATAGCACTTGTGTATCCATCCTGCAGTTATCTTTCATTTTTTATTTTATTTTTTGAGATGGAGTCCCGCTCTGTTGCCCGGGCTGGAGTGCGATGGCGCGATCTTGGCTCGCTGAAACCTCCACCTCACGGGTTCAAGTGATTCTCCTGCCTCAGCCTCCTGAGTAGCTGGGATTACAGGCGCCCACCACCACACCTGGCTAATTTTTGTATTTTTAGTAGAGACGGGGTTTCACCATGTTCGTCAGGCTGATCTCAAACTCCTGACCTCGTGATCCATCCTCCTCGGCCTCCCAAAGTGCTGGGATTACAGGCGCGAGCCACCACGCCTGGCCCGTACTGCAGTTATCTTTAACAAGGCCTGGACATTCAGCACGTACCCACACCTCTCAGGCCATTGCTGGAGCACGCAGGACTAAAATAGTGAGCTCATCTGAAGACTAATGTGTTGGAACAAACTCTGAACGTGGGCAGGGCTGGGATGTCCTAACGTCGTCTTTTCACTGCTTCCCCACTCTATGCATTTGGACGGATCTTCAGAGTCTCTGAGCCTGTTTCCTCGTGGAGAGACTAATGCCTGCCATGCCCAGTTCTCAGCACTACTTTGTAGATGCAGTGTGATAAGGGGTGTGAAATTTACATGCATTGACACTGGTGGTGCTTCATTGTGATTATAGACCCAGTGTTATGAGGCCCTGGTACCAACTGCAGCTCTATTTCTTGCTGTCTAATCATGGACAAGTTACCTCTCTATCAGCCTCAAAGCCCACATCTGTCAAATGAAGAGGGTGAGGCTATATGTTTTATTTCTATTTTCTTTAATTTTTTTGAGACAGAGTCTTGCTCTGTCACCCAGGCTGGAGTGCAGTGGTGCCATCTTGGCTCACTGCAATCTCCACCTTCCAGGTTCAAGCGATTCTCCTGCCTCAGCCTCGCAGGTACCTGGGACTACAGGCATGCATCACCACGCCAGGCTAATTTTTGTATTTTTAGTAAAGACAGGGTTTCACCATGTTGGCCAAACTGGTTCAAACTCCTGACCTCAAGTGATCCACCTGCCTCAGCCTCCGAAAGTGCTGGGATTACAGACGTGAGCCACGGCGCTGGCCTAGATGTTTTATTTCACTGCGACTCCAAGTGTAACTACCAGTATGTCGTGAAATAAGGAGCCTGCATTAGAATATTAAACAACGCCCTGCTTCTTTCATCGAGACAGTCTTGTTATCAAAACAAAACAAAAAACCGCTGAGCTAAACAGCATGCTTAGTGAGTAGCAGTACACTGACTGTATTAGCCCTTCCATGACTACATGATAGGATTTCAATGACATTCTTATCCTACTTGCAAAATAAACAAGGATCCAGGAAATTGATTAAATTCAGGATTCACCCAGATGGGGCCACTGTCTCTTCTAATTACTCAACAGGTCTTTACAGGGGGCCTACTAGAGCCCAGCCCAGTGGTCCCTGCCCAGGACCCTCCAAATCAAATGGGGAGACAAGACATAAGCAAGGAACATCACAAGAAGGCTAGGCACTAGGCAGTCCTACACAGAACAGAATTGCAGAGAAGTCCATGGAGTCAAGTGTCTCTGAGACAGAGCAAATGGGGAAGGCTTCCTCATGAGGAGGTGGCATTTTCACCAGGGTTGATGAAGTTAACCTGCATTAAGTAAAATTTAGAAAGTTCTAGGAACACAGAGCCTTATACACAGTGTTCTTGTGCTCCTTTCTTAGTAATCTAGAAATGGGTTCTGGTGCTCATGGGTGAGATACTGGCCAGTTCTCTCAGGCAGATAATCCAGACTTCTTGCATATAGCTAGATTCCTGTGAACACTTTGATGCATTTGTATTAGAAAGAAAACATCCAAGTCACAAATAGCATCTATGCAGGGAGAACTCTTACACCTTTTCCTTTCCCTGCAGAGACCAGTGACCTATTGAAGTGGTGCCTCTGGCTCAGTCGGCCTCAGTCTTCCGCTGGGACTCAGACCTGCTCCGGAAGTAAAAAATGTTCCTGATATGTCATCAACTCTGTCCTCTTTGTGCTTAATTTGCATTGACAACTGAAAAGTTAAGCAGATGCATCATTGGGCCTCCTTGTTCATTTTTTGCACTTCACTGTAAAAAACAAGAAATGATTATAGAAAAATGTATATATCTGCTGGAAAACTCCTTTCTCCCCTCTAGTTCAGAATCTTGCAATTGGGAATGTTTGTCGTATTTTAAATCAGCAGATGATAGTTGGCTGCATCTGCCCGTGTGGCATTTTTTTTTTTTCTTCTGGGTTCACACATAAACTTCCTTTCCTTCCCTCTAAATTTCTGTCTTTCTTTTTACCTCTCTGTCTTTTGGTAGATCGTCTTTCTTTTTTTCTTCCCATCTTTATGGTTTCTCTACACAATCCTTTAGCCATGTTATTGTTCAAATTTAACTTCCAATTCTCAAGTTACTGTGTGTGTGGTTTTTTCTTGTCTACAAAGGAAATATTCCCCTGGGAAAAGATAAGTGTGAAACAAGGGCAGCTAGGGTCCTGTCTTTGGGGTGTCCAGACTTACACAAAGAACTTTTTAATGAACTGTTTTGTTTTTGTTTTTTGTTTTTTGTTTTTTTTCTCAAAAAAGGAAGCCATGTGTAGCCTCTGCCCCAGAGGGGGGAGAATTCTTGGCTGAGGAGGATAGGTGGAGAGGGTTTCCAAACTCTCCACCTTCAAGTCCTAAGTCTTTGAAAGCTATCCTAAGATAAAGCAACATTCTCTTGTGAATTTTGTAATAAGAATTCTAGACTTGTTGGGTATGAGGCACATCTGAGCATGAATTGCCTTGGGTTTCCACAGGCCATCCTAGAATCCCTGGGAAGGGCTCCCTTTATTCCTGGACCGCCTTTGATGACACACAACCTTTGACCCTGATCAATGCATCCTCCTCCCAAGCAGTGCAGACAGGAGCAGCTCTCTCAGCACCCAGAGGAAGCGCGGGCATTCGGCTCTGACCTCTCACCCTGCCCCTAACCTCACTGATAATTGAGTTTTCCATTCGTACTCACCAGCAGGCTCTCTACACAAAGAAACAAGCCCCCCTTACTCTGTCTTTACCGAGATGAAACCACGAGCGGAGTCTGTTCAGCCAACACCAGCATCCGGTACCGGAACACACAAGAGGATCGGATCTGGGTCCCGGCTCCCCGATTCCATCCTGGGCCTCCCAGCACCTCCCATGCCGCTAGGACAGAGCACCTGACTCAGACAGCATTTGTTTCTCCTAGTGTGGCACTTGAAGAGAGAACTGTGTCTCTTTGAAAAATGTTCATGTTGCAGAGCAATTTAAAACACACACCTCCTTCCAAGTGCCCTTCCATAAAAGCCTGCTTTCCAGAAGCTCCTGGAATCCTAAAAACTGAATCAAAGACATTTTAAAATGAACTTTCTCTACCTCCCTTTGAATCTTTGTAAAATCTCTTATTGTAGAATAAAGTAAGCTATCAACAAGCCCTTTCTAAACATTTCCACCCTAAGTTTGCCCTATGCGTGGAAAGAATGGATGGCTAGAATCACCCCCTCGACCTCCTGCTGAAGAGGACAAGGTGCTGGTGTGGGAGGCAAGTCCCCAGCCAGTGAGTTGGGGCTCCCGGAACCGCTGTCCACGAGGAGGGGAGGATGGAGTCCTGAGATGCCCGCACTACCCTCGGCAAATGCTTGCGGGCTTCTAACTTAGGAATGGTAATGACCTCATTAGCATCATGCACTTCCCCCTGCAAGTGACACCATCTCCTCTGGCTCTCACACCCCCACTGAGGTAGCTAGATCTTGTGCCAAGAAACCAAAGGGCAGAGGATGTGTCCAAGGTCACCAGAAGAGGTGGAGCCAAGACTTCGAGCTAAGTTTTCGGACTCTGCAGCCATGAAACTTGGGGAGTGCCCCGCTGCTTCTAGAGGAGCACCCCTGGAAGGCAGAAGAACCAGAGGAAGCTTCCAGGGTAGGACAAAAACACAAGAACATATGAAAGCAGAGACAGAACTGTTCTTGCCAGAGGGAGAGGTGGAGACTTCAGAAGACAGAACAGTCGCCATGGCAGTGGCATTCTGGGGGGTGGAGGGGCTTCCTGGGGAGGAAGGGCCCAGCTGAGCCTTAAGGATGGAGCAGCATTGAGAGTAGTAGAGGGGAGATGGCGAGGTGCTTTAGCAGGGGGACCTGCCTGGGAAGAGGCTTCAAGCAGGAAGCCCTGATGGAGACAATGTTGAGGTCCTGGGCCGACAGCCTGTTGGAGAGAGAGGGAGGGCCACACGTGCAAGGCCTTGAAAGTTGAGCCAGGAGTTGGGGCTTTCTGTGTAAGCAGTCTCTTAGAATACCTACTGTAGGGGTGTAGTGTGCAGTCTTTAACAACAAGGACATTTTCCCATTTGGAAATTGAAAAGTGGGAAAACTCAGCCAGAATGGCACCCATATATGGGCCAATCAAAGCAAGACCCATTGGCCTAAAAGCCTCCTCTTCATTCCCCACTGCCTGCCCTCTTGCCCAGACAGTGTGAAGCTCCCTAGGCCCGTGCTCAATCTCCAGCCTTCTGGGCTGCTTTATGGCAGATTCGGATGCAAAAGGTCTGGGAGTGACTCAAGAATCTCTGTTTTTACTGAGTGTCCATAGGTGTTGTTAACCACGAACCAGTTTAGAAAGAAGAAACACCACTGTGAGGATCACCCGGGGCACTAGGAAATAACAGGGCCTCTCCTCTGCAGAGCCTGAGCTAGCAGGTCCATGGGGAGAACCAGGAATCTGGGTCTTTAACAAAAGCAGGGCCAGGTTTTGGTTGAGATGAGCAAGGTGAGCCATCCAAGTGCAGGGTCAACTCCTGTCCTCATTTCAAAGTTTCTTCGCTCCATTGCTCATCATGGACATTTTTGCACTGATTTTTGTTATCATTTATCTTGATAACTGAGTTTTTTTTGGCTTCTCCTTAAAATTTGCACCTAAAATGAGTGTCTCACTTGCCTCACCCTTGTCTTGGCCCACAACAAAAGCCCCAGGTGATCCCCAGGATGATGGCTGAGTCCAGGACACTCAGCACAGCCTTCCAGCTCTTTCCTTTGCCTGCATTTCCAGCCTCATCCACCTCATCCCTGAGCACAGGCTCTGCACACCCACCCCAGCCCAGTGACCAGCTCTCCAAACAGCCTCTGCACATACTCTTCCTTCTTCTTGCAATGTCCTTGCTGCCTCTGGGGTCCCCACTCCACCTGGGCAGCCCCTCCTCCAATGCCACCAATGGCCCCCTGTATACATATAGGGCTGGGAGCTCTGCCACACTCTCCCGCTGAAACTACCAGCCTCCCGCAACAACCCCAGGAAAGAATAGTGTCTTCACTTCTACGCTCAATTTGCCCACACCCCCAAGTCAGGACTGTCTCACCATCCCATTATTGTTCAATGTGCCTGTGAGCCCCTTGAAGAAAAAGGAAATATCTTATTCCAGATCCTCCCACTCCTAGAACATACCCTGGCACTGAAGAGAGGATGGCTGGCTGGATGGATGGATGGATGGATGGAGGGGTGGGTGGGGTGGGTGGGTGGATAGATGGATAGATGAATGAATAAAAGTCGAGGCACAATGGGCTGATCACAGGCCTCACAACCCAAACCTGGGCTTGAATCCGCCTTCACTACCCACCTCTGAATGCTCCAAACAAGTGACTTAACAACACCAGCTCCATCTCCTCATCTATAAAATGGAACTAAGGGGGCTGCCTTTGCAAGGTCGTTGTGAAAATTAAAAGCAGTTTACTGAGTGCCTGGGACCCAGTAATAGGTGTTGCATAAGTTGAAAAAATAACAGGGATCAGATGGCAGACTGCCTTTCCCCTTGGAACCATTGTATGGTGCTGTGTGCTCTGAGAGGCCATGTAATAAAGCACTATGTGGCTTGCTGCTGTGATCCTTGTAGGCTGGCTAAGCTTAGTCTGACAAGCGGTTCATAATGATCAAGGCTTAAGTGAGGCTTGGTCCCTGAATCCATTGGAGGGATTTTACATTCTAAAGTCAGATGGAGGAAAGAAATGATGTGGGTCTTCATTGAGTTTAAAGCCCACTGATTCAACTCAGATTTGAGGAACATCAGCTGGCACTTCCCACGTCTGTGTAGGGTGGCACCTGCTGGGAGTCACTCCTAGACGCTGTCACAGACAGTCTCCTGAAGTCCCTTTCAAGTCTTAAATATCATGTGAAAGATCTTACCCTGGAGTAGACTTATCTTGACCCTTCATGTATTAATCAGGATTCTCCAGAGAAACAACCTATACATATCCAGAAAGAAACAGAGAAATATTTACTTTAAGGAATTGCTCATGACTGTGGATACTTGCAAATCTGAAATTTGCGGGAGAGGCGGGCAGGCTGGAGACCCTGGGAAGTGTTGATGTTGCAGTCTTCAGTCCAAAGACAGCTGAAATTGAATCCACCTTTGGATTCATCTTCATGAGGATTTCTTCATCTTCGAGGGACCTCAGTGTTTTCTCTTAAGACCTGGAGGATAATATGTTTATTCAGAATCTACTGACTTCAATGTTAATCTAAAAAAAAAAAAAAAAAAAAAAAGCCTTTACAGTGACATCTAGACTGGCATTTGACCAAACAAATGGGCACCTTAGCCTAGCCACACTGACATACAAAATTAGCCATCATGCTCCCCAAGTTTGCAATATGAAAAAGAATCAGCCTACCTAACAGTCAGTCACTACATAAGAAGCAATAATGGGAAAGCGCTTTGCCAGGGAAAAGATGCCCCACAGAACAGGTGCTGCCAGGGTGGGGGCTAAATCTGCTGTTTGGGGACAACCAGGACATACCAAGTGTTCTACTAGACTGTTTGACAGACAAAAAGGAAGCTGGCAGAGTCCTTTCCAGGAAAACTAATTCATTCACCCGATACTATTGGCTCTACTGAGCACCAGGCTTACCAGATCCCATCCAGTGGACAAATGGTACAACAAGGGGGCATGCCAAGGGGGAAAGCCAGGGGTGTGCAGCATCCACACAGGAAACTCAGGAGGATGCCTGGCCCAAACTCAGGAGTTGGGGGCAACTAGCAGCAAACTCAGTGGCCATCACCAGAGGAATGAGTAAGGAAAACTTAGTGATGTACGATGTGAAATTTTTTGCAGCATTTGGAAACAATTAACTAGATGTACACACAGCTTAGATTTTAAAAACACAATGCTGAACGGGGAAAAAGTAAGAAACAGAACAGTTGATAGCACAATATCATTTATATAAGTTTAGAATACATCACACAAGGCAACGTGCTTTAGAGAGATGCTTGTAATTTCAAGGATACAAAGCAGATGCGTTGGAGCAGTTGCCTATGAGAAGAGGGGCATGGGATGGGAATTTAAACTAAGTGGATAAATGAGAAGAGGAGCCTGGCATGAAGCAATGAGGTAATGTTTCATGAACTGCAGAGTAACTCAACCCTCCGCACTGTGGTCCAGAAAGTGGAAGAAAAATCATTACTGAGAGCTGCCACCAGGTTATCAAGATTTGTTCAAGGTCTATCTTTTCTTCTAGATCAGAAGTCATAGCCCAGGAGCCAAATCCAACCCACCACCAGGTTCTGTAAATAAAGTTTTACTGGCACACAGCCACACTCATTCATTTACATATTGCCTGTGGCTGTTTTTACAGGACAATAGGAGAGTTGAGGAGTTGCAACAGAGACTATATGGTCTGCGAAGCTTAAGACAGTTATGACCTGGCCCTTTACAAAAAAGGTTTGCCAACCCCTGCTCCAGACTAAAAGCTCCATGATGGTAAGGGCTATAGGTAAAGAGAAAAGAGAGAGCTCCATGAATAGTGATGTATCAACACTGGCCAAACACAAAACAAGCCCACGGGCTTCCCACAGCTCTAGGGTATGACTCAGACTGCAAGTGGTGGCCACTCAGTTCTTCAACTGCACCAAGGGCCCTCTGACCCTAGGCCTTTGTGTGTGCTGATCTTCTCTGTGGAATGTTCTCTCTCTACTTCTTCGTCTGACCAACTCTACCATATGTCTTCTAGGAGCCTTCTCTGGTGCCCTGCCCCTAGCCTGGGAAGTCATTTAGACCCTTTCATAGCCTCAGCACTTTCTGATAAAACACAGCACCCTGGTATTGTGTGCTCAACAGGGTGAACACACAGGTCTGCCTTCCTTTCTAGACCAAAACCTATCAAGGGCATGGACCAAGTCCTGCTCGACTCTGAGTTCCCAGCTCCTCTAGCACAGCACATAGTAGGTGCTCAATAAAAATTTTTTTAAAAATAAATCAATGAATTCAAGAATGAGTAAATGAAAAGGTGTGATGCAGGGATGGTAAGCAGGACAACGTGGCAGGAGCAGAGGACATGCAGGGAAAGGGGAAAGAGTAAGATTAGGAAAGATTGGGGGAAATGATAAAAGGCCTGAAACGCCAAGAAGTAGATGCTTTCTTCCAAAGGGCATGTGCTGAAACCTGACTTCCCAACACAAAGACTGTCTACTGCATGAATAATTGACTTGGAGCTGGAAGGAGTCAGAATCCAGGTCATCCCCCATTCCCCCATGGAGATGGTGCAGCCCCATTTCCAGCCTGGTTCCTCAGCTGACCTGCTTGCTTCCAGCCTCTATTCATCCTCTGGTGGATGCAGGCATGACCTATTCCACACACAGTGAGGGCTCAGAATGGAGCCCCATACTGGGGTCTGCCCTGGCTTTGCCACGACAGAGCATGTTCAGCTTCTCCCTGGTCCTGGAAGACAGGAGTGTCAGATGGAGTCTTTAGGCTCTATTCTCTGCAGTCCTCTGAGCCCATGGCCTTCTGGCTTGTGAGCATATAATAAACCAAGCACCTTTCCCCTTTGCTGTGGGCTGTAAGAGTAGATGGCATCACAGAGTCCTGAAGACCCCCACAGAGCACTGACCCTCACATTGCAGCTCCTCTCACTGCCTCCAGTCCCCTCGGTCCCTGTGCCCACCTGGGAAGGCTTTCTATGGGACTTTCTCACACACTCACCCATTCTGTGTGTACTAGAAGTTCATTCCCAAAGCAAGACAGAAGGTGGTGCGTGGCCCAGATGTGCTAAGCTTCCAATGCAGGGGAGCCCTGTGTCATCTTAAATCTGAGATGGTAGATCCAGGCCTTGAAGTACCAGTGCAGCGTGCCACTTACTATCTAAGACCTGGAATTGCTGGGAGGCAACGTAATAGGGTGGCATGTTGGCTTTCCAGGGCTTCTATCACAAAGACCCATGGACAGAATGACTGAAATAGCAAAACTTTATTTCTTTGCAGTTCTGCCAGCAACAAGTCCAAGATCAAGGTATCTGCAGAATCAGTTTCTTTTGAGGCCTCTCTTCTTGGCCCATAGATGGCCGTCTTCTCCCTGCCTTCACCTGTTCTTTGCTCTGTGCGTGTCTGTGTCCTAATCTCTTCTTCTTATAAGAATATCAGTCTATTGGATTAGGGTCCACTCTAATAACCTCACTTTAACTTAATTACCTCTTTTAAAACCCTATCTCCAAATACAGTTACATTCTGAGGCACCAGGGGTGGTTAGGACTGCAACACATGAGCTGGGGAGAGGAGATACAAATCAGCCCGTGACAGCTGGAAAGGGCTTGGCATGGAGGCCAGATGGAAAGGAGCTCAAATCCTAGCCCCTCACCTCACTGAGCCTCAGTTTCCTCATCAACAAAATGAGGGGATTATTTCTCCCTTGGGGGCACCTCTGAGGATGGAGTGAGATAAGACACATGCCTGCACCCAGTGCAGTCCTGGGTACCTGGTAAATGGCGTTTATTATGAACACTGTTCCTGGACTCTGGCTCTCACATATTCCAGCTCCTGGTCATTCTCCATTAACTCCATCTGTACGAACCACAGCTACATGTCAAAGGGTCATATCATGTGTTACATTTGTTCTTTCCCAATTCACCCAAACATCTCACTTTAGCATCTCAGCTCACATTGTTTTGGACATTTTTCTTGCTAAAATCATCTACATTTATTAATCATGAATATAGTCAGATGACCCCATCCAAGGAGGGACTGTCTGGTGGGATGGTTAAGAGTTTATCAAATTCTCTAGTCCAGAGCAAGTATAAAAGGAATAGGGGGAAAAAATTGAACAAAAGAGAAGAAAGAGTTTATCAAAGTCTTGGTTTGATCCTGGCTCTGCTACTTACATGCTGTGTGAACCTAGGCAAATCATTGAAACACTCAGTGTCCTCCTCTGTAACGTGAGAATCATAAAAGTAGCTCTCTCATGGGGCTGTAGTGACATTTAACTGAGCTTAGATATGAGAAGCTCTTCCAACAGGGCAAAGCACAAAGTAAGCACTACATGTCTGTTAGCCACGATTACGATGTTTCACGGTTGTGGAACGTCCTCCTGCTCTGTCTATTGACAAAGCCTGCAAGACCCCTCTGTGAGCAGCATTCCTACTACAGAGGTGCCTGATGAACTCTGGGCCCCCTCAGTTCTCATTTGGCCTAAATGCCCAACTGTGTCATACACTTGGCACCAAGCACGCCCGGTTTCATTTCAGGAGTGAGAGTCACACTATGTGTCTCTGAAGGGTGTGAGCACGTGTCCACCCCCTGGTGTTCCACAGCCTGAACACAATGCTAAGTACACAGTAGGTTCTTGGGAAGCAAACAGTTGTGGACTGACTGATAAAACTACATGACGACAACTCAGCAACAACCCACCTACCTGGAGGACTGTACCATAGTCTGAAATCTGCAAAGATGTTGAGGGGAAAGTGCCATTATTCTGAAACGCACATTTTTTTTTTTTTTTTTTTGAGATGGGGTTTCACTCTTGTTGTCCAGGCTGGAGTACAGTGGTGCGATCTCGGCTCACTGAAACCTCTGCCTCCCAGGTTCAAGCAATTATCCTGCCTCAGCCTCCTGAGTAGCTGGGATTACAGGCACCTACTTTTATGCCTGGCTAATTTTTGTATTTTTAGTAGAGATGGGGTTTCACTATGTTGGCCACGCTGGTCTCGGACTCCTGACCTCAGGTGATCTGCCTGCCTTGGCCTCCCAAAGTGCTGGGATTACAGGCATGAGCCACTGTGCCCAGCCCTGAAATGGAATTTTTGACGTAAATAAAATGTTTTAAAAAATAAATTAGGCCTGGCACGGTGGCTTACGCCTGTAATCCCAGCACTCTGGGAGGCCGAGGCGGGTGGATCACGAGGTCAGGAGATCAAGACCATCCTGGCTAACACGGTGAAAACCTGTGTCTACTAAAAATACAAAAAAATTAGCCAGGCATGGTGGTGGGCACCTGTAGTCCCAGCTACTTGGGAGGCTGAGGCAGGAGAATGGTGTGAACCCGAGTGGCAGAGCTTGCAGTGGGCCGAGATCACACCACTGCACTCCAGCCTGGGTGACAGAGGGAGACTCCGTCTCAAAAGAAAAAAAAACAAAACAAACAAATAAAAAATAAATTAGAGCTTGGGATTTTTTGTGTGTGTTGTTTTGTCTTTGTTTGTTTTGTTTTGCCTTAAGCTCCTGAGTGACTTTACTCTGATGATGGGCAAATCCTACTAACTAACCAGACTTATTTGTAAAGTTTCTGCAAATAGACCACAGCATGTCCCATTCCTGTGTCCCACAAGGAATGCCGTTGGTGGGATGGGGCAGGACTGCCCTTCAAAGTCAGTATTACGTTTTATATGAAAAAATATTCAACATCATTAATCATCAGAGAAATGAAAATCAAAACCATCTCACACCAGTCAGAATGGCTATAATTGAAGAATCAAAAAATAGCAGATGCTGGAGAGGCTGCGGAGAAAAGGCCACGCATTCTTTGTGGGAATGTAAATTAGTGTAGCCACTGTGGAAAGCAGTCTGACGATTTCTCAAATAACTTAAAACAGCTACCATTTAACCCAGCAATCCCATTACTGGATATATTCTCAAAGGAATATAGATCATTCTACCAAAAAGACATATGCTTTCATATGTTCATCACAGCACAAGTTCCAATAGCAAAGACATGGAATCAACCTAGGTACCCATCAACAATGGATTGGATGCAGAAAATGTGGTCTATATACACCATGGAATACTACACAGTCACAAAAAAAGAATAAAATCATGTCCTTTGTAGCAACACGGATGCAGCTGAAAGTCATAATCCTGAGAGAATTAACACAGGAAAAAAAACCATATACCGTACGTTCTCACTTATAAGTGGGAGCTAAACATTGGGTACTCATGGACATAAAGATGGCAACAATCAACACTGGGCACTACTAGAGAAGGGAGGGGGCAAAGGCTGAAAAATTACCTATTGGGCACTGTGCTCACTACCTGGGTGCTGGGGCCATTTGTACCCCCAACCTCAGCATCATACAATATACCCATGTAACGAACCTGCATATGTAACCTCTGGATATAAAATAAAAGTTAATTTTTTTTTAAGAAGTCAGTATTACGTTTTGCTTTGTTTTGTTTTGTTTTTTGAGACGGAGTCTCGCTGTGGCCCAGGCTGGAGTGCGGTGGTGTGCTCTCCGCTCACTGCAGGCTCCGCCCCCCGGGGTTCACTCCACTCTCCTGCCTCAACCTCCTGAGTAGCTGGGACTACAGGCGCCCGCCACCTCGCCCGGCTAATTTTTTGTATTTTTAGTAGAGACAGGGTTTCACCATGTTAGCCAGGATGGTCTCGATCTCCTGACCTCGTGATCCGCCCGCCTCGGCCTCCCAAAGTGCTGGGATTACAGGCGTGAGCCACCGCGCCCGGCCGTCAATATTATGTTTTAAAGACTGGTAACGTGAGAAATCTGGAATCAGGGTAAGGGTCCCAAACTTTGGAGCACAGCACACTTCCCTGCCTGAGTGGTTTTATGTAAGTAAGTTTATTCGTTTAATCCTCACAAGAGCCCCCGTGGCGGATAAGGAGTCTGGGGCATGAGGACTCAGTCACTGGCCCCAGATTGGACAACAATCGGCAGCAGAGCCAGCCTCACTCCTGGCAGTCTGGTGACAGGGTAAAGCCCCGACCATCCCTCGACCCTACCTTCCACCTGAGGTTGGTGTTGCACTTCTCATGGTGATGGGCAGGTTCTCACAGGCTCCTCACAGCACGCCATGCGGGTGGCAGACAAGGAGAGGACCCTTCTGCCCGTCTGCTCATCTTGCAGGTGGGAAGTCTGAGCCATGGGTTGTTCTGAGCAGCATCCTGAGCTTCTCTCCTGTCTCTACCTCCACACCCCGAAGGTAGGCGCTCTTAGCAAGAGACAAGTCAATCCATTTGTCCATTTGATTTAGGAAATGCCCACTGTGCTCCAGGGCAGGTCAGGTCCTCAGCTGGACACCCAGAGGACCACAGAAGGGACAAGACCAGGCCAGCCTTGCGGAACGTACTAGGCCTGTGTGTGGTGGGGCAGAGAGACACATGCCTGTCCTCATAGGGGAAAGTACAAGTGCAGAGTGAATCCCAGGAGGGCAAGATCATCACCCTCTGGGGTTATCAGAGAGACTTCCTGGAGGGTAATGTACCTGCCAACTTCCTGAACCAAGTCTGACAGTCCCATGTGTGTCCCTCACCCAGTGGCCAACAAAAGAATGGTTTAGGCTTCCTCAGCTATCGAAGGAGGCCATTCACCAGGCTCCCTGGCTTGGGCTTGACGTTGGCTCCCATTCCCAGTTCATCCCAGAGTCTACACAGAGTGTCTACCCAGCAGCTCCATCCCTTTTCCAGCCCTGTGATCTGCCTTGGACCTTTCTGAACTAGGCTCACTCAATTTGACCTTCAGGATGATGTAGGGCCCCCTGGAATTCAGCATCTTCCCTCCCAGCCTCTTCGGGTGCCCATCCTGCCCAGCCCTCCTCGCTGGCCCCAGCAAGAGACAGATTTGAAAAGTCAGAACTGAAGAGAAGGACATTTAGGACATGCCCCAGAGAGTCCTGGCCTTCCTTCTCCTCCGGGAAGTAGACGACCTACTCACCCATCTTCAAAATCCTCATCATCTCATCCTTGAGGCTATTTTCCACAATGAACGTTGGAGATCACGTTTGTCATGAGTTGATGGTTTCTAGGGTGATTTTTCCCTTGAGAAAATCTTGACTTCCTTACACAGGAGCTGGCTGTGTGTGGTGCAAAGGGAAGAGAGAGATGCATTGCTAAAGAGTAGAACAGATATCTTTGACGCAGAAAATGAATCCCTGGCCTGTGCAGGAAAATGAGAAAAGACAGGGAAATGGAAACCTTCCTCCCAAATATCCCAGGACCCCCGAGTATCTGCTAGCAGCCAAGCAGCCATGCGGCCTGTGTCTCCACTGAGCTCTAGGAGAGACCCTCAGGGCTGCTCTAGGGGAGAGATTCCAGCCAAGCTGCCAATAGTAGCATTAGTGTCAGCCCTCCCAGCTTTCTCCTCTTTTGTGCAGGTAAAGGAATCACCCGTCATCTCTACTACCCTTCACTGAACCCTTTTCTTCCTTATCATGCCACCCTAGGGGCTTAAAATCTCTGCCATAAGAGTCAGAACCCCCTTCTGCGTGTCTCAGAGCCCCTCCCCATTGCCTGTTCCAGCCTGCTGTCCTTTGGCTCAAACCTTTGTGCCCACTGACCTCTGCTGTGCTCATCAGCTTCCAGCACCTGCCTTACACTTGCTCTGTCTCTATTGCTTTTTTGTACCCATTTAGCTGATTGACTGGCCTCTGCCCTTCCTCCAGGACAGGATGGCTTAGCTTTGCGAAGCCTCTGCGGGGAAGGAGCCCACATGAGCCAGATGCACACCTGCCTGGGCAGTGCGTCCTGCCTCTGATGGGCCAGGCCTTCACTCTGCCAGGGCCCTGATCTTAGCTGTGACCAGCCACCCCACAACCTACACCATTGTAGACACATAGTGGCCAGCGTGGACTGCAGCAGCTGCTTAGCAGTTGTCTGGGCCCATTAGACTCCTCCCTCTATCTGAGGCTCTCCAGACTTGGGTCCAGGGCCTGACAGTCTAACCACAGTCATCTGTTCTGCATGTAGCAGAACAACCACCTTCTAGAAATGTAAAAATATCTTTACCTTCCATTTATTGGACTATTTTCTTGTCTCCAACTACAACAAGGAAAGGAGCCAAAGAGGACCACTCGAGTGACATCCCTGGTGTATACACTGGAAAAGCGATAATAAGCAGAGCGTGGACCACTCCGGATCTCACTGTCGATGGCCCTCTCCCAGCCCTGCACTCCCACAGAAGTTGGGTAAACCTCTGTCAAACACCCATCAGACGTTAATGTCACATTAATTTTGCACATGATGGTCTCTCCTTCTAGAATTTAAGTTTTTTAAGGGTAGGGAATGTATCTTCACCCATTCTTGTATTCCTTCAGGCATTCATGTTATCAGTCAACAGCATTTACTGAGCACCTGCTTTATGCCCAGGCCCTGCCCTAGACCCCGGGATGCAAAGATAAATAAGATATAGCCCAGGCTCATGCCTGTCATCCCAGCACTTTGGGAGGCTGAGGCGGGTGGATCGAAAGGTCAAGAGATCGAGACCATCCTGGACAATATGGTGAAACCCGTCTCTACTAACAATACAAAAATTAGCTGGGCGTGGTGGTGCGCACCTGTAGTCCCAGCTACTCGGGCGGCTGAGGCAGGAGAATCACTTGAAGCCAGGAGGCGGAGGTTGCAGTGAACCAAGATCGCGCCACCACACTCCAGCGTGGCGACAGATAAATAATATACTGTCCCTGTCCTTGAGGCTCCCAGTCCAGTGATTGGTAAATAGATGTTTATGACTCAGCATGACAAATTCAATAATAGAAAAATGCAGAGGACAATGTGAGTTAAAAGGAAGAAGCATTTTCCCCATTTCAAGAGGTCAAAAAACACATCACAGAGAAGGAGGTTTCTAAACTGGGCTTTGAAGGATGACTAGGAGTTCTTTGGGCCAGAAAGACATTGCAGAAGTGAACACGTACCAACATCATTGATAAAACCTCAGCAATTGTTGTGGTTCCTGGCACATAGAAAATTCTCAGGAAAAGTTGCTGAGTTGTACTAAGTGAGAATATCGTGACTGACGGAAACCCAGTCCAAGGACTGGGGAAAGAGGGCCCCATCCTAGCTCCTCTGCCTCAAACCTGGAGACACATTGAAGTCATTTGGAAAGTGTGAGAAAACACTGATGTTCCAGTGTCACTCCCCACCGCCCCCACCCCAGAGATCCTCATATAATTGGCCGGAGAGGCTGCCTGGTCTTTGAGACTCTTAAAAGCTCCCCAGGTGATTCCAATAGGCTGCCTTGTTTGAGAACCACTGATGTAGACCAGTGCTTCTCAAACTTAATGTGCAAATAGATGCAGGCAATCTTGTTAAAATGCAGATTCTGACACAGCAAGATGGGCCTGAGAATCTTCATTTCTAACTAGCCCCTGGTAACACCGCTGCTGCTGGTCCTGGGACCACCATTTGAGTAGCGAGGCTCTCTGAGGCTTAATGCCCAAAGGCAATTCAGCTGGCCTCAGCAATGTGCCTGCATGCAGCGGTGATATTCCAAATCCGAAGGGAAGGGTACATGTGGGGGCACCAAGTGCCCAGAATGGATGTAGCGGCCACAGGTCTGAAGGCTCTGCTGCCCCTGGTGTGAGTTAACTTAGTTGTGGGTGGGGAAGATGTTAGGGGGAGGGCTGGGCAGTCAAGGCCACAGGGGGTGCCTGGGAGAGGTGGGGACAGCAGCCTGTTTACCCACCTCCCTGTTGTAAGAGCTGACATCGAATACCGGTGTCTACCAGCTGGCTGTCCCCCCACCCACGGCCTGCACCCAAGGCCGAGGAACAGCCAAGAAGGCCTGGCGAGCAGCATCCTACGGAGAGGACAGCGAGGAGGCCGCCTTGGCAGGAGCTGCCTGCTGGATAAACATTGTTCTGTTTTTTTCTTTTTTCTCTTCAAACAAGCCCTTCTCAGCACTGGCCACATCATCCTAAACAAGGCCTCTCAGTGCTGTTGACACAAAGGCAGAGACGGTGTCATTCCAGCCCAGAGATAAAACTCGGATCCTCCCACAATGGTGGGCACTTCGTCTCGGGAAGAACACCAGTGAATCAGGAAATTCAGCAAGCTGGGTCTAAGCCCTGCCCTCAGGCTAGGCTCAGGTTTTTTGTTGGTTTGGGTGGATTTCTTCCTCCCCAAAGCTCTGCTTGTTTCATGTGCCTGGTCAGCAGATATGTCAGCCCCAGACAATGGCCTCTTTCTGCAGACAATGGTCAGCATGAGGAATGTCGCAGGAGGGCAGGGCTTGGGGAGGGACAATCCCGCTTTCAGAAGTCAGTGGCCGAGTGGGTGCTGCAGGGAGGGTCCTGCTGTCACCAGGGCAGCCTCCTCAAAGGCACCATTTATAGGACCTGCAGCCCCAGAAAAGTGGAAGCTTTGGGCAGCAGCAGAATCAGAGAGCAGCTCCCTCGCCCGCTGCTCCCGGCAGACTCGCCCTGCCTGCTTTATCGGCCTCCCGAGGCTCCTGCAACCACAATTCCTACCATGCAGACTTTGTTTAATGAAAAAACAAATAGTTACCCCCAAATTAGACCGAGGCCTGCTGTTCCCTCAGCCGCGCCTCCTGCAGTACCCAGCCTGTGCCTCATTGGCCGGCTCTCCAGAAAAGAAAGGGCTCATTCATCCCCAAAGGTGGAAACTCGCCTTCTCCCAGGGAAATTGTGTAACCGTTTTGTAGTGGAACCGACTACAGGCCTCAAGGTCTTTTGCAAAAAGAAAAACAGATAAGGGGGCGGTGGCGGGAGCCAATGCTGGCTGTCTTAGATTTGCTCATTGCAGAATGATTTTCTGACAGAGATCATAGGCCCACAAGTCACATCAGCTGGTCCCTGGATTTCAAGGATCCTCACTGTGATTGGAAAATTAAGTGATAGCCATGCATGCATGCATTTATTCATTCATTCCTCCAGCACAATGTATGGCACATAATAGATGCTTAGTAAACATGTGTTGAATGAATGAAATGTTTTGTAATATCTGATTCTATCTCTCCATGCTCAGAAAACCTTCAACAGCTCCCTATTGCCTATATTATCAATTTAATCTTTCTTAGCATAGCTTACCACTTGTAACTGGACCCTCAAATACCTCTCCAACCCTACAACCTCCACATGCTCCCAATCCCACCCCTCCAACACGCACATATGCTGCCTACTGTTTCTTGAACCAAACCATTGTTGTGTGAGCCTCTAGGCCTTAGTCCCAGCTGTCTCTTAACCTCAAGGCCCTTTCCAAGCTTCTTGTAGGGATCTGGTGAGTTCCTCTCCCATGAGACTCAAGCCAGTGTTTACTCCTCCTCTTAAAAGCCATCGCTAAATATAAAAAATTAGCCGGGCGTGGTGGGGAGCGCCTGTAGTCTCAGCTACTCAGGAGGCTGAGGCAGGAGAATGGCGTGAACCCGGGAGGCGGAGCTTGCAGTGAGCTGAGATCGAGCCACTGCACTCCAGCCTGGGGGACAGAGCGAGACTCCATCTCAAAAAAAAAAAAAAAAGCCATCGCCAAAGTGTCAGGCTCCATAGCCTCACTCTTGTTCATGGCCCTATCATGACACTTGCCACTCTTCCTTCTATCTTCCTGTTGCAACCATGCTGTGCACTTCTTGAGAGTGAGAACTGAGTCTGACTTACCTCCATATGCCCAGTGGGGGCCCAGGGTCCAGTCCATCATAGATCCTCAGTAACTACAGAGACCAACTAGTCCTGGTTTGCCCAGGACATTCCTTGTCTTAGCACTGAAAGTCCCACATCCCGGGACACCCCTTAGTCCTAGACAAACTGGAACTGTTTGTCCTCACATCAGTAAATGAGTAGTGAATGAATAATGCCTAGGTCTCTATTCATTAGTTCATTCACTTAACACACATGTAGTAAAAATCTGTGAGCCAGGTCCCATGCTCATACAGTTAGAGGGTGTTTCTAAACAGCTTCATGGCCCAGCATTGCAAAAGGACAGCTCTTTGGGGTTGAGTTAGCCTCAAGTCCATGGGGCACCTTTCCTAGATTCCTGTTTATCTCCTCCGCTATCTCTTCCAGTATCCACACCACGTTGTTTACAATGCATCTGTTGACATCTGCCTTATCTCCCTGGATTTGCTCTGGGCCTCCCTGGGTCTACTGCCCTCAGAAAGGACGAGCCCTCTAGCCTGACAGAGGAATTCCTAGCTAAGGTTTTATAAGTCAAAAGACCCACACTGGAGCTTGGGTCCCAGGGCAGCCCCCAGCCCTGGGCCCTCAGAACGAGAGCGATTGCAGCCAGGACGCATGTGTCTGCCCAGCCGTCCTCAGACCCTGGGGCTGCTTGGACCCATCTGTTTCCCAGTTCTAGGTCAAATCAAGCTGAGAAAGGATCAGGCTTCATTTGACCTGAGATGGCTGGAGCATCTGGCTGCTCCCTCTACCTCCCCCACCCTGGCGAGATGAGCCTAAGTCCCCCATCCCCCTCGGTGGGCTCTCGGAGACGCCATCTTTTCCCTGGTGATTTCAGGGCTTCTGGGAAGTGTGACCCAATAGAGGCCACAAAGACAGACACATGTGGCTTGAATCCCAGCTCAACTACTTAGCTGAGTGGCTCTAGGTAAATTCCTTAACCTCTCCACGCTGTCTCATTTAAGCAGGGATATTGATAATGCTCACTTTGCAACATTGTTATAAAGACTATAGAAGATTTACCAGGTGTCCAGCTCCCTGTCCAGCGCACAGTAGGCGCTCCAACAAGCAAACAGAATCAACAACCATTTGCAGTTAGTTCATTCAGCACCTTAGAACCAGGCCTGTACCTTTTGGCATCTCGCTCTGCTAGAGAAGGGCTAGTATCACTCACCAAGTCCTTCCTTATTTAAGATGTGCTCCCCTCTAAGAGGAAGGCCCAAGCTGCAGAAGCTGCTTCTAACCAAGATGATGAATAAAAGTTGTTCCTTCAAATTGGAAAGTTCCTAAGAATCTTTGGTTAACGAAGGACAAGAAAAACAAATATTAACAGATGGATTTCTTTTTAATCCGTGCGCTAAAACCGCACAATAGAAATGTTGAAAGTCTCCAACTGTTGATTTGAAAGCCCGGCATGAAGGTAAATACGAGGCACCTTGATATGTGACCATTTGGAGGTCACACTTCGAAGAAGCTATAGTCAAAAAGCCCTCTCCTTCCGCATGTTGAAATGATTTTCTTTCATCAAAAAAGCAACGGCCTGGCTCTCCAGGAAGCAGAGCCTGTGAGTTGTGTGCATAATGGACAGTCACCCTTTTAAAATACACATGAATTTAACCAACCTGCGTCATCCACGTTGCCTCCACTGCCTTTGCCTGTCATCTGGACAATTCTTAGCTCACCTTCCAGTTTCCACCTTTCCATATAATCTTAATGTCCCTATTTATTTCTTGCTTGTTTCTATGAACACTTTTTTTATTACATCAAAATTAATAGATTTGCACCACAAGAAGTCAGCACTACTGAACGGCAAAACTATGATATTTTTGGAAAGCCCCTCCAAGTTTTGCCTTGTTTCTCAGCAGTAGCCCTGAATTAATTACTTTAGGGAAATCTTTTGATCACAACTTTGCATGTATGTGTCTGGACTCACATACATTTAAGAATGTGCTGGCATGAGCGCACCCAGGCACATAAAAAGGATGAATATCCTAATGGTCAAGTCATTGTACAGCAGATGTGACACAGGCAACTCTGCACATCAATAGCAGGTTGCTTTCTATTGTATTCTATCTTTTTAAAAGTCAGGTTGGAGAAACACTGGAAATTAATTGGGATAGCCATAAAGACAACATTTGAAACATTACTGCACATGCCATACCCATTTTTCCCAATTAGTCTTTTGAAATATATGCTTTTATTCCTAATTTCTGAGTAATTGTCCACTTTGGAACTCCTACAAAGTGGGTAGGTATTTAAGAACCATGATGACCTATAACCTTTGACCCAAGGTGATCTTTACTGGGGGGACCCGTGAAAGATTGATTTGAGCAGAGCTGAGTTAGACAAACAAGCCATTCACATAACTTCAAATCTGGAGGCAAATCAGGTAAAAATGTGAGCAACCTTTGTGGCCTGGAATTTCCTGTCCCCATAGTTAGAAATTAGGACAATACTCCTAGCTTCGGCAAGTATTGATGAAGAAGTTTCTATATCTTCTTCAAATAGCCCCATAGAATGATCCAATAGGGCATCTAGGTCCCGTCAATGGCTGAGCTGCTTTCCTGCCAAATACCTTTGAAAAGGAACCCAAAGGGGTGCCTTTCACATAATTTAGAGCAACAGCTCTTAATATTTCCATCACAAGCACTCCTTTAAAAAAAAAATCTTTTCTCCAAAGAGCCCAGTTTTGGGGAGACTCTATTAAACAAACTACACTAACTTGTTTTCCAAATTTTCTGTCATCAAAACACAGGAAATTGCATGAAAGCTTCTGATGGAGTTGAGGTCACTGGAGCTGCCACATGGTGAGGACATGATTACAACCAGAGAAAAACTGGTCAGTGCTTTGTGCCCCGGTGAGGCTGAGTAAAGGCTTTTTTTTTTTTTTTTTTAGATGAAGTCTCTCTCTGTTTCCCAGGCTGGAGTGCAGTGGCACAATCTTGGCTGACTGCAACTTCTGCCTCTTAAGTTCAAGCAATTCTCCTGCCTCAGCCTTCTGAGTAGCTGGGACTACAGGTGCACACCACCACATCCAGCTAATTTTTTGTATTTTAGTAGAGACAGGGTTTCAACATGTTGCCCAGGCTGGTCTCAAACTCCTGAGCTCAGGCAATCTGCCTGTCTCAGCCTCCCAAAGTGCTAGGATTATAGGTGTGAGCCACTGCGCCCAGCCTAAGGCATGATTTTAGCTACCTTGGGGCAAAATGTTTAACTGTCAATGATCATTCCAGAAGCCTTGGCATGGAGGAGCCCAGGCTGGGAACCCCTAACCCTGAAGCTTCATCGCCTCCATTTCTAAGCCCATGTCATGAGAACAAGGTGGCAGAGAAGGAGGGTGTAAGAGCCAGATGGAGGCTTTGTTTGTTTTCCCTAAAGTGTTATTTATTGTTAAACAAAGGAAAAAATTTGACATTAATGAAAATTTTAAAACAGAGAAGCATCAATAGTAATCCTGTGACCAACGTTTTAATTTTCTTCTACAACGTTTCCAAGCTTTATCCACATGTACACCCTCACTATCTGTGGATTCCATACTTGTGAATTCACCTACTTGCTAAAATGTATTTGTAACTCCAAAATCAATACTTGTGGCACTTCTTGGTCGTCCACAGACATGCACAAAGTGGCGGAAATTTTGAGTAGTTCCACACATATGTTCCCAGCAGAGTTTGAACAGGACAAGTTCTGCCTCCTTGTTTCAGCTCACATACTGTAAATGAGCATCCCTTTCACAGACTATTTAGTGCCCACGTTTTTTGCATTTTTGTGCTTTCTTTTGGAAATCTGTCTGTTTTAAATGGCTCCTAAGCATAGTGCTGAAGTGTTGTCTAGTGTTTCTGAGTGCAAGGAGGCTGGGATGTGCCTTACAGAGAGAATATGTGTTAGATGAGCTTCATTTCAACATGACTTCAAGGGCTATTGGCCATGAGTTTCATTTTAGTGAATCAACAAGATTCTGTCTTTGGATAGAAGCCTGCATAAAATAAAGTCATGAATTAATCAACTAACAAAACATTATAACCAGAGGCTCTCAGGACTCTGTGTTCCTCCTGGAGGCAATGGTTCAGCATTCACTAATTCAGTGTTCATGGCGATATGGTTTGGCTGTGTCCCCACTGAATCTCATCTTGAATTGTAGGTCCCATAATCCCCATGTGTTGTGGGAGGGACAAGGTGGAGATAATTGAATCATGGGTGCAGTTTATCCCATCCTGTTCTCGTGATAGTGTGTTAGTTCTCATGAGATCTGATGGTTTAATAAGGGGCTTCCTCCTTCACTGGGCACTCATTCTTCTCCTTCCTGCTGACATGTGAAGAAGAACATGTTTGCTTCCCCTTCTGCCATAATTGTACATTTCTTGAGGCCTCCCCAGCCCTGCAGAACTGTAAGTCAATTAAACCTCTTTTCTTTATAAATTACCCAGTCTAGGGTATGCCTTTATTAGCAGAATGAAAACAGACTAATACAGTAAATTGGTACTCAGAATGGGGCACTGCTGTAAAGATACCTAAAAATGTGGATAACGGGCTGAAGTTGGAACAATTTGGAGGGCTCAGAAGACAGGAAAATGTGGGAAAGTCTGGAACTCTCTAGAGACTTGGAGGGCTCAGAAGACAGGAAGATGCAGGAAAGTTTAGAACTTCCTAGAGACTTGAATGGCTTTGACCAAAATGCTGATAGTGATATGAACAATGACGTCCAGGCTGAGGTGGTCTCAGACGGAGATGAGGAACTTGTTGGGAACTGGAGTAAAGGTCACTTTTGCTATGCAAAGGGACTGGCTGCATTTTGCCCCTGCCCTAGAGATCTGTGGAACTTTGAACTTGAATTTAGACTATGTGGCAGAAGAAATTTCTAAGTGGAAAAGTGTTCAAGAAGCAGAGCATAGAAGTTTGGAAAATTTGCAGCCTGATGATGTGACAGAAAAGAAAAATCCATTTTCTGGGGAGAAATTCAAGCTGGCTGCAGAAATTTGCATAAGTAATGAGAAGCCAAATGTTAATCACTAAGACAATGCGGAAAATGTCTCCAGGGCATGTCAGAGATCTTCACTGCAGCCCCTCCCATCACAAGCCTGGAGGCCTAGGAGGAAAAAATGGTTTTCTGGGCTAGGCCCAGGGCCCCATTGCTCTATGCAGCCTCGGGACATGATGCCCTAAGTCCCAGCTGCTTCAGCTCCAGCCATGGCTAAAAGAGCCAACATACAGCACAGGCCATTGACTCAGAGGGTGCAGGCCCCAAGCATTGGTAGCTTACATGTGGTGTAGAGCCTGTGGGTACACAGAAGTCAAGAATGGAGGTTTCAGAACCTCCACCTAGATTTCAGAAGATGCATGGAACTGCCTTTCATGTCTGGGCAGAAGTTTGTTGCAGGGGCGGAGCCCTCATGTAGAACGTCTGCTAGTAGGGCAGTGCAGAAGGAAAATGTGGGGTCATAGCCCCCACAGAGTCCCCATTAGAGCAACTGCCTAGTGGAGCTGTGAGAAGACAGCTACAGTCCTCCAGACCCCAGAATGGTAGATCCACCAACAACTTTCACTATGCTCCTGAAAAAGCCACAGGCACTGAACACCAGCCCATGAAAGCAGCTGGGAGGGGGGATGTACCCTGCAAAGC
The DNA here is from genome assembly GCF_000001405.40 of Homo sapiens. Lineage (NCBI taxonomy): Eukaryota > Metazoa > Chordata > Mammalia > Primates > Hominidae > Homo > Homo sapiens. The sequence goes on along the minus strand of NC_000002.12, from coordinate 16,063,132 downwards.
CACAGGGGCAGAGCTGCCCAAAGCCATGGGAGCTCACCCCTTGCATCAGCATAACCTGGATGTGAGACATCCAGGAGATCATTTTGGAACTTTAGGTTTAATGACTGCACTATTGGATTTCATACTTGCAAGGGGCCTGTAACTCCTTTGTTTGGGCCAATTTCTCCCACTTGAAATGGGTGTATTTATCCAATGCCTGTACTCCCGTTGTATCTAGTAAGTAACTAACTTGCTTTTGATTTTACAGGCTCACAGGAAGAAGGGCCCAGATGAGACTTTGGGCTTGGACTTTTGAGTTAATGCTGGAATGAGGTAAGCTTTGGGGGATGGTTGGAAGGGGATAATTGTGTTTTGAATCATGAGGACAAGATATTTGGGAGGGACCAGGGGCAAAATGATAGGGTTTGGCTGTTTCCCCACCCAATCTCACCTTAATTATAGTTCCCATAATCCCCACATGTCCTGGGAGGGACCAGGTGGAGATAATTAAATCATAGGGGCAGTTTCCCCCATCTTGTTCTTGTGATAGTGAGTTAGTTCTCACAAGAGCTGATGTTTTTATAAGGGGCTTCCCCCTTTGCTGGGCACTCATTCTTCTCCTTCCTGCTGCCATGTGAAGAAGGATGTGTTTGCTTCTCCCTCTGCCATGATTGTAAGTTTCCTGAGGCATTCCCAGCCCTGCAGAACTGTGAGTCAATTAAACCTCTTTCCTTTATAAGTTACTTAGTCTCAGGTATGTCTTTGTTAGTAATGTAAGAACAGACTAATAAACTTATAAAACATAACTATTGTGAATAACAAAGCTTAATTGTACTTAGAATTTCTTTTCCTGCTTATTTCAGTTAATATATGATAAGCAATTGTCATTGTTGCCATACATGAATACTCCTTTGAGTGGACAAGCCATCGTCTACTTTACTATTCCCTTATTGTTGGGCCTCCAGGTTATTTCCAACGTTTCAATTTTATAGACGAGGCTGCAAAAAGAATCTTCATGGATATAGTGTGTGAGCTCCACAAAGACACCTATTATCTACAAGTCTGCAGCCTCAGAGCATATTTCAGTGCTTGACATATAGTTTATCTCAATAAATGTTTATCAAGTGAGTGAATGACATAAGTTTGGACAATGATGATCAGGGGCAGTCAGTTCAACAGGTAAGACTCTTGCTAGGTGTTCAATAAATGTCTGTCCCTTGATGCCTGAACAACTACTGATTACCACCTGCTATGTCTCTGTAGCCAATACTGTGCCTGCATCTTTACTTTCATTATATTGTTTAATCCCCACTACCTTTGGAGGTAAATTTTATTAGCCTCATTTTACCAGTAAAGAAATTAAGATTTATATAAGTCATCTGTGAACAGTCATGCAGCTGACTAGAGCCCCTGCTGTGACTGTAGCTCAGGTCTTGGTGATTTCAAATACTCTGCTTTTTCTACTGCACCAGGCTGGAGCCATCTGTGGTCCTGAGCCTTGCTGGCACAGCTCCTGTGGTCACCAGATCAGAGGAAGCAGGATCAGCCAGCCTCCTACAAAGGCCATTGGGACACATAATCCCTAAGGCTCTGCTTTCTCCTCCCCTCCCCATAATTCTCCCACCTGAATTCCTCCTTTCTCCTATAATCACACATGCCTGACATGATGGCTGTTTCTTTTCTCTGGTCCTGGGCTCTGCCTCTATGGAGGTAATTGGCAGGCACTCAGCCTTCAATACCTTGTCCCAGGTTAACTGAAACTCACACCTGACTTGACTGTGATGTGGGGATGGATGCAATGATGCAAGGAGGGCAGAGGCTATTGGATTCCAGAAGGTTTTCAAGGTGGGGGATTTGATCTCCTCTTTTGATTTGAATGGACCTGAGTTGGCGGTGGGGATGTGAGCAATGTTGGGCCTTTCTTGACATTTATAAAAAACGAGGTAAAGATGGAAATGAGGCTTATTTCCTCTACATTTCAGAAACACAGGGATCATCTTGACTGGTATCCCCTCAGGGAGGGGATGTCTGATATTAGGCATAAACCCTCAGCTTTGAGATCATTAACAGCAGACCTCAGACATGCTGGTTGCTCCCAAAACCAGGGCCAGCAGCTTCTTGCAAAGTCAGAGGCACACTTGTTGGCTTGTCGATAACCCTTCTCATCTGCTATTTTGCAAAGCACTTAAACTGCCATCATGGTCTCAGTCTTACAATGCCATCAGGGAGGAAGAGAGAAGATGGTGTTTCCTCCTCTGGGAATGTCCTTCTCCTCTTACCTGCCTGAGGCACTCCCACTTCTCTTTTGGAACCCAGGACTAGTGGTTTTCTTTCTTGGAAGACTTCTCAGTCAGAATTCCCCAGAAGTAGTCACAGAACCCCCTTTGCCCACACTGCACCTGATAGGTTCGTTGTACCCAATATCATATCCTAAAAACATAGGCTTGTATGTCTGTCTCTCTTGAGGGCAAAAGTTGCATCTCATCTAACTCTGGTCCCAAGTGCCTATATAGTGTCTGTCACATAGAAGGTATTCTGAAAGCATTGAATGACCAAGTGGGAGAAGATAAAGATCAACTTCTTTAAAAGAAGATGCAATGCCTTCTTGCCCTTTTTATTATATATATATATTAGAGCTAGGGTCTCACGCTATAGCCTAGGCTGGAGTGCAGTGATACAATCATAGCTCACAGTAACCTCAAATTCCTAGGCTCAAGTGATCCTCACACCCCAGCCTCCTGAGTAGCTAGGACTACAGGCACATAACACCATGCCCAGTTAATTCTTTTTTTAACTTTTTGTAGAGATGAGGGTCTTGCTATGTTGCCCAAGCTGGTCTCAAACTCCTGGCCCCAAGCATTGGGATTATAGGCATGAGCCACTGTGCCCAGCCCCTTACCCATTTGTTTAAGTACCCGAAAAATTCAGTGTTATTTTTGAAACACAGAGTCTTTGAAGGGGAAATTAGGTCTAAGTTATCCTTTCATGCAAGAGTCCTCTTGTTAACATCTCAGAAAAAATAATTGTTCAGTATCTCCCTGGACATCCCCATTAATGGTGAGCTGGGGGGATTTTTCATCAATCCTAACTTTCTTTAGGAATCTGCCTTCATCATCACTTACAGCCCCTGAGACTCTGGAAGATGGAACAACAATTATAATAATAACACTCATGGTTTGTCCATAATAATGTTTATCATAGCAGCTAACATTTATTGAGAACTTATGTGCCAGGCACTGTTCTTGGTGGTTTACTTATTTGATCCTCATATTGACCCTCTGAGGTGATGCGATTATTATCCTCATTTTATAGACAAGACATTTGAGGACCAGAGAGGTAAAATAACTCACCTAAGGTCACACAGCTAATAAAGTGCAGAGCTAGGATCAGAACCCAGATGGTGTAGCTCCAGAACCCACATCCTAACTACCATGTCTGCTACCCTTTGGAAATGAATGAATGGTGTGTCTTAATGCACCAGGTCCAATCATAGCCCTTTTCCATACACCAGCTCACTTACCACTGGGGAGAGTCCTGTGACGTAGACAAGCGAATACCCCCATTTTACGGAAGACCAACCTGGGAGATAAGTCACACACCACATCCCTCACATGGTACAGGCTCCATGTACCATAACTGGACCAGGATAGCACCAAGGACATTGCCTCCTGAATAAGGATGCTGTGACTCAGAAAATGCTTATTTCTTTCTATGCCAAAACTCAATTTCTACAAATTCATTTTGGATCTATCAGTACACACCTAGAATGCCCAAGAGGTCTCTTGCCTCTTTCCCCACTCTGGGCCTCAGTTTCCTCAACTATAAAACACAAAGATCCTCTCTTACCCTGGCATAGCGTTGAATTTTTAGCTGAGGTCTAGGGAAGAGGAGGAGGGAAGAGGGGGAGCAAGAGGAGGAAGAGGATGGAGATCATCACTTCCCAGGGGAGTCATTCAGCAGCAGGATCCTGTATTTTAGAAATGGGCCAAATGAGGAGAACCTAGAAAGAGCAGCAAAAGCAAAACCAAGAGAAAGCTACCAGTCTCCTAGTGATGTCCTCAAGACTCTGTTTTCTGTTTCTAACTTAGAAGGTAAAAAATACTCTGTAGAACATCACCCTTCTTAGATATTCTAATAGTAACCTGGCCTAGCTTCATTTTCAGGCAGTGGAAGGGGCTGGTGCAGACATACATATCTTAAAATCCCTCAAATGGGCTGGGCGCCATGGCTCATGCCTGTAATCCCAGCATTTTGGAAGGCCAAGGCAGGCAGATTGCCTGAGGTGAGGAGTTTGAAACCAGCCTGACCAACACGGTGAAACCCTGTTTCTACTAAAAATACAAAAATTAGCCAGGCATCTTGGCATCTGCCTGTAATCCCAGCTACTAGGGAGACTGAGGCAGGAGAATCGCTTGAACCCAGGAGGCAGAGGTTGTAGTGAGCCAAGATCGCACCATTGCACTCCAGCCTGGGCAACAAGAGCGAAACTCCATGTCAAACAAAACAGAACAAAACAAAAAAACCTCTCAAATGAGCGATTCTAACACTCTCCTCCCACCCTCACCTCACCCCACCCCATGCTCCTGCTCTCCAAGGCTCCTTCGCCAGCTGCCCTAAGATTAATTGTCCAAAAGAACACCAGGTGGGGACCCAGTGGGCGTGTCCCATTGACAAGCCATTTTGCAAGAGTTGAGGCTTGAAAGTCCACCTGGAGAGCAAGTGGGGCCAGCTGCTCTCGGGACAAACTGCTGCACCTGCTGGGCGGGCTCCCCAATGCCACAGCCCTGGACAGCAGTGAAGAATCAGCTCTTTGTGAGTTGATTTGTGGTTTGGGCTTCTTCCACCACAGCTCAAGTCAGCACCATGGGCCATGCAGTCTACACTGCTGGGGCACCCCGTGTGCACAGGTCACATGGCATGAGGCCCCTCAGCTTAGGGTAAACTAGAGGCAAAATGAGAGGCTGCCCCCTACTTGGTGGCCATTGGGGGAACCTGTGCATTCTCTCCCAAAAGGGAAAAATGAGGAGGTGAGACACTGGGGCCCTCTGCCACTCGCCACTCATGCTAAGGAAGGAGCCAGGCTTACCTGACTGTGAGGCAGGCTGAGTGGCTTGGCCCTCCGGGGGCCTGCCTGGCCAGCTGGGGTGGTCTATCTACCCACGCACCTGTAGGATGAGCATTCAAAGGTCAGGGCCTGGCCCACCTGCTGCACATAGAACGGGAGCTTCATCCCTCATGCTTCCAACAAATGGGCTAGACAGGGTGAGGCAGAAACCAAGGGAAAACAGTACAGCTCGGTGACCCCCGGCACTTCCTCGGGCAGGTTGTCTCAAAGTATAAACTTGGAAGGTGGGGGATGAGGAAGCCAGGCTCCAGCAACGCCACCGTCATCAGCAGCAAAGCTGAGACCGAACCTCCGTCTGCTGGCTTCTGTGTCTGCTGTTCAGCTGGCCTCAACTCAGAGGGAATCATAGGGTATAAGCAGAACCATGGCTTCTGTGATAACGTCAGGGAGAAAAGCCTGGCCCAAATGTGCCTGCCCATCCCAAACTCAGCACTCTCTGCAGGGGGAGCCCAGGCTTAGGACACACACCCTCTTCCTATACCATCGAAGGAAGGCATCTGGTACAAAGGACAGATCACCCACCCTGACAGGAAAGGGTCCTAGTGCAGTCTGACCACTTCTCCTCTCAGGGCCTTGTTTATCTGTAAAACAAGGATGAGACAACAGCAAAGACATGGCATCAACCCAGGTGCCCATCAATGGCAAATTGGATAAAGAAAATGTGATACACATACACCATGGAATAGTATGCATCTGTAAAAAGGAATGAAATCATGTCCTTTGCAGCAATATGGATACAGCTGGAGGCCATTATCCTAAGAGAATTAATACAGGAACAGAAAACCAAGTACCCCATATTCTCACTTATAAGTGGGAGCTAAACATTGAGTACACATGGACGTAAAAATAGGAACAATAGACACTGGAGGATACAAGGGGTGAGAGGGAGGGAGGACGGCAAGGGTTGAAAAAAAAACTACTAGAGGCCGGGCGCGGCGGCTCACGCCTGCAATCCCAGCACTTTGGGAGGCCGAGGCGGGCGGATCACGAGGTCAGGAGATCGAGACCATCCTGGCTAAAGTGGTGAAACCCCATCTCTACTAAAAATACAAAAAATTAGCCGGGTATGGTGGCGGGCCCCTGTAGTCCCAGCTACTCGGGAGGCTGAGGCAGGAGAATGGCGTGAACCCGGGAGGCGGAGCTTGCAGTGAGCCGAGATCGCGCCACTGCACTCCAGCCTGGGTGACAGAGCAAGACTCCATCTCAAAAAAACAAAAAAACTACCAGAGTGACGGATTCATTTGTACTCCAAACTTCAGCCTCACACAATATACCTTTGCAACAAATCTGCACATGTACCACCTGATTCTAAAATAAAAATTGAAAGTGGAAAAAAAAAAGTGGGGAGGAGGCGAGAATACCTGGTTAAATGAAACAATTTGCAAACCCTAATGTGAAGAATATTGACCACCATCAGAGGGAATCAGGTCTGGGAGTTCTGGGCCTGGCCTGGCCTTCCTCGGACCCTCTGTCCTGGGAACCCTGCAAGGCCTGCAAGTGTATATCATCGTGCTTTCTAGATCTGGGGCCCCAGGCATTGCTGGACCCATGGTGGGTGCTCACTCTGAGCTGGTGAGGGGAGGACTCAGTTCCATTTATGAAACTGGCAGGTCTCAGTGTGGCCTCTCTCCTCTCCCACCTGCCAGCTGCTATGCAGGCAAGGCTTGTGAAGACTTTCAGAACTCTGCAAGGGCAAAAGTACAGACACTATGTTGCATACGTGAGGCTGGAGACCTTCATTTCCCATTTAGAAAAGCTGACGTTGAGCACTCCCATTGGGAGGAACGAGGAGCCAGCTAGAGCTTTCTCCCAACTAAAACTGCTGCCAACCAGAGAAGAGAGTTCCCTGAGGACCAAGAGAGAGAGTGCACGGGGCTCAGTTGAGCTCCTGGGCATTGCTGTTTAGCCGGGCCAGGAAATAGAAAGAGGGGGGTGTGGGGGCTCCAGCCCTCAGAATCTGCAATTGTCTCTTGCCCCACTCCCTCACAGATGTGGCAGGCAGAGATAAATGAACAGCAATCAGCAATGAAACTTCCACTTTCTAACAAACTTGGTGAAGTGCACCTTCTATTTTTAACTGGCCCAATTTCTCAGTCACATCACATGACTCCTATTGTCTTGTCTGAGAATTATGAACAAGAAAGAGAGAGAGAAATTGGGCCATATTTTCTAGTGCAGTAAGGTGATGAACTCTCTAGTCGCATGTATATTTCCTCTTTCATTTGCAATTTGCTAAGTAACCTTAGAGAAAAAATGCGCCTTTTTACAACTTTGGTGTTCTATTTAAAGAAACTAAGAGCCATAAAATGACCTTATTGAGGTCACATATAAAGTTCTGAGCTAAATAAGAAATTGCTTTGGAAAATATGTCAATGTTCTAGGTTCATTTAACTTTGGGAGTTGCAGAAACTACTTTGCTGTGGAGGTTGGGTGGGTTTATCCTAATTGTTTCCAGTTCATGTAAAATTTCATCTTATATTGGGTAGCACTCTAGGATACTAGGAAGGTTTTTGTTTTTTTTTTTTTTGAGACAGAGTCTTACTCTGTCACCCGGGCTGGAGTGCAATGGTGCAATCTCGGCTCACTGCAACCTCCACCTCCCGGGTTCAAGTGATTCTCCTGCCTTAGCCTCCCAAGTAGCTGGGATCACAGGTATGCGCCACCATGCCCAGCTAATTTTTGTATTTTTAGTAGAGACGGGGTTTCACCATGTTGGCCAGGCTGGTCTCGAACTCTTGACCTCAGGTGATCCACCTGCGTCTACCTCCCTATGTGTTGGGATTACAGGCGTGAGCCACCATGCCCAGCGATAGTGGGAAGGTTCTTGAGGTAAGCTGGGAATGAAACATTGCTCTGTTTTTTTCTACCCATGTTACATGGCTTGGGCAATTTTCTCAACCTATATATGCATCGCATTTCCCCTCCTATCTTTCCCTCAGTCTCTATGTGTGACATTTTTCAGGGCAATTGTCAATTTCTTAAAGACAGTATATAACTCATAGCTCACCTTCCCTGAGATAAGGGGAGGAGATTGTTGTCTCTTACCTGTTATATATGAAAGCCAAGGCAGTTCCTAAAAATTCATCAATTTGGACAAATCACCTTCACTGCCCTCGACTCTGAATTATCCAAGTTCAATATATCCTAGACATGTGAAATCTGAATAACCTTGTTAGGAAGTTTGGTATGTGTTAGGAAACTATCACTTTGGCACATTAAATAGTCCCTCATTCTGGATCTACTATGTTTAAACCCACACTTCTCAAACTGTGTGATGAGGTACCCTGAGGCCCACAGCAAACTCACAAGAGCACTAAAGAGCTGGTTTTTTTTCCATTTTGTTTTGTTTTGTTGAGACAGAGTTTCGTCCTTGTTGCCCAGGCTGGAGTGCAGTGGTGCGATCTCAGCCCACTGCAACCCCTACCTCCTGGGTTCAAGCGATTCTCCTGCCTCAGCCTCCCAAGTAGCCGGGATACAGGCATGGACCACCATGCCCAGCTAATTTTGTATTTTTAGTAGAGATGGGGTTCACCATGTTGGCCAGGCTGGTCTTGAACTCCCGATCTCAGGTGATCCACTCACCTCAGACTCCCAAAGTGCTGGGATTACAGGCATGAGCCACTATGCCCAACCTGAAGAGTATTTTAAATGTAGAAGCCATACCCAACACCCACAGGGCAACATACAGCTCTGAGCTCCAGGCTGCTCACCGTTTCAGCATTAGATTGTGCTGCATCCCTTTCAAGGACATCATATCCTTGCAAAGCTGAGTTTGAGGTGGTTGCAGGGATAACAGGCACGTGCAGTGTGAAAACCAATGTGGAACGGGCGGTGAAGGTGGTAGTGGCCCATCAGATTCCAAGATCTGAGAAGGTGCATAGGGCCCAACTGGCTCACATATCCTGTGAGTTGTAGTTATTTGTGAAAGAAATAAAGACAGTACTTTTTCTTTCCATTTATCAGTATTATTTCAAATACCTACTAATTCATTAGGAGATACTATATATATATATATATATATATAAACACTTAAACAGAACAGTTACATATTTTTTTGGCCTAGGAGCACCATGATCCAAAAAGTCTGGGAAACCTGTGGCTTAAGCCTACAACCCTAGGAGGTAGTCTTTCAGCCTCTTACATATTAGAACACGAGCTTAAGGATTTTGAATATTGTTTTAGGTTGTATTTTCCCAAAAAGCCCTCAGCAATACTTCTGGTTCCATGTGTGTTTCTAGAACCTTGCCACTCCTCTCATCAAAAGATTGAGTTTAGGGCTGTTAATATTCTTTATTGCCTTTATAATCTGGATTCTGCCTCTGCCATTTCACTGGCATCAAGGATGCTCAGTCAACCATGACTGCTCGCTCTATATGCCCATCACCTTTCCCAAGCCTTACTCTCTCTGAGATGTCTACGGCACCTGGCACCGTAGCCACCCTCTCTGAATCTCTTCCCCTCTGCTCTGGGCCTGCATGCTCTTGCTTCTGTCTTCCCAAACCTGGCTGTTCTTTGCCTATTGCTTTGAGTGGCTTCTCTGCTTAGCTCCTAAACATAGTGATTTCTGACAGCTCAGTCCAAATACATCCCATTCATCTCTCTCCCCAAAACTGAGCTTCCATCCCTGACTTGCCTCGAGCTGATAATGGGTGATTCTCCCAAAAACTCACACTTGAAATCCCCAGGCACCTTTTGCTCCTCTTTCTCCTTTGCCCCAATCACAATCCAGTCACTAACCCTAATGAATCTTCCTTGAAAGTGTCTCTTGAATTCATCCATTCCTCTTTAATTTTTTCTGTTCCCCTAAAGCAGTCCCCTATTATCTTCAGACTTGACTATGAGAAGCCAACATTGAAGGTATTCATACATTTGTTAAATAATGATGCTAACCCCTAGGTAGTCTCCTGGACTTCAGTTTCTCTCCCTCTAATTACTGCTGCCACCAAAGTGATCTTTCCAAAATACCACTTTAATCATGTCATACGACTACTTAGAATAGTTTGATGGTTAATATTGAGTGTCAACTTGATTGGATTGAAGGATGCAAAGTATTGTTCCTGGGTGTGTCTGTGTTACCAAAGGAGATTAACATTTCAGTCAGTGGACTGGGAGAGGCAGTCCCACCCTCGATCTGGGTGGGCACCATCTAATCAGCTGCCAGCGCAGCTAGAATAAACAGGCAGGAGAAGATGGAAAGAGCAGACTTGCTGAGTCTTCTGGCCTTCATCTTTCTCCTGTGCTGGATGCTTCCTGCCCTTGAACATCAGACTCCAAGTTCTTCAGCTTTTGGACTCTTGGACTTTACACCAGTGGTTTGCCAGGGTCTCTCAGGCCTTCGCCACAGACTGAAGGTTGCACTGTCGGCTTCCCTAATTTTGAGGTTTTGGGACTCAGACTGGCTTCCTTGTTCCTCAGCTTCCAGATGGCCTATTGTGGGACTTCACCTTGTGATCGTGTGAGTCAACACTATTTAATAAACTCCTCTTCATATATACTTCAATCCTATTAGTTCTGTCCCTCTAGAGAACCCTAATACAAATAGTAATATTCAAAAAGCAATAGTAATATACAAAAAGCAACAAGAAAACGACACATATTGATGATTCTTTCATTTGGGAATTTAGCATAAGGGTGTCATACGCTCTACATTACAATGTTTGGAGTTTTTGCCTTACTCATGCATTACTTTTATAATCAGAAAAATTGTTTAAAGGTATTATCGTAAAAACAAACAAAAAAAAGATTGAGTTTAATTTCCCTCCCCTTGGAACATGAGGCAGGTTTAGTGACTTGCTTCTAATGAATTCTATCTAATACCAATGTGCAGAAGTGACACTGTGTGACTTTCAAGCATAGACTGAAAAAGTGTTCCAACTTTATGTTCTGTCTTGGGACGCTCACCCTTGGAACCCAGCCACCATGCTGTGAGGAAGCCCAAGCAACCCACATGGAGAGTCCACACACTGAAGTCCATGTGGAGAGGAACCGAGACCCCCAGCCAACAGCCAGCATTCACCACCAGGCATGTGACGCAGCAAGCCTTCAGTGATCTCAGTCCCCAAACTTTGAGTCTCATAGCTAAGGCCTCAGACATCATGGAGCAAAAATAAGCCATCCCCCATGTGCCCTGAACAAGAGGTGGGGGCAGAGGGGACAGTGGAAGGAGCATGGACATAGAAAGATCTGGGTTCAAATCCTGTGTCTGCCTCATATTAGTTTTGGTACCTTACATAAGTCACTTACTTCTAAACCTTGGTTTCCTCATCTCTTATGAACTGAGATGTTGCAGAGCTCAGAGCAAGGTCCCCAGCATAAAGTCTGAGACATAGTAGGTGCTTAATAAAGTATAAGTGAGCTCATCTGACAGCCCATCCAATCTTCAGACAGTTTTAATTGTTAGAAATGCTTTCTTCTGTATGGATGAAGTGAATTCTGCCTGCCTGGAATGCCCACCACAGACTCAGTCTTTCCCTGGCAAGGAGGGACGGGGGAGGACCACCTCTCCTCCCTCAGCAGCCTTCAGACACCACTCCTTCCTGCCTCCACCCTCTGCCTGGTCCCTTTCCTACTCCCCACCAGGAGGCTTCTGAAGATGCAGAGGGCCCGTGTGTTGCTGGTGAGCCTGGACACATTGAAAGCCTTGTTTGCATGATAACTCCTCTTTGAGTCAGTTCAGCTGCTTCCGTCAATACAGCCCTCAGATAAGATGCTGTAACTCAGAATGTCTGGCTCAAAAGCAAACTGCTACAACTGAATCATACATGCTGCGTTAAAGTCCACCCGCTTCTCTCCCATGCCTGGCCTTGCCACTGCGCAAACAGAAGCCGAAGGGAAAGGTCCAATTATTCCATGGAGATTTAGCTACTGTATTGACAAAACTCAGCGTTAATTCCCAGAAAGCATTCAAGCCCCGAGGTGGGGGTGGGGGCGGAGGGAGGCAGGGAGAGAGGAAGAGCTGGCTATATAACTGGGTGAGAGTCATAGCCGCTTTTCAGCTGAGTCTGACCTAGTTTAATGAAATCAGGTCATCTGTGAGCTCTTCATTACCCTCAGACTAAACAGGACCCAACAGAGCAGCCAATGTCCCTGGCCTTTCAGAATTCTGCTCATTCGCATTATGACATTTTGATGTTGGGTCTTAATGCATGTTGACTTAGTGGCCTGGCCCCTCCAAAGGTAGTAAACAGCCTGGGTAAAGGCTGGGAAGTAAACAAGAGGGCTGATTTAAAAACCACACACATAAAGGCAGTGTAAATACCCCAGGTCCCTAGCCTGCATCCTCAGGGAAACCAGCAGACAAAAGGCGTGGAGTGTCCGCGACCATTATGGCTGACGGATGGATGGAACTCACCTATTATCCTCCTGCCTTCTCACATGGAACTCGCAGCCTCAGCAGATCTTCAGGGCAGGGGGCGGGATTGGAAGGAAATGAAATTGTCAATTTAGGGACAGTATGGAAGATTCAAGGGCAAATTGCTCCCCAGCAACAATTGTAGAGGACAGGGACAGTTAACCCCCTTGAGACTGTCCTATGCGCTGGTGATGGCTTTATTTGATCTGCTGCCCAGTCTGCATTGTCCTGAAACCAAAGCCTGTGGTCAGGGAGGCTGAAAATGATCCTTCTTCTCCCGGTGGATGCTCATTAATTGAACGAATTTTACGGAAGTAGATGATATCTGTGGGTTCCCTGCTCCTATCAGACAGCCAGACTACCAGGCTCAGAAAGGGCAGAGTACCGTATCAGTGCTAAACACCGTGTAGGTGCTTCAGTGCATAGGTGTCTCAAGGACTCTATTTGGCGTGTGCTGGTGGTAGAAGCAGTATTTTTAACTCAAGATAAATTTACCAATGGGCCCAGGCTGGTGAGGGCTGAGAATCACAGGAGGCAGGAGGGAATTCTTATGTACACTGACTGCTCTTTGCAGTCCTTAGACAGGTGTGGGGTCTAGAGTCTCACAAGCTGATGAATTTGGTCTGGGTTTAACTAATGGTGTGTTGGCTTCTGCCTCTCAAGCAATGGCACAAGGTCGAAAAATTCCCTCACCTTCCCTTCTCAAAAAAACCTCCTTGCCAGTTACCTAATTTAAGTACCCAGTCCCTGTTCAGAGATATGTGAGGACTGCACAAGTGTGGACTGGGAGGAATAAAACATTAATTGTGGGTGACCACAGGCAAGAGGTGTCCCTTCTATAGGTTTTAGTTTTTCCATGTGTAAGATAAGGAGGTTTAATCACATAATCTCTAAGGGCTTTCTAGGAAGGGCATTCTAATTCTAAGGCGAATGCGATTCATCTTGAAGCGAATCTCTGCCTCCCCCACCCCAGGTAGCAGACGTGCCCTAACCAAGCCATTTCTCTGGGCCTCCGAGGGATCCACTGCTGACCTTGACTTCCTTAATCCCAGGCTCCGACACTGATCTGCTCACTCTCAACCCTCTCATCTGATACCAGCATTTGGCCTACATCTATTGTTTCCTTTAATGATTAGTAAACATGGTTGAACAGAGCAGAAAACCAGTTTCCTTCCCAAGGGCAAGGGACTACAAGCTGGTCTCTTCTGTCCCTCTCCTCAGCCAAGGGAACAAAGTCTGACATCCAGACTTTGATTCTCCGTGGAGGGAAGCAGGACCCCGACAGCAGAATGACAGCTAAGACTCTACTTTAGCCTGTCTCTACTATCTAATCAGGAAAATGGCAGGATCCAGCCTGTCTCTACTATCTAATCAAGAAAATGGCAGGATCCAGTTTCCCATTGTGTTGGCATTGATAATATGTATTGAGTGACAGTGTCTGCAGTGAGACTATTGATTTGAAAGACAGTTTAAGAATTGACTAGTATTCATAATCCCAGCACTTTGGGAGGCTGAGGTGGGCAGATCACTTTAGCTCAGTAGTTCAAGACCAGCCTGGGCAACATGGCAAAATGCCCATCTCTACAAAAAAATACAAAAATTAGCCAGGCGTGGTGGCATGTACCTGTAGTCCCAACTACTCAGGAGGCTGAGGTAGGAGGATCGCTTGAGCCCAGGAGGCAGAGGTTGCAGTGAGCAGAGATCATGCCACTACACTCCAGCCTTGGTTACAGAGCCAGACCCTGTCTCAGAAAAGTAAATAAATAAAATAAATAAAATAATAAAAAAAGAATTGACCAGGATTCCAGGGCTTAGAATTCCAGAATGGTAATTACCTCCACATGCATCCTAATTTATAGGAACGCCAGAGAGCTTGATGGCTTATAAGTTTCAGCCAGTCAAAGTTGAGAGCCTAAAAGAACATCTCTAATCAGAGTACCGGAAAAGTACAATGCCAAAAGAAAACCTACAGAAGGTTGGTGAAGTGATTCCCAAACATTTAGTCACAAAACCTTTTTTAGCAACAAAAGCCTACATGAAAACCAAATACATAAAACGGGACTAAGTGGAACTGTTCAGGTGAAGCTGAGCAAGGACCCAGAGCCCTACCTCCCTTTCCCTCATTCCGCCCCCTCCCCAAGCCCTTAAGGCCCTAGGCACCCCATGGAACCTCAAGAGTTTGAAGAGCAAAGACCTACTCCCACCTCCTCAATTTGTAGATGAAGAAACCAATGTCTAAAAAAATGAAACAACTCGACAGATTCCGTGTGAGTCAGAGCCAGAGAGGCATTGGATTTTCATCTCAGCCCCAAGTGATGCTAGCTCACCACCACATAAGTGCCTGCTTTTCTTTTTTCTTTTTTTTTTTTTTTTTTTTTTGAGATGGAGTCTTGTTCTGTCACCAGGCTGGAGTGCAGTGGTGCGATCTTGGCTCACTGCACCTCCACCTCCCAGGTTCAAGCAATTCCCCTGCCTCAGCCTCCCAAGTAGCTGGGACTACAGGTGCCCACCACCATGCCCAGCTAATTTTTTGTATTTTAGTAGAGACAGGGTTTCACAATGTTGGCCAGGACGGTCTTGATCTCCTGACCTTGTGATCCGCTCACCTCGGCCTCCCAAAGTGCTGGGATTACAGGCGTAAGCCACCACACCCGGCCAAGTGCCTGCTTTTCAATGATGCCCTAACCAATCTTCATTGCTTCCTTCCATTCAGAAGCTAATTTTAAAAGTGTCCTTTATTAGAATTGAAATAAAGTTTCAGCTACAGTAAGACGAAAAGGCACAACATTGGGGGTGGAAAGAAGCTGACCTAGAATTAGGAGGACGTGCTATTACTTTAAGTCATTTTCTTTTCTGGAAATTATCATTCTCATCTGTGAACTGCGGGGTGGTATTGCGAAGTGGAAGACACCAACATCAGCAATTTCAAGGTTTATGCAAATTTTAAATCTAAACGTCATAAATTAAATTCCCAAAGTCATCTCCTCTGTATTCTCTTGTAAATTCCTATGAATTAGACAACACAGCTAAAATAGAAAACTTAATAGAAAGACCAGAAAATAAGGAATCTTCAAATATCCTTTTTTTTTAAAATAACAGAGTTGGAACATAGGAAAGAAAAGTTGAAATGTCAGGATCAATCCAGAATATCTAACATCTGACTAATGCTAATTACAGAAAGATAAAACAGAGAGGAGAAATTATCAAAGACATAATCATTATTTTTGAAAAAATTTTCTAGAAGGAAAGAACACGAGTTCCAGGATTGAAAGTATACAGGAAAAAAAATGATGAGAAAACAGCCATAGAAAGTTATATCAGAGTAAAATTTCAACTCATTGGGATAAGGAAAAAATTTAAAGCCTCTATGGAAAAAAATTAAAATTTTCTTCCAAGGATTGGATCAAAATGGCATCAGACTTCTCAACAGCAACACAGAATATTAGAAAACAAAGAAGCCACATCTTCAAAATTCTAAAAGTAATTTTAACATAGACCACTATACCCAACCAAACTAGCCAAATAATGTGAAGATAGAAGAAAGGAAATTTTAGTTAAGCAAGAACTCACAAGTTTTATGTTCTGTGCACCATTTCTTAGGAAGCTGGAATAGGTTATGCTCCATCAAAACAATAGATTAAACAATAAGCAAGCAAGCAAGCTAGGAACAGACCAGCTGTCCTAGTATGTTAGGGCCGCGATAACAAAATGCCTTAGACTGGTAAGTTATAAACAATAGAAATTTGTTGCTCACAGTTCTGGAGGCTGAGAAGTCCAAGATCAAGGTACCAACAGACTCAATGGGTGGTAAGGTCCCATTGCTCATAGATGGTGCCTTCTATGTATACTTACATGGTGAAAGGGACAAACTAGCTCCTTTGGACCTTTTATAAGGGCACTAATCCCATTCCTGAGAGTTCTGCCCTCATGATCTAATCACCTGCTAAGGGCCCCACTTCTTAACCCCATTGTATTGGGAATTAGATTTCAACATACAAGTTATGGAGGGACACAAACATTCAGAACACAGCAACTGCCAAAGCAGGAAGGCTACAATCATCAATTGTGTGGCCTAAACAAGATAGGCCAGTTCAGGCTGTAGCATACAACTACAGAGGCTCTCTTCTTGTTACATGTCCATTGTGGGTTGGCTATAGCTCTGCTCCATGTCCTCTTTACCCCAGATCTGACTTGACTTAGCATTCTCTATCTGAAACATTGACAACTGTCATGGCAGAAAATAAAAGAGACCATGATAAACCATTTCCTGGTTCTAAAGTTCCTTCTCCAGAGTGATACACACTACTTACACTTCTACTTACATTTCATTGGCCAAAGCAAATTACGTGACAAAGCCAGGTATCAATGGGACACAGAAATATAATCCCCATGCAAGAAGGTGCAGTGAATATGTTTAACAAGCAGTCTACCACATCCCAGGATGACAGCTGCATATTAGGCTCAAAAAACAGTCATTCAGAACCGGAGCAGAAGATGGAGCGCTACGGGAGGGAGTTTTACAGGTGGGAAAATGCAACTGGCAGATTATCTGCTTTATATAAGCACTGGCAAAAGAAAATGATTAACAAGCTCAATTAAACAGAAAAATATGTACGTAGTACTATTCAAGTCAAAAGAGAAAAAAATGAAAAAATTATTAGCTCCAAAAGAAACAAAAATATTCTATTTAAAAAGGGAGGTACTCATACAGTACTTGTTTCTTCAGTGAACAATATTTTCATAGTAAAAATGTAAATACTATCAATTTAACTTCAAATTGTAAAGTGAGCATTATGGGGAGAATAGAAAGAGAGAAATTGAGGGGAATAGTTATGACAGATTGAACTCCTCAAGTCTACTCAAGTCGTGTGATGGTTAACTATTCTTTCCTGGATTCTAGTTCTGTAATATCTCACTCTGTATTCTGGTGCTCCATCAGGAATCTGTAATACAGCCAGGCACAGTGGCACATGCCTGTAATTCCAACACTTTAGGAGGCCAAGGTGGGAGGATTGCTCAAGACTAGGAGTTTGACATCAGCCTGGGCAACATAGCAAAACCCGTCTCTTCAAAAAATTTAAAAAATAAAAAACTTAGCCCTTCATGGTGGTGTGCACCTGTGGTCCCAACTATTCCAGAGGCTGAGGCAGGAGGATCACTTGTGTCCAAGAGGTCAAGGCTGCAGTGAGCCATGATTGTACCACCACACTCCAGCCTGGGTGACAGAACAAGACTCTGTCTCAAAAAACAAAAAGAATCAGTAACACATGTAATCCACCAGAAGCGCACCTGCAGTCAATATGCACAATGCCTGGCATTAATAAATCTAAAAATACCAATAGAAGCATATAGAAAATGGAAAAACCAACTTAAAGTGCCAAAATGTGTTGCCTTTAAGGAGGTGGGGAGGGATAGAGCAGGGGAGTAGAGTATGGGTCATAAATAAATAATGTTTTTTCTTAAATGATTAATTTTCAAGGCATCCAGACATCATAAACAGAACCTGACATTATAACCACCCTGGCAGCAGTGCAATTTTTCTCTGATGATTCGGAGGTGCTTTCAGGCCTGGCCATGACTGAGGTCATCTTTCTGAACACCATTCCTTATTCTTTCCCAATTTGTTAGTCTTGTAGGAATCGATTTTATGTTAGCCCTTCTAAATCCCAAAGAATCGATGTCCTCTTTGGTCAATGCCCAACTCTTTCGGACATTCCGCTACTGATGCTGGATAAGTCAGTGGCTTTCCCCTTGCTCCTCAGCTGAGTGAGGAAGCACTGAGTGCTTCCAGCCCAGACAGCAAGCCAAGCCGTGGTTGTGGAAATAAAGCTGTGGGAAGACATTGGCCAAAAGTATTGAAATAATGGAAGCTACTCCCTGGAATTCAGAAGCTACAGGTCATCCTCTCAAATATCACTATATGGAAGGTGAGCTGAGCTTTCAGAGCTGGAAAATTTTCCTGGGGTTGTTTCCCCCAGAAGGCTGGGCAGATGTGCATGTCTTTAAACAGATTTTACCTGGGGATAAAAGACAGCCAATCCTTCCAATAGTTTATTATATGATATATCCTTATAGTAATATCTTTTTTTTTTTTTTTTTTTTTGAGACAGAGTCTCTCTCTGTCTCCCAGGCTGGAGTGCAGTGGCACGATCTTGGCTCACTGCAACCTCTGCCTCCCATGTTCAAGCAATTCTCCTGCCTCAGCCTCTCTAGTAGCTAGGACTACAGGTGCCTGCCACCATGCCTGGCTAATTTTTGTATTTTTAGTAGAGAAGGGGTTTCACCATGTTGGCCAGGCTGGTCTCGAACTCCTAACCTCAAGTGATCCACCAGCCTCGGCCTACCAAAGTGCTAGGATTACAGGCATGAGCCACTACACCCAGCAATACCTGATATAAATATTAAAAATCACAGTCAAAGAAAAATGTGTAACAATATGAGAAACTATGATATAATGTTAAGTCAAGAAAGGCAAAAATAAATGGATATATAACCTATAAATTGTGTTTGCGTTTGTGTGTGTCTGAATGTTAATAGGACCTACCTCTGAATGATGAGATTGGCCAATGTTTAGTGGATTTAATAAGAATCAAACCTTAAATAATAGATTTTCTTGAAGACTCATAAAATGACTATAGATAGAAAAGCAGGCAGAAGACTCAGAATTTAGTCCCAGTTCACCCACCAATTAACTGAATGACATTGAGCAAATGCATTCACTTCTTTGGCCTCAGTTACCCCATCTGTGAAATGAAGTGGCTAAATGAGAAAAGTGACTTACACTTTTTCGTGAAGCCCTATACCAGGATGGGGGCAGATGGGAGTGTTGAAGCCAGTGGGGCTCCTTGTCCTCCATACCAGCCCTTTTGTCTAAATATACAATTATACAATCTCTAAAATCATTGCTGATTGTATTTATGTAATTTCAATGTAGACAATTATACAACCAGCTCGTTTTCCTTCTTGCCTTGGGATCAAGAAGCTTAACAAAGGTAGTTCTCACCTGCAATTCTACCTTATCCCAACTACCTGTGATGCTTTTCTCTCTCCCCACACAGGATATTCCCATGTCTCTTTTCTCTAGTCTTGAATGGTCTTGTTTCATTGACGTGACAATTCAAACTCCTCTGATTTTTTTTAGAAGAGCAGAATTTTAATGAAAAGGTTTAAGCGCCATTTGGGTCAAAGTCAAAACTGGCTCTCCAGCCACCCCACCATGGACACTCATAGGAAACTATTAAATGAGTAAAAATCTGGAAATAATCTGTGGAAAATACACATACCCTTTATCTGTCTGGTTCCTAAATGGCTTATTACACAAACAAGCAGAAATATGTATAACATACCCCACATGTCTATCTGGGGCCCATCTTTGCCATTTATTTTTCTCATCCAAAGAATAAATGCAAGGTCCTCATCTAACCCAAGGTTTAGAGATCACACATACAAGATTTGCCAGTGGATTTATTCAAGAAAAGAAGAAATGAAACTGCTTAGCTCAGTCTTCCCATCAGGAAGGAGATCTTGTTAGAGAGTTTAAAAATAACGGCCGGGCATGGTGGCTCACGCCTGTAATCCCAGCACTTTGGGAGGCCGAGGCGGGAGGATCACAAGGTCAGGAGATTGAGACCATCCTGGCTAACAGGGTGAAACCCCATCTCTACTAAAAATACAAAAAATTCACCGGGCGCGGTGGCAGGTGCCTGTAGTCCCAGTTACTGGGGAGGCTGAGGCCGGAGAATGGCGTGAACCCAGGAGGCAGAGCTTGCAGTGAGCCTGAGATCACGCCACTGCACTCCAGCCTGGGGGACAGAGCGAGACTCTGTCTGAAAAAAATTAATTAATTAATTAATTAATTTAAAAAAAATTTAAAACTCTGTGGACTGTGGGCCTTACCTTTGAATCCTGGTTCTGCAATATCTCATTCTGGTGAATCTCCACCTAGAAAGAGCAGCAAACATTGGGCACTGGATGCTCATAAATGTGTACACCAGTCAGAGTGGGGAGAAAAAACATTCACCAGGGTATAGAGTTGTCAAGAAGAAGAAATGGACACTATTTCCTCATCAGTCAAACTGGCTTGGCCTCAGCTTGGGCTGGAATCCATCCCCTGGCCTGCTAGGTCAGCTCTTCCATGGGTCTCTAGGAGCTAGGACTGCAGATTGGTATCCTCTGTTCATCCCAAGGCCAGAGAGAGTGTCTGTATGACATGAAAGTTGGCTCCCAAAGGTGCACTGCTCTACCGAATTCTGGTGTTCACTCTCCACCACATTGCCTGACCCAATGGGCTTCACCAGTCTTTTCCTTCCTAGACTTTCCTGCTGCATTAGACACATTGACCATCACCTCCTTCTTGAAATCAACTTTCTCTCCTTGACAGCAGGTCCTCCTATGTCTCTGGGTTCTCCTTTGCAGACACCTTTACGTGTCCCCCCCCAACATGTTGGTGTTCCTCGGGGTTCTGCCCTCAAGCTTCTTCTGTTGTTGCACGTGCCCCTGACGGATACCACTCCTTTTCTATGACTTTGACAACCATCTACACCTCCAATTTCTCTCTTCTGTATTTAAAAGCCTTCAGTTCAACTGCTTGCTGAATATTTTTCTTAGATTTCTCACCCATGTCCACCTATGTCAAATGCTGGGAGCTCAAACCTGAACTTACCCTTTTTCCCCAAAAACCTCTCTCATCATCTCTTGTGTCCTCCATTCCAGTGAATGGCATCACCATCCAGGCAAATACCTGGATGGTCAGGACCCTGGGAGTCAGCCTAGGCCCTCCCTCTCCCACCCTCCTCCAGCCAACCACAGGGTGATGCACCTCTTGGACCAAGGTATTTCTCAAATCTTCCCTTTCTTCACATTTCCCTGCCACTGTCCTGCTGGTTCAAGCTGATGTCTTCTCTCACCTGGAGAAGTACGAGAGCCTCCTCCCTGATCTCCCTGCCTCCAGACCCTTTCCTCCCAGCTGTCCTGGCATCTTCTGTCAACAGAGCGTATAATGGAAGTCTGGCCATATTCGTTTGGGCTGAGTTGATTCATCCTTCATGATCAAATTCAATTATCACTTCCTCTGGGAGCCCCCCCCCACCTTGATTCCTAATCTAAATTAATTCCCCCTTCTCCATTTTCCCAAAGTCCTTTGCATAAGTTCGTCCCATCACAGCATTCCACACTTCCGTAATTATTTGTTTACTTGTGGCCTCCCAGCCAAACTCTCAGCTCCTCTGACACAGAGTCTGGTCTTCTGTCTTTTTACTTATTTATTTATTTAGAGACAGAGTCTCACTCTGTCACCCTGGCTAGAGTGCAATGGCACCGTCTCAGCTCACTGCAACCTTCACCTCCCAGGTTCAAGCAGTGCTCCTGCCTCAGCCTCCCAAGTAGCTGGGATTACAGGCATCCGCCACCATTCCCGACTAATGTTTGTATTTTTAGTAGAAATGGGGTTTCTCCATGTTGGCCAGGCTGGTCTCAAACTCCTGACGTCAGATGATCCACCCACCTCAGCCTCCCAAAATGCTGGGATTACAGGTGTGAGCCACCACGCCCAGCCTCTTCTGCGTTTTTACTCCTTAGCATCTTACACAGTACCTGGCACAGGTTTGTGCTGAATGAATCAATAGAAGAGGTGCAGGGAGTAGAGGAGTCAGGGGATCTGGGCTGCTCTACTAGCCCCACCATGAACCTGCTGCATGACCCGGGACATGCCAGTTTAATTCTTTGAGTTTCAGTTTACTTATTTGCAAAATGAGCTGTTTGATTTATTGAAGACAAATTCGGTTCAAGCATCCACTTTTGTGCCAAGCACGATGCTCCATCCAGGGCCTGTCATAAATGTAAACTGGTCCTTCCCTGTTCTGAGAGCTTGTGGTTGAATCACATTTTCACGGCTCAGTTCTGCAGCAGGGACAGATGGCTCACTTCTAATGCATTTGCCATATCTCCTCTATTATTTATGTGTCCCCTGCCCACCTCTCCTGGGTCTCCTGAGCCCTGAGAAAAGTGCATTTCTAATCTCAACTAGGTTTCTCTATCACACAGTATTGCAGGGGTAGAAAGGTGGAGAAAGACACACTTTACCAACACACAGGTTTTCCAAGAATTCCCTGCCTTATGGAATACATCGCATTGCTTTGGGGTCTGCATGCACCAGTCAGCCTTTTCGTGGGTAATTTTAGCTCCTAACTCCACATTTTCCACATTCACTGAGAAATAGTTTTATCCTCACTTGGCTGCGAGTGTCTGGGCTCCATTCTATTGCTTGAGCCCCTTTGCTCTTCCCTGCCCAGAGTTGTGATGTGAGGGCCATTGTCAGGAGAACTGCAATGTTTACATCAATAGAAATTTACTGTAATGGGCACATTTTTTTAATTAAAAAAAAAAAATCATGCTCCCAAACCCAGAGTCCAGAGTTGAACAGAGTGAAAGCCCTTGCTTTCCTTCCTTTAGAGTTAGCAAGAAAAGTAGGTGCTTTGAGCACGACTAGGGACCCCCTCCTCCCACTTGCATCTCCAGCTCTCTGGACACTTTTCTGAGTCATTTAGTTGTAGTAGGTGAACTGGGAATTCTATCAGTGGGAAAGCACTACAGGCAACAGAAAGGTGATTGGTGTCCACCAGTTAAACAGACCTGGGCAGAAAAGGAAATAATCAGTAACCCTAACGCCGACCTTCATGATGAAGCCGGGTCTGAGAAGTAGCAAAACTAGTTCAGGATCAGGCACTGGCGCTGGCGCCAGTGGTATTGAGACAGGGACCGATATAAAAGAAGCTAAATGTTCATCTTCCATGGTGCAAAGTGTACAGATTGTTCCTAAAGCTGTCACATCAAGAAACAATATGTTGCTGAAAGGGGAGGAAGAAAATAACAAGATTCAACCAGGAGAGTTAAAAGTCACTGCCTCTGGGGAAAAGGAAACAAGAAGAAAGAGGGTGGGGGAAACTGCTGCTTTTCACAAGAAGCCTTGGGGAAGTTTTAAATAGTGTGCCTGAATAACTTTAATAAAAGTTTAAAAAGGAAGGAAGGAAGGAAGGAAGGAAAGAAGGAAGGAAGGAAGGAAGGAAGGAAGGAAGGAAGAAAGAAAGAAAGAGAAAGGAAGAGAAAGAAAGAAAAAGAAAGAAAGAAAGAAAGAAAGAAAGAAAGAAAAGGAAAGGAAAGGGAAGGGAAGGGAAGGGAAGGGATGGAAGAAAGAAAGGAAGGAGAGAGAGAGGAAGACAGGGAGGAGGGAGGGAGACAGGGAGGAGGGAGGGAGACAGGGAGGAGGGAGGAAGGAAGGAAGGAAGGAAGGGAGGGAGGAAGGGAGTGAGGGAAGCCTCACTGGACTTTAGCAATGGTCAGTGTGGCAATGTCAACACCCTGAGCCACTGGCTGTGGCAGGCAGGTGGAAATCCCTTCCAGTCCCACCCTCCAGTCCTGTGAGAATGATCCCTGCCCTCTCACTCTGCTCTTGCCCCCTCCCAGATGCAGCACCTAGATTGGGATTCACCTTGAGAAACCCAGGTGACTTTGAACTTCAGCAACACGGTACACTGCAGATGGTATCAAGCTTGGGCCAGTTCACCCCCAGCTAGAATACAGAGCAAAGCCCCATGTTCTTGCAAGAGTCCTTGGTGACTTTCTCATGGCTACAGCTCACTCCTCATCGACTTACAGGAATCTAAACAAGAGAGTGCCTCCCCTGTTGGAAGCAGCAAATCTTCCTTTATGGGTGAAATCAGCCATACCCAGCAGCAGAGAACAATTTCTCTCATTACACCAATTCCTGGAGCTCTTGCCGGTGGCAGCTGTTGCCCCATTAGGAAGGCATTTTCCACGGTGTAACCCACCCTGCCACCCGCCGGGCTGCCGACAGCTTCAGCGCTGCCGCCAGAAACAGCTGGAACGGGTCACTGAACTCCATGGGCTGTGGTACTTGGGGAAACATTAGTCCTCCAGATAGGGTGTCTCCTGCCTCCCATGGGAATAGCAGGAAGGGCAAAGTGGCCTGGACATGGTAGGGGCTGAGCTGCACCGATCGGAATCCTTCGGAAGTCCATGTACTCACCCACTCTCCTGCTCTCTCACACACATGTGCTCACATAAATACACCCAGCATCCGTGAAGAAGAGCTGGAGTGCTCAGTGGCACTGGGACAGAGCCCAGCCTCTGGTCTTGATATGTCCAACAAGACGCACTGCACTTCGCCACAATATCCACGGACCCAAGGGAAACACCACTGAGCAGACCTTAGATTCCTCCAGCACTTTTACTCACAAATAGAACAAAGAATTTTTTTTTAATCTCGTGTCTAGGAAAAGGATGGAAGTGTGCTTCTGTTGGCTTAAACTGTGAGATTTGGGAGGCACCATAGTCTTCTTTTACAAACGCTCACCATCTCCCTCCCTCCTCCCCTGACAGAGTCATTCCTGGAAACCCCACTGGTTCCTAAGAGTATCACTTAAATTTTGGTCAAAGATTACAAATATTTGATTTGAACATCCCAGTCTTGAACAGACGGCTTGTTCTTGCCCCGGCAGACTGCCCACCAGGCTCGGAGTGCTCGACTGCATTTTTAAAATCCCCCGGAAAGCTCCCTGCATTGTGAGCAGGTCCTGCTGACCAGGCTGAGTTTTACAGCCCAGCTCTCCAACAATGCCATTTACTGCACACGAAAGATCACAGCCAGCAGATGCGGCGGCCTCGCTCTGGCCTCTTGAAATTGCATCTGTTTTGAAATGTGACTCGACTTCAATCCAGAGCTGACCATAACATCCATGGCATGGACGGGAGGTGTTTACTAGATAAGCTTTTGATATTTGATGTTTGCTAATCATATTAAAGGCTTGAAACAAAATCCCAGCTACAATAAATCCTCACAATTGTACACATGAGGCAGGAAACGCCTAAGAGCCCTGCCTGGGGGGAGTGATCCAAGACTCAGGGCACAAAAAGGAGATAGAGGGTCTAGAAACCAAGAAAACAGGGGCCTGGTGACTGGGGTGAATTATTTCTGTGACTCACAGTGGGGAAGTCACTTCCCCTCTGGACCTCACTCTCCCCATCTGAAAAAGTATGGCCCAGACATGCTATGGTCCTTTTCCTACTTACAGTCCAGGCACAGGGACGTTAGGAGTCCTCACATGACAGCATTTAATGTGAATGTATGAAATGTATGAATAGCCATGTGGGCATGAATCCGATTTTGTGGCAGCTCCCAATTCACTTTCCTCAGTCGATCCTGACTCCATGACAACCCCAATGCTCGGGTATCAACCAGAGATCAACAAATCAGAAGGAACTTCTCTGCTGCATTAAGAATGGAAGGCAAATATTTGGGCTTGAAAGTGACTCTGGAGGGTCATCTCGGCCACCCCTCAGGTCCTAGTTGAACAGCCAAGCCCTCGATGTCCCCTGCCTGTGCATCATGCACCAATGTCACTCACTATCTCCCTGACACCATCCCATACCCATCCCACCCCCATGCAAGATGGTTCCCTAGATTCTCTCCTACCTTAATCATTATCATGCTTTAGGCTTAACTTCAAACTACACTTAAAAACAGATGGAATCTAAATCCCAGGGGATCAGAGAGGGCTGGTCTGTGTTGTCTCCACTGCTGTTCTCCTGTCTGGTTTGACTTTTGCCTGGCCATGCTTCTCAGGACCTAGCCAGCACTCTATCCTTACTAATTCCTATTAACCTGACCTAATGACAGCTACCAGTAATGGTATAGGACGTGACCTTCCCAAGATGGTCTACCTTGGAAAAAGAGACCTGAGACCTAAGTGCCTTCAAGGCTCTGCAGAGTTGGGGCTGGCATGGTGGAATAGCAGGCATCAATTAGCAGGCCTTTCTAGACAACATAGTCTCCCCTGCAACCCCAAAAATCCTAGCCATCTAAGCCCCTAGCTTATTCGGTCATCTTGGAGCTCTCAGGGTTTCCCTGAACCATTTGGTCAGAAAATACGTGTCATCAACCTTTGTGAAATCTCCATTTAGCAACAATGGGAAGATTTTGCTCATAGCCATGGAACCTAAAGGTGTTCACTAAACTGGTGCCAAGCAGGTGGAAGACATGTCAGAAGGGCACACAAGCTCACCTCCCCAGGAGCCAAGCCAGCCCCTGTAAAAGCCAGCTTTGCCTCCAGGTCTCAGACATGTAAAACCCTTCGGCAGCGTGGAGCAATTGGCCACCTGCTTTATCCTGGGGAGAGAAGAAGATTCTCATTGGTACCAGTACAGGACATCAGTAAAGCAATTTCCTTTGTGGGACTAATTTAGTGCTCATCACACAATGAGGACTGCCTGCTAGGCCATGTCATTAACCAAACTGGCCAATTTAAAACTGGATGGTCACAGCCACTGCTCACAACCAGGAAAACGCCTCTCACCAACAAAGAAAGAAGCAGTGAAGTCAGGTTACCTGTTAGCTAAGAAGAGTACTGCAAACGTGAGCTACCGGGTGCTGAGCCCTCCTCTGTTTCAGGCACTTTGCAGACAAGACCTCCTTTAAATTCCTGTGCCTACCTCTTTGGAGCCTGGGTTATAATTCCCTCTTTGACAGACAAAACCCAAGAATTTAGGAGGAATAAGAAGTAGAAGCAGGATTTGGGCCTGATTCTCTGAGCTTACAGTCTAAACTCGACCGTCAAACCACTTGGCCTCCCACTGTGTCCTAAGAAGTTTAAAGACAGAAATTAGGCCATTTTAACATTTTGCAAAACCCTAGATAGACTCACAACTTTCTCCATGTCAGCTCAGGCACTGCAGGTGCTGACAGACCCCTGAGATTCAGTGCGACCTGACGGCTCCAGTCAGAGCCTCAGGGGAGTTGAACTCACTAAGAAACCTGCCTTTCGGTCTGAGGTCCCCCATCACCCCCACCTCCAAAGCTTCCTTACATGGTTGTCTGTTTCCAAGGTCTCTTCTATGGCCTGAGGCTGTCTCCTGCCAAGGCATGGACCAGTCATAGTCTGCAGCTGCCAGAGAGGAATGAGAATTGTCCAGCCCTTGTCCTAGAGTTTTTGTCCTGTTTTTGTTGCTCCTATTTTGTGTTTTAACTTTTTTTAACATATTAATACAGTTTATCTTTTCTTTTTTTCTTTTGAGACAGGGTCTCACTCCATCACCCAGGCTGGAGTGCAGTGACACAATTACAGCTCACTGCAGCCTCTGCCTCCTGGGCTCAAGCGATCCTCCCACCTTAGCCTCTCGAGTAGCTGGGACTACAAATGCACATCACCACACCCGACTAATTTTTGTATTTTTTGTAGACACAGGGTTTCACCATGTTGCCCGGGCTGGTCTTGAACTCTTCGATCCGCTCTCCTCAGCCTCCCGAAGTGCTGGGATTATGAGTGTGAGCCACCCTGGCAAGCCAAGTTTGTCCTTTTTATTAGCAAAGTAAAATAGTTTTTAAATTCCCTGTAGTTTCATCAACCAAAGACAAATACCATTAATACTTCTTTCTAGCTTTTCCGTATGCTAGTTCCATGTCTGTTGCTCTATGAGACTGTGTGTGTTCACCATTGTGACTAAATGCATCATTTGACCTCTTGGTGTCTCTCCCCCATAGTATTATGATATAACCATTTCCATTTGTTTTTATAAAGTCTTCACAAACATCCTTTCAACTACTGTCTGAAAACCTGTTGTCAGGATGTAATAGAGTTTACGCAGTGAATCCCCTCGTGCTGGATCTTTAGGTTATTCCCAATTTTTCCCTGTTATAAACAATGCTGTAACAAACATCCTTGTTTATATGTCTATTTTCTTCAGAAAGATTTCCTGAAGTTGAATTACTAAGTCAAAGGGTATGAATAGTTTAACATCCTTGATCAATGTGTCCAAACAGCATTCTAACTATTTAAGCATATTTTAAATATTGACTTACAGAGTGTCAAATAGGAAGGAACCTTTGCAGTCAGCTCCACCCCTTCCAGATGAGAACTCACAGTGGTGCCATGTGATCCGGGCCAGTAGTCACCACTCACTCAACAAAACACTCCCCTCCACCCCACTTCCCCCCAAACCCTCCATCTCCACTCCACCCCTGCCAGTTTGACCCACTTCCAGTATTTGGCCTTTGCTCAATTCTTTGCTCTTCTCTTTCTTCTGCCTGGAACATCCTCATACTGTCTCCTGGCCCATCTCTCCTTGTGGAGAAAACCACAGACTTTAAAGCCAGCTGGCCCTCCTCTGTAGAGCGCTGCCTCCCTGTCTGTGTTGGGATGGGGTGGGCCCCCAGGGATGGAAGCACCCCTGATGAGACACACTCACCCCCTCTGGGCTGGGCACTGCTGCCCTCCACCCCCCAGGACCACACCTGGGATCCCACCCTCTCTGCCAGGGCATGCCAGTAGGAGCTCAACCACACTGCAAATATTCCCCCTACCTGGCCCGGCCCACTGAGAAGCACATTCCTCATTCCTTCCCTGGCCGTCCACATGGGGCACTGTGACAGCTAAGTCAAACATCCCATGGCGAGGCTGTCATGGAGAAAGGGGGAAGCTTTCCAGCCAGAGAGACCCAGGTTCCAATCCCAGCTTCAATTCCTACAGGGAGAGGAGAGATCCCGAGCGAGTGGCACAGGCTCCCTGAGCACCAGCTCTCCCCTCTGTGTGAGTGGCCTGGTAACTCCCCTACAAGGGACAGTGAGGAGCCGACGGCTGTAGGCACTGCTCCCTGGTCCTGTTACCTGGGCATCTGACTCAGTTTACCCACCCCAAGGGGTCATCAGTGAGGGGCAGACAATGGGGTAGGGGAGCAGGAGAGAATCAGAAATGGCCGCCCCTGCCTCCAACAAATGGCTATAAGGTAACTGGACGTCTTTGCCAGGAAGCAATGTGTACCAAGACGCTAAGCCTAACTGTGTAATTATGCTAGGATTCCTTCTAGTAATTAGCTTTTCCTTATGAGAAAGGAAAATAATTATATTTCTGCCTCACATCCAGACAGTGCATTCGGCGGCATCTGTCCACATATCCGGGGAGTGGGGTGGGGGAGAAGACGCCGCTCAACTAAATGTAGGACTGTCCAGAGGCAGTGAGTGTTCTAGAAAGCTACTTGCGGCCGGGTGAGGTGGCTCACGCCTGTAATCCCAGCATTTTGGGAGGCCAAGGCAGCTGGATCACCTGAGGTCAGCCGTTCGAGACCAGCCTGGCCAACATGGTAAAACCCTGTCTCTACTAAAAATACAAAAATTAGCTGGATGTGGTGGTGCACGCCTGTAATCCCAGCTACTCAGGAGGCTGAAGCAGGAGAATCGCTTGAACCCGGGAGGTGGGGGTTGCAGTGAGCCAAGATGGCGCCATTGCACTCCAGCCTGGGCCACAGAGTGAAACTCCATCTCCAAAAACTAAAAACAGAAAGAAAGAAAGCTACTTGCACAGACCAGGCAAACCATTCTGGAGGATGGTGGAGCTTCCCCATGCTGCTAGGGAGTTTATGAGGGACAAAGGTAGGTCCTGCTAAAGAGTGGTATGGGCAAATCTGGTGTCCAGAGCTGCAGTCTATCAGGAGGTCATGGTCAAACTGCGGCCCATGCCCAGGACACAGTGGGATGTTCCAGCAGAGGCCATGCTGATGGGGCTGGGCACGGAGGCTCACGCCTGTAACCCCAGCATTTTGGGAGACTGAGGCGGGTGGATCACCTGGGGTCAGGAGTTCAAGACCAGCCTGGCCAACATGGCGAAGCCCAGTCTCTATTAAAAATGCAAAAAATTAACCCAGGACGGAGGTGCGCACCTGGAGTCCCAGCTACTTGGGAGGCTGAGGCAGGAGGATTGCAAGAACCCAGGAGGCGGAGGTTGTAATGAGCCAAGATTGGGCGACTGCACTCCAGCCTGGGTGACAGAGCGAGACTTCGTCTCCAAAAAAAAAAAGAAACCACACTGATGGGATGCACAATCCCCACCCTGAAGGGGCGCTGCGGAAACGAGGGCCAGGGCCTACTTGGGGTCCAGCCTGGATTCCTATGCCAACCTCCTCCCTGTTTCCAAGGTCTCCCCGATTAATCCACCTGCCTTCTGACCTTAAACACAACTCTCCACCCCTCCCCTTTTCCTCACCTGATAGTTCTTTAACTTTTAAGACACATTCAAGGAGCCAGGCATGGTGGTGTACACCTGTAATCCCAGCACTTTGGGAGGGCAAGGCAGGAGGATCACTGGAGCCCAGTTGAAGACCAGCCTGGGCAACATAGCAAGAGTCCATCTCTTAAAACACTTTTCAAAAAATACAAAGGAAAGCTTTCAGTGTAGTCTTGTCCAGCAAAGCTTTTGCCTTCTTGGCTATCCCCAAATAGAGTTAAGGCCCCTCCCAAAGGTTTCCCTAATATGTTTCTCTCCCTCAGCACAGCACTTCCCAGGTGGCCTCATCAGAGACCCTCACTAAAATAATTTTTTTTCAGAGCAGAGACCACCCTGTATTCATTTTTATAACTCCTAAACCTAGCATGGTGCCAAGCACTTAGCAAAGCACTTGTGTAATGAAGAAATGAAAATAACTCATTAA
Source organism: Homo sapiens (assembly GCF_000001405.40). Lineage (NCBI taxonomy): Eukaryota > Metazoa > Chordata > Mammalia > Primates > Hominidae > Homo > Homo sapiens. Next base: position 16,032,185 of record NC_000002.12, on the reverse strand, counting down.
CTGAGAAAGAATTAATTATAGATTGGAAATGAATGAATGAAGGAGAATGTACTAATGAGAAAACGTAAGTTTACCTTTTGGACAGTGTTAAATCTGCGCTGAAAAGGAGCAGCTAATCGACCCATAATAGACTCCACCCTGCTGGAGAGGGGACTCTAGGTAGATTCCTGAAGGGCTGGCACGGAGCACAGGCAGTGCTGGCTGGCTGCCGATGGGCGAGCCCAAATTTCCTGAAGAGGCATAGAGACAAATGTCAATAAAGTGCATCCGGCTGTCGAGAGGCAAACAGAAAAGGCTGTATTTAATTTGCTGTTTGATGCTTCAGTGTAGTTTCCTCAAAGCCATTAATTGGAATTTGAATTGAGATTATTCACTTTGGAGGAAATAGATTAATTCTCCCAGGCTATACAATATTGCCTAATAAATTTGGTGTGGTGGACATTTTACATCTGTCTCAGTAAGTTTAACCTTTTCTTTAAGGTCCAGCTCCTTCTCCCTCTGTGTAGAATTAAACATGCATAAGGGCTGAGCTGTCAGGAGACCTCCTGGTGGGTCGTGAGTTCCTCTCTGTGTACCTGTCACCACTACCAGACTACGAACCCAGCACGGGCAGGACTAGAGTCTTTTACCGTCTGCTTTCCCAGTGCTAAGAGCAATTTAACAGTCATCCAGAGAAGGGGTTCCATTCCTGTTTGTACAAATAAGTGAGCAAATAAATCGATCCTTTCATGTTTTAAAAACTCACCAAGCCCTTTCCAGTACCTCTACCACCTCTCAACATCTTAGACGCCTATCAGAAGAATTTGGGTCATAAACCTTATTCATTCCTGTCTAGTCTATAAAGCTCCTTCTAAAAACATCCGAAGTCACCCTATTCCTGGCTCAAAGGGACTGAACACTACCCTTCATTGTTCCAGGCTGTGGGGTGGGGAGGGAGGCTCCAACAATACAGAAAGCAAGGCATCTGTCCCCAGGAGCTGGCGGTCACAGTGGACCCCAAGGTAAGGGGAAGTAGCTGGGCTGTCGGCAGCTGGCCACCAAAGTGTTGTCATAGACCCCGTGCTACAGGGATAGGGCAGTGTTACATTAATGTGGAGTGTGGGGGAGAACTTGTGGAAGACGGAGTGAGGGGGGCAGGGCTGAACATCCAGGGACAACAAGACTGTCCAGCAAGCAAACAGAAAGTCCTAGGAAATGCACCGGGGCCAAGAGTGGGAGACAGACAGGCCCGGCTCGCTGGGCAGCTATGGAGGGCTGGAGGCCTTAGAGAGAGCTCCTCCTGGCTCTTCCCCGAGGGAAGAAGGCCCCAGGCCCTGGGCCTTTGATTTCCAGGAGGAGAGGAGATTCTGATGGAGAGAAAGACTGAAATGCCTCCCGCTGGAGCCCACCCCACCCTGGTCTCCAATCCCCCCAACACCGCCCCCGCTTAGGTAACCCCTCCTCATGCCCGGGGCCCAATCCTGCCCATAGGCTCACCCTCTGGGTGGTGGGTCCGCAGGGCAGCTGGGAAACTGGGCTGGAGGTAGGCAAGATCAAAAGGCCTGAATAACCTCTGGGGTCACAGTGACAAAATGCTTATGGGCTGGAAGAGGATGGAGCCATTAGAGTAAGGAAATGAACGCAGGCTTTTTCCCCCTGAGTAGGCACAATGGGAGCCAATGGGAAGCGAACAAAGCTGGCCCACTTGGGCGGGAGGCAGGGCTGTGGGGAGCAGGCCCTGTTCTTTGGCCCGGGAGTTAATGTCGACCGGTCACACAATGGGAGCACTGACCCAGCTGCGGCTTCGGAGTGAGAACACTGCGAGGTCAGCGCGGCCTGACCCCCAGCGAGGTTAACCAGATCAGAGCCTCGGCTGATTGCCCAGCCCACGGGTGCCCCTAATTGCCGTAAAATTGAAGGTTCCCCCAGCATTTGCCCAGCTACCTTTTCAGGTAGCCCAGGAGCAGGGGTGGGAACCACCAAGGTGGGGACCCCCCAGCCCTTCATCACGCCAACTCTGTGACCTCATTCCTCTGCCTGGATGGCTCCGCTGGGACCTTTACCCACCCACCCTTCCCAGCGCGCTCATCACCCTTCATGGCTTTCATGTTGGGTTTTAGGTGGCAAAAATAACATTCTACTTTTAACTCGTGAAAATGTTGAGTCAGGATCTAAAGAAGCGCAATAGCCACCCTTTCCGTGACTTTTGCTCTGCCTATTATAAAAGTCAGGCATACCCATTTTAGAAAGCAGAGAAAAGCAAAAGGAAGAAAATAACAAGCATCTCACAGACAAGCACTTACTGACATTTGTGGTGTATTTCTTGCCAGGCTTTTTATATGCATTTGTTTTTACATAGTTGGGGTCATTTTGTGTTTATAATTTCACACCCTGAATGTTTTGCGTTAACAGTATGTCCTAAGAATATCTCATATGATGAAAAACTCTGTGTAGGGCCAGGCATGTGCCTCATGCCTATAATCCCAGCACTTTGGGAGGCCAAGGCGGGAGGATTGCTTGAGCCCAGGAGTTTGAGACCAGCCTGGGCAACATGACGAAACCCCATCTTTACAAAAAAAAAAAAATTAGTAGGGCATGATGGGGCATTCCTGTAGTCCCAGCTACCTGGGAGGCTGAGGTGAGAGGATCATTTGAGCCCAGGAGGCAGAGGTTAAAGTGAACCGAGATTGTGCCACTGCACTCAAGCCTGGACAACAGAGTGAGCCTCGTTCTTAAAAACAAACAAACAACAACAACAAAAAAAAACACCTCTCTGTAAACATGCTATTTAATATCTACATCAGGTTCCGGTTCTACTGCAATCATACCTAGAATAGCATAGGATGGACCATAGTGTAATTAAGCATTCACCTTAGGTTTTGTTTTTTTTTTTCATACAAATACTTCTGTAATGAACATTTTTGGTATAAATGTTTGTCTGGGTCCTGATTATTTCTTTGCAACAGATTTTCTGGAACGTATAGTGGGATTATCAATTATGATGTCTTAAAGGAATTTTTATTTCTATTTTTAAAAATTATTAAGAACCAACCTGTATGGTGATTACTGAGGACACAGTGACCAACAGATATGGCATCTACCTTGGGGAGATCCCATGACATACACACACACCACTCTAAACCCCATGCAAAATGGACTATCATTGTCATTCTGTATGGGAACAGTTCAATAAAAACTATAGCATAATGTTGCAGACCATTTGGGGCAAATCTTCCCATAACCCGTGACTTCCCCCACAACGGAGAACTTGAGTGTTCTTTTGACATTTAAGCATCATTTGCATAACACACTTGATCCGTGAGCCTCCCCCGTCTTGGGGTCAAACTTACGGAAAATGAGAGGGTTGAGGCAAGGTGGGTTTCTGCCACCTCCTCTGCCAGCCCGGTTCCTGCCTCTGAACCTTTGCTCATGCCATCCTCTGCCTGAAATGCCTCTTCCCTGACAAGCTCTTAATCAGGCCTCAAAGGCCATCTCCAATCCCATCCCGGGGGTCTCCCCAGGTTTTCGCAGCCCACAGTGAATTCCTTTCCTACTCAGTATCCTGAGCACCAATGTCCACAAGTATGCTTGCTGGAACATGAGCTCCACAGAGACCTAGAAATTTGCATGTGATTGGAGCCAACAAATAGCCAATGAATTGATCAAAAGGAATACATCACTCAGTGCCGCTTACTGAATCCTTTTGTGTGTGTGTGTGTGTTAATGTATCTCTTCAAATCGTTTATATGGTGTAGTGGTGACGATCAGATCCCAAAGCCACCTTTAATGGCCTTGTGGCCTTGGGCAGTACTCCATTTCATCATCTGTAAAATGCAGATAATAATAGTGTCTATCTCTTTGGGGTTGTTGTAAGAATGAAGTAATGTACCAAAAAACAAGGAAACTGTGTCAAAAGACATAGGAGCAAATTTGAAGGATTGCCCCTGACCAAAAGGCAGGTGAATCACAAGGTCAGGAGTTCAAGACCAGCCTGGCCAAGATGGTGAAACCCTGTCTCTACTAAAAATACAAAAAAATTAGCCAGGCCCGTTGGCAGGTGCCTGTAATCCCAGGTACTCGGGAGGCCGAGGCAGGAGAATTGCTTGAACTCGGAGGGCAGAGGTTGCAGTGAGCCGAGATCATGCCACTGCACTCCAGCCTGGGCAACAGAGTGAGACTCTGTCTCAAAAAAAAAAAAAAAAAAAGGAAACCAAAGGATTAAAATGTGAAATACAGGCCGGGTGCGGTGGCTCACACCTGTAACCCCAGCACTTTGGGAGATGAGCATATCACCTGAGGTCAGGAGTTTGAGATCAGCCTGGCCAACATGGCGAAAGCCTGTCTCTACTAAAAATACAAAAAGTAGCCCGACATGGTGGTGGGCACCTGTAGTCCCAGCTACTTGGGAGGCTGAGGCAGCAGAATTGCTTGAACCCAAGAGGCAAAGGTTGCAGTGAGCCGAGATCGCGCACTGCACTCCAGCCTAGGCAACAGAGAAAGACTTCATTTCAAAAAAAAAAAAAAAGAAGAAGAAAAGAAAAAAGAAAGAAAGAAAGAAAGAAAAAAGTGAAATATATAAAAATCTTTGAGTTCATAATAAATTTTTAAACATCATTGTTTATCTTAGAAGTTGCTTGAGCACAAAGCTATCCTGAAAATTGATAAAAAGGAAAGTATTTAGCATTTTAAAAGAGAATTAAATGATATACCACATTTATCTAACATTCATTTCTTAGAACATAGTAAGGGTTCGATAATGTTATGCTTTACTGAGCAATTAGAATATGACTTTCTTAAGAGCTGGAAATGAATCGTCTCTTTATGATTATTGTTATTCCTTTCTTCTTTCTTTTGACTAATCCTCTCTAGTTCCCCAAAGAGGAGCTTATGCTTAGGCTCTGAGTAGGTGATCAAGTATTGATCAAGTCCCACCCCAGAATCCACAAAGGTCTTCAATTGTCACATTTCTCTTCCTTTTAGTTTTTAAGAGGCAGGATGAGAAAATCCCACAGGCTGAAGGCAAGGGCTCTGGGAGGCAACACTTTGATCCGAGCAGGCAACCCCTCCCCACCTCTCTCTGCCTCACTTCTTTGATAGGAGCAGAGGAAGCAATTGACTTTAAGGAGCCGGATCATTAGCGCTAAAAGAGAGTGGAGCCAACACCCCATCTGACCTCCTCATTTTGCAGATGAAGGCACCGTGGCTCCTGGAGGTTAAGTGACTTGCCCAAGATCACAAAGCCAGTCAGCTGGGCTTCCAGCCAAGGGCTCTTTCAACCGTGCTGCTTCCAGGAAGTTGCTGGAAAAGAAATTCAAAGCTCAGTTTTAAGATGACTGAGATGAGTTTGCCGAGGCAACCAACTCAACTCTGCTTCCAGGGAAAGACAGAGAGAGAAAAAAAGAATGCTTGAAATCCCTCTAGACTATACCTATTCCCAGGTGCTGTTCTGCACAGCATGGCCATGTCATTTGTAGAAATTTCACAGCTGATTCAAGGTGAGACCACAGCTTCTCCCAAATGCTCCTGAGCCGGATTCTGAATAGGCCTGGCATTCCCAGTAAAAACAGGAGTTTTAGTCTCTCCACCTCATCCCCAGCCTGGCCACGGGTACCAACCCAAGACATCCAGAAACCCTACTACGAGCCTCCGACCAGTGGGAAGGGGGCCTGAAGAATGTTGGGGAACAACAGCTGACCCTGAGCCTCAGGGAGGTGGATCTCAACCGGCACACGGCTTAAATGTCCTCTAAACATGACACTGCCTGCATTGAGATCTCAGTCTGACCCTTTCCCTGGGACCCAGACATTTCCACCTGAATGTCACGTGGCACCTTAACCTGTCTGCTGCAGAGTTGTTGGTTTCCTGTCTCATCACTCTTGCTCTTGTTCCCACCCTCTCGATATCCATTCTTCCCTCAGTCCTCCCCCTCTAAAAATGGCACCATCCATTCACTTGTTCAGGCCAAACATCTGGGAGTCATTTTGACTCTGCGCCTTCCTGAACCTACTAGGTCCCGTCCATCAGCAAGTCCTATAGTGAGTGATAAGCTTTGCTTCTGTGGCCCCAACCCAAACCTCAAATTGTAGCTCTTATAATTCCCACATGTTGTGGGAGGGACCCGGTGGGAGATGACTGAATCATGGGGGCGGGTCTTTCCCATGCTGTTCTCATGATAGTGAATGCGGCTCACGAGATCTGATGGTTTTAAAAAACACGAGTTTCTTTGCACGAGCTCTTATTTTTTTTGCCTGCTGCCATCCACGTAAGATGTGACCTGCTCCTCCTTGCCATTCGCCATGATTGTGAGGCCTCCCCAGCCATGTGAAACTGTAAGTCCAATTAAAGCTCTTTATTTTGTAAATTGGCTAGTCTCGGGTATCTCTTTATCAGCAGCATGAAAACGGACTAATACATATGGGCTCTTCCTCAATGGGGTTTCTGCAATCCAACTGATGCCATCCTGCCTTACTGCTACCACCCTTGTCCAAAGGTGGTCAAGGTCACCTCTAACTTGAGCTGCACTTGCAGCCTCCTGACCAGTCCCCCTGCACTCACTGCTCACCCTTAACGCCCCAGCCCCTACCCATGTGACAGGGACCATTTTTTAAAATGTAAAGTAGATCACTTATCTGCCTCAGGTGGCTTCCTATTGCAGGTCAAACAAAACCCAAATAAAATCCTCAGCATCTCCAAAAAGTCCTGCAAGCCCAGGGTCTGCCTTTCCATGCTCCACTTCTCCATGCCCCGTGCTCCTGTCCAGGTCCTTCCTCAGCACCCACTGTGCAGCCGCCTCACAGCCTCTGCCCCTCTAATTCACGAAGCCGTTGCTGCTACCTGTGGTGCTCTTCCCGTGAGGGGCACCATCTCCTCACTCTGGGCTCAGCTCCAACATTGAACTTCACAGAAAAGCTCTCCTGAGCTTACCCCACACTCTGCACTACTCTACACCACTGCTGTTTTCTCCACTTTGTAGCATGCACTGCTGTCCTTCTTAGCACTATATTTATCCTTTACCACATGTGTCTACCTCCACTTTCTCATGAAAATTCCATGAGGATGGGCCTTTGCTTTCCTTGCTCAATGATGCACCCTTTGTACCCCACACATCACAAGTGCCAATAATGATTGTGGAAGGTACAATTTCAGTTGCTGAGGAGGTTGAGCTGCAAAGACAACTTCTATGAGCCAATAAAAAGAAAACCTCCTGGCTGGGTGCGGTGGCTCATGCCTGTAATCCCAGCAGTTTGGGAGGCCAAGGCAGGCAGATCACTTGAGGTCAGGAGTTCGAGATCAGCCTGGCCAACATGGTGAAAACCTTCTAGCAAAATTAGCCGGGCATGGTGGCACATGCCTGTAATCTCAGCTACTCGGGAGGCCAAAGCAGGAGAATCGCTCAAGCGACGGAGGTTGCAGGAAACAGAGATCACACCACTGCACTTCAGCCTGGGCAACACAGTGAGACTCCATCTCAAAAAAAAAAAAAAAAAGAAGAAGACCTCCAAGAAACCTTCTGGGCCCCTGCTATTCTATATTCTACTGGTTCTCCAACTTGGCTAAACATTGAAATCGTGGGACAGTTTTTTTTAATGTTGATTCCTGGGTTCTATCCCTAGTCAATGTGATTTACTTCATCTAAGGTGAGCCTAGGAATCAGGAATATTTAAAGATCCCAACTGGTTCTAACATGCAGCAAAGTTTGTGAACCACCAGTCTACATCTCATATGCAAACATAGGCAGAAAATGCTCCTGGTATACTATTCTAAAAGGAAGAAAAAGAGCAAAGAAAGGAAGAAACAACATTAATTGAATATTATATGCAAAGTTTTATACTAGGAAATTTATATGCTATTCCATTTAATTTTAAAAGCAATACTGTGAGATAGGCATTACTTATTTCGTTGATTTAATAAACCCTTAGAATTTATCATTTTTCAGGGACTCTTCTAAGCTCTTTATACTATTAACTAATTTAATCTTCATAGCAAATTCATGAGGCAAGAACTATCACTACCCTCATTTTCCAGACAGGGAATTGAGGCACAGAGAGGTTAAGTAACATGTCTAAGATCACACAGCTGAGAGGTGTCAGAACTCAGTCTGTTTCCAGAGTCCAAGTGTGTAACCTCTATGTGATCCTGCCTCTATCACTATCTCTATATGATAAATTGCAGCTCAAAGATACAAAATAACTTGCTCAAAGTCACAGGGCACATGCAATCACATCTGATTTTAAATCCTATTCCCTATACTTTTCATGCTGATGCATCTAGTAATCTCAGCTAGCCTCTAAGAGCTTTGAAAGCAGAGGCCACGGTCATGTCGTTTATTGCTCCTTATTCAACCAAAAAGCTGGCTGTGGTGCTATGGGCACAGTAGATGCTTAATAAACAGTTGTATAAAGTGAAAATTGCAGGAGTGTTCAAAATAAATGCAGTCGGATTAATTTCAAGTACATATGGTATTTACAATTGGGCTCACTGCCTGGCAGAAGCTCTTCTTTAATAATAAGATTAGAATGACTTGCAATTAACACATCAAAGCAGCAGCTGACAGTATCCAGCTCTCTGCTCATTAATGGTCTTTCTTTCTTTATATATAAATGAGGGTCTTACAGTTTGGAAAGCACGTTTATAAATCAATAAACAATGGTAATAATTATTTTTAATAATTGCCTTAATATGATCATCATTATAGTGATAACAAGAACAATATGATGGAGAATGAGCTGTTCCCTGACCAGTGAGAAAAATGTGACTTTCAGATTCCACAGTGAGTGATCAGTTTCAGAAACTGATTTTCTTTGTTATTTCATTCCAAATTTGTTTCCTCTAAAATGTTTACTGCTGTATTAACATAAAGGACAACTTCAGAAAAATCAAATATTATGCAGAATCCACATTAATCTCCAAGGCTATATTGTGTCCTATTTGGAGCTTAGACTCTCTCTTTAGAAAAATCCTCTTTTTACCACTCTCCCCTCTCTCCATACACCAGTCACTAGAGCTTTTCTGTTCCTTGAATACACACAGCCTCAGCTGGGATGCTCATCTCCGCATGCCTGGCGTGATTGTATCATTCTCTCATCACTCTGTTGAGTTTTCTTCAAGGCACTGGTCATTACCTGAAATTATCCTCATTTTACAAATGAAGAGACTGAGCCACAGAATGATTAAGCAACTTGCCCAAGTTCACATGGCTTCCAACAGCAGAGCAGGGCTAGAACCCAGGCAGAACAAAACAGCCTCAGAGACCGTGCTCATACCTGGGTGTCCCCTTGCCTCTCTTGCTGCTATTCTGTGATCTCTGTTGGATAGGGAGCAGTTCCTGGCTCTGTCGAATTCTCTCTGAGTCTCAGGTTTTTTCTGGTGTAAATTGGGGATAAAAATAACTCCCTGGGAGGGTGGTTGTGAAAATTAACTGAATTAATCACTGTAGAACACCGAAAGTGCCTGCCATGTAGGAGGTCCTCAGGTGTATGTCCCAGCTCTGCCATCCACTAGCTGTGGGGCCCGAGGCAAGTTATTTAAATTTCTTGCACCTCAGTTTCCTAATCTGTAAAATGCACATAGTGTTATTACATTCCTCATGAGGATTTTGTGGCAATTAAGTGAAATAATATATTTGAAGAGCTTAAAAAACCACTAGACACATGTAAGTTCAAGAGATATTGGTTGGGGGGTGGTACTATTATTATTACCCTGTTCTACCGTTGTCCAGATGCAAACGTTTTCTGATTTAATCAGAGTGTGGAGACTATCTCAGTGTCCACTGTTTTCATTGATCCTATGTCTTAGTCATTTTTCCTTGGTTCTCTGTAGTTTTCTTCATTACCATTTTAGTGGCAGTAGAATCAAGGTGCTGACCAATTGCCTGATGGGTTTTCAATTTAACAAACATTTCCTGAACACTTATTTTGTGCCAGCTCTGTGCTAGGGTCTTCAAAAGATAAAAAGAAATATTCATGAGATATATTTCCTACCCCCAAGGAAACTGAAACACAGTACAACACCTGATGCAATTGAGCCTAAAAAAAAAAAAAAATGTGTGCCAGCTCAGGGGAGCAAGGAGTCTGTTCAATCCAAGGGGAGATTTGAATGTGCAAACTAAGCATGCTCTTTCTACAACTGTCTTCTGGTGAACCTGAACTAGAATGCTGAAAGACTGGAATGGGAAAGAGCCCTCGAGATTTTCAGGTCCCTCATGTTTACTTTACATACCAGGAAACAGCAACCCGGAGAAAGCAGAATTGTCCAAGTTTCCACAGCACAATGGTGACCTTGGGGGCAAAAAAGACACAAGGTACGCTGACTGCTCTCTGGCCAATGAGAAGAAGGAAACTAAAGCATGGAGTCTGGGGTTCAAGAGAATAATTCCTCAGGCCAGATGCCAGGGCTGTGAAGATGTGGATGGTTACTAAACCTCTCTGGGCCTCAGCTCCCTCTTCCCACGTACTGCACATTTTAAACACAATGAAATACTATTAACTCAGGATGAGTTCATTTAGAATGTGGGTTTTTTTTCCTTTAAAGCTCAGTTTGCTAGCTTCTAAAAATTAACCTAAATAAATAGAAGTATGAATAAGCTTATACTTTGCAAAGTGTTTTCTTAGTTTTTATCTCATTCAAGAAAATGCTTTAAAAAGCTAATAGCGATGAGGAAACAGGTTCAAAGAGATCAAGCAGTTATCTGAAGTCCTACTAGGAAGAAAACATGGGTTCAAACCAACATCTGCCAAGACCGTACCTTTTCCTACTGTTCTTTGCTGAAGTGACTTCGTTGTTGTTGTTTTCTTTGTTTTATTATTGTTTTTTTGAGATGGAGTCTCACTCTGTCTCCCAGGCTGGAGTGCAGTGACGTGATCTCAGCTAACTGCAACCTCCACCTCCTAGGTCTAAGAGATTCTCCTGCCTCAGTCTCCCGAGTAGCTGGGTTTACAGGCACCTGCCACCACACCCGGCTAATTTTTCTGTATTTTTAGTAAAGACAGGTTTCGCCATGTTAGCCAGGCTGGTCTCAAACTCCTGATCTCAGGTGATCCACCTGCCTTGGCCTCCCAAAGTGCTAGGATTACAGGCATGAGCCACTGTGCCTGGCCTGCTTTTGCTATTATTATTTTAACAAACACGTAATACCTCCAGGGTTCACGTTCATGCAAGAAAACTTGGAATATCAGTGAGTTTACTGAGATTCTTTCATATATTTAAGGGTATACATAGGTCACTAGTTTATTCCATTTATTAAAAGTGTAATTAGTAACTGTGTGGACACCAAGAAATCCTTTGGCCATCAGTGTATTTGAGAATTTCTATATATTTTATAGTTTTAGCTAACAAACATTCACTGCAAACCTACTATGTGCCAGTTATTGTCCTGGGTAGTGTCTCTGCACTGGAGGATGTGCCAGCCAGGTTTGTAGATTTCCAAATTGTTAGGGGCAAAGGTGTCAGGGACCTAACAAGCAAGTTTTCCAAATTCCTCACAATGGCGAGAGTCCCTAGTTAGAGAGGATGCTTGGACCTCTGGGATTGCTTTGAAAAGCTTTTGGGAAGGAGGCCCTGTGGGAAATGCCTGGAACTCCCTCAAATTGGCTCCATTTCAGACCCCCAAGACCAAGAAAGCATTGAAAGGGGAGTCCTGAAGGAACCATTTATATGGAGATCTTTTTCGTGGCGCTGTTCAGGAGCTTGGACGCAGTCCACAGCTAACAGGGCCATTTCTGTTTCAACCAGAAGACGCCTAACTATCTCTGGCTTCTAACCAGTTATAATGGCTAAATACACAAGAAAAGAAAAAACAAAAGAAAGAAGAAAGAAACAAAAAGAAACAAGAAAAGAGAGAAAGTTTAGTAAAGAAAGAAAAAAAGGGTATGTTTTTCCTCTAGTCTCATGGTACTGTGGAGCATTACAGCTGGAAGGGATCTCTCATTTTAGCCCATCCAGGTGTTTGGGGCTATAGGATCCTGATCCACCCCCTAAAGAAATCCATGGACTTAGGAAAGATGGACAATGGCCTGAGCAACCCATATTAGAAATCCTCATGTGCACTCCCTCCAAAGCTGGACTTCCAGGTACTGTCAGTCCAGGAACCTGGTGATACCTCGCAGGGGATCCCCATCACAGACAGGGCCTCCCTCCCTCCCCTCAACCCCCACCTTCCACTCCTCACCCTGCTCCCCACTCCATGAACCTGCACAGGGTGGAAGGAGCTAGAGAATGCTGTGTATAAATCCTAGCTCTATTGAGTCTCAGTTTTCTTTGTGTGTAAAACAGAGATAATAACACCTACCTGGGAAGGTCCTTGTAAGGATGACATAAATCAATGGCTGCAAAACACCTAGAAAGTGCTATCCACAAAGGAGGTGCTCTGCCAGTAATGCCAGACATCTTGCCCCATTACACAAAGACTTCCCATGAGGAAAGAAGTCGCTGGAAGTTTTAAGGGAATAATTTCCCTTTCCAGGTCTTCAGCTTCCAAGTGTACTCTTACCCAAAATTGATGGGGCTGAGGATCCCCCTGAGATCGGCGTCACACTGTGGAGGTGGCAACTGAACTAAGTCTTAAGGGATAATAAGTCCCTCATTAAGCATTAAATTGAGAAAAGAATGAAAGAGAAAGGTTTCTAAGCAGAAGGAACCTGGCACTGAAATGTAAGACAGCCTGAAAATGCATGGGGAGACAATGAGATCCACCTCTGAGTAATCTTGTAAAAGTAAAAATGTCACGGTGCCTCTAAGGATAGTTAGTCCAACCATCAATAAGTGCAGGTTGACCTAATGATTAACCAATTGATAACAAAGAGTTCCTAAATGCTATCTCCTCATTAGAAGCCTTGATTGAGCTAAGTAGGATCTTCCAAAGAATTTAGGCTCCTCTGAAACAGCTGTTCCTCTGAGACAGCTGTTTGCCTGGATTTTCTTGCAGAGCTCCTAAAAGGCTTGTCTGAGGAATGATGCGACGTGATCTGATGTGACCGCCGGAGCTGAACTATCGGTGGTTGAAGGAGGCTCTGGGGAAGCTGTACCCCAGAAAACAATCAGTGCATGAACCCCTATATTTTGCGAAAGCCTAACATTTTATAACTTTTTTTGAGTACAGAGGTCCCCTTACTCTTTTCTCACCTTCTCTTTTATTGTTTATAATTAGTTCTGCCATGGTCCCAAGTAACCACAAAGCCCCGAAGGTGGGTGCCCACAGCTCATCGCTTTGCTCCTCCGGGGCCACAGCACTTCTTGGCTATCATTGGCTTTATTTTCTACTGAGCACATTGTTATCAATGCCTTTTCTTTCTCTTTTAACACCAAGGCCTGTAGACCACTGCTTCTCAAACTTGAATGTGCCTACGACTCAGTGTTTTGTGAAAAGGCAGATTCAGCTCTGTTAAGTGTGACCTGAGGACCCCGGTCCTGCATCTCTAATACGCTCTCAGGTGACGCAGATGCCACTGGTCCGTGGACCACACGTTGAGTGGGAAGGTTGTAGACTGGGTTGGCAATTGCTCCCCACCAGCCCAAAACAAAACCTCCTTGCAGAAGTCACACAAAACTGAGAGAGCTCATTCATTGATAGGATTGTCTCTGTGCCTCCTTTTTGGGGAGCTGACAACAATCTTTTGCACTGGTATGGCAATTTACTATTTACAGAGCCCTCTCCTGCCTGTCTTCTCATTTCTCTTCCCCCCACACTGGGAGGAAGTCCAAGAAGGCAGAATCTAGGCTGGGCATGGTGGCTCACATCTGTAATCCCAGCACTTTGGGAGGCTGAGGCGGGTGGATCATTTGAGGTCAGGAGTTCAAGACCAGCCTGGCCAACATGATGAAACCTCGTCTGTGCTGAAAATGTAGAAATTAGCTGGGCATGGTGCTGTGCGCCTGTAGTCCCAGCTCCTCAGGGTGCTGAGGCAAGAGAATCATTTGAACCCGGGAGGTGGAGGTTGTAGTGAGTCAAGATTGCACCAATCACTCCAGCCTGGGAGACAGAGCAAGACGCCATTGAAAGAAAGAAAGAAAGAAAGAGAGAGAGAGAGAGGAAGGAAGGAAGGAAGGAAGGAAGGAAGGAAGGAAGGAAGGAAGGAAGGAAGGAGGGAAGGAAGGAAGGAAGGAAGGAAGGAAGGAAGGAAGGAAGGAAGGAAGGAAGGAAGGGGAAGGGAAGGAAGGAAGGAAGGAAGGAAGGAAAGAAAGAAAGAAAGAAAGAAAGAAAGAAAGAAAGAAAGAAAGAAAGAGAAAGAAAGAAAGAACGAAAGAGAAAGAAAGAAAGAAAGAAAGAAAGAAAGAAAGAAAGAAAGAAAGAAAGAAAGAAAGAAAGAAAGGGCAGAATCTCCCCATTAGTGAAAGGAGGAAAGCAAGGCTCAGGGAGGCCCCAGTTTTCCAAGACGCTCTAGTCTTCGTGGCACTGAAAAGCTAACTTGCCTCTCTCATGCCTACTGTTGCCCCGGGCTGACAGCCCATAGCTTTGGTGGCCTCTGGCCTGGAGCAGAGAGAAGAAGCCAAGGAAAGCATCATAGTAAGAGAACAAGTTGCTATGCCCGTTGATGACAATGTCATGGCTACACTTGTCCATACGTTAAAATTGCCTGAGACTAGCTTGTGCCCCAACGCCAGGTATCCTACCTGTCTATCTCTACTCTCTTCTCTTCTTCACAGCAACCCTGCAAGATCAAATGTACTATTTTCTTTTTACAGTTGAAGAAGAAGTTAAGTAACTTGCTCAAGGTCCCTGAGTCAGTTGCGGGGCGGGGTTCAGCGTCAGGGCACTGAACATCCCAGGCTGTGTTGCTGTAGTAATCTGTTAGAGCTCTTACATGTATTACTCATTCTAGTCATTTTGTTGCCCACATCATAGTGCCTTGCTCTTCCAGAAATGTCTGTTACATTCCAGAAATATCTGTTGAATAGAATTAAATGGAATTTATCTGAGTGATGTCTTATAATATATTATATTTCAATAGCTATTGCCCCTTGAAGTGACTAGGAAGTGGGAACACAGCCATTTCGTACTCTAAATAAAGTTAGTGCCACTTCATGTTTGTGAACTTGCCATAAAGAAAATGTTGCAAATGAAGTACAATTAGAAACAGGGCAGCTAAGGTGCAATAATTATTTGTTTCTGTTGCATACTTTCTGTGGGTAAAAGATCCAACCGTCCATAGGTTTCTTTCTTCATTTTTACTTTGTTCTTACCAATAATAAATATAAATAATAATAATAATACCTTTTTCGCACCATATTATTTGCCAGATACTCCACTGGGTATACATTATTTCACTTAATCCTTACAAAAAGCCTAGAAAGGAGGTGTTATTATCTTTAAAGCTAAGAAAAATGTGTTCAGCAAGCGTGAGTGCCTGGCCCCAAATCATATCCCTGGTAACAGGGTTTCCATAGTTCCTCTGACATTGTCTCTTCTCTTTGTTTTTACCACATTGTCTTTCCAACACTGATGCAAATTTAGTTTGAAATGAGATGAAACTGACTAAGGTGAACACTTTGAAATCACCTACAATATATTGTGTCGTTTTTTTTTGGGGGGGGGGGGTTGGGGGAGGGGACAGGGTCTCACTTTGTTGCCCAGCTGGAGTGCAGTGGTGTGATCATAGCTCACTGCAGCCTCCACCTCTCAGGATCAAGCGATACTCTTGCCTCAGTCTCCCAAGTAGCTGGGGCTACAAGCATGCACCAATGCACCCAGCTAATTTTTTTTTATTTTTTGTGAGATGGAGTCTCACTGTGTTGCCCAGGCTGGTCTCAAAGAGCTGGCCTCAAGAGCTACTCCCACCTTGGCTTCCCAAAGTGCTTGTGAGCTCATCTACAATACTTATATTGTTTTCTCATATTTATGATCATTTATTCTCCCCTCCCCTCTGCCACCCCCCCAATGCCCAGCCCTTGAAAATGCTCTGCCTATTGCTAAGTTATGGAGGAATCAGCAGAAGCCTGAAGAAGGGTTATTGTCAACTAAAAGCCAGGCAAGAAACCATTTTACTTAGCTATTCTGCTCCCTGCAACGCTTTTTAAATTATAGCACATCTTTCCATTTCTGGTTAGACCAGACTGTATTGCTTTTGGCCAAAATCCATGCAAGACCTGCAGTGAATGAGAAGAGCATGTACAAAGTTATTCTGAGAAAGTCACCACATAGGGGTATGTTCCTGAGCATGAAAATATTCACATTTCAGAGCTAATTCACAGAAAATCATCACACAAATACCTCACTCACAGTCTCATTCATTCGAGTCAAATATTTGTTGAAAGAATGAAATACAGCATCTAAAGTGAGTTTTGTTCTGACCTTTCAAGTGGTGAAAGGAAAAAGAGATCATAAAACTATGTCTGGGTCAAATTATCAGTAACTTCCCTTTTCTCTTTCACGATTGACTCTCTGTGATTGATCCTCTGGGAATAACTTCCCCTGAGCTCTTGGCAAAGTTTCAGACGATAAACATATGATGAAAATATTGACGAAAATCGTTCGGTTCAGGGTTCACTAGTCTTGAGTTCATTGGCTTTGCCTCTGATGGAAAAACAGTCAATGTCTGGATCCAGACGGTGGAAACTACCATCCTGTCTCGCCTGGAAGGGGTATGGGGTACCAAGGCAGGGGGCCCCATACCATCCTGTTTCACCTGGAAGGGGGATGGGGTAACAAAACAGGGGGCCCCATACTGTCCTGTTTCGCCTGGGAAGGGGGATGGGGTACCACGGCAGGAGGCCCCATATCATCCTGTCTCGCCTGGGAAGGGGTGTGGGGTACCACAGCAGGGGGCCCATACAATCCTGTCTCGCCTGGAAGGGGTGTGGGGCCCCATACCATCTTCTCTCGCCTGGGAAGGGGTGTGGGGTATCACGGCAGGGGGCTCCTTAGCCATCTCGCCTGGAAGGAGGATGGGGTACCACAGCAGGGGGCCCCATACCATTCTGTCTCACCTGGGAAGGGGGATGGGGTACCATGGCAGGGGGCCCCATACCATCCTGTCTCGCCTGGGAAGGGGTGTGGGGTACCACGGCAGGGGGCCCCACTGTTACCCCCTCTGCTTGCCTTACAATACTAGGGGAAAGTGTGGAAGACAAAAGTGTTCCTCTCTCCATCCCTTTCTCTTCAGCACCTGAGATCGGCTTGGTACCAAAAAAGTACTTGCCAGCTGAATGGAAGAAAAAAGGAAAGGTAGGCAGGAGGAAGGAAGGAGCCTCATCTTGTTCATCAAGTGAGGTAAGGGCAAGCCAAGAAGTGACGCCATTTTAGGAAAGAGGCAAGGACGTGAAACAACCCAGACTAGGGAGGAATCTAGAAGCAGTTTGTTCATTAGGTGCAAGGTGCAGGGCCAGCCTGCAAGGTGCAGGAGAGCAACTGGACCAATGAGGGTTTCCATGCCAACCTGAAGAGGTTGGTCTTTATTCTCAGGATGACAGTCATCCGTCGTTGGACTGTTCTAAGGAAGACAGAGATATAACTAAAATGGTGTTTTAGAAACAGCTTTCTGGCTGCAGTGAGAGAAGATGGGTTGGGGGGTGAGGAGCCAAGGGTGAAGAAAAGGAGCGCTAGAGGCGCCCCCACGGGCCATGGGGCAGCCTGCAGAAAGTGCAGATGGACAGTAGCAAGTTAAAGGCAGGAGAGCCGACGCCCCGGGGCTTGCCTGGCTGCTGAGGGTGACAGTGGAAAATCTAGGCGGGCGTCCAGATTTCTCATACAGAGGTGACACAGGACGGGAAGCAGGTTGGAACGTTCCGTTAGGAACATGATAAATAGCTACTCTCTGTTGCTATTCTATTTCCCTTTCATTTAGTTTGGACAAGGGAGGCAACCCTCTCTCAATAACGCCTTTCTTGTTTTTAGCTGTGTTGGTCATTCACTGATGTCGGTGGGGTGGGGGAGCTGGTGGGAGGACTGAGGGCGAGGGGTATTAGTAAACATGAAGCGAAGGCCTCGGGATGGTTGTTAAACAGAGAGCCGGGCTGAATCAGGCGAGGCCGGAACACCTGCCATGTGTCCGATGCCCAGAGCGCCCGGGCGTGTCCCTGAGGCCTGGACACTCCCCCTGCGAGCCGTTTCCAAACCAAATGAGATGAAGACACACAAAGAACAAATGCCTTCGGCACCTACTGACAGCGGAGGGGCTCCCGGGCGCGACTCAGGGACAGCTCCTCCGGCTTTACCTTCGGAGCTTGTGGTTTTGCTTACAGGGGTTTTTAAAAATTTCTGCGTGTGCAGGTGTTTTCTTTTTGTTAGTTTCAACGCAGCCGCAACTTGCCTCTGACATTTCAAAGTGATGGAGGTGCCTTTTCTTCCCGCCACCCTCTCTGGTGCTTCCTGCGCGTCGCGCATCTCGGGCTCTGAAGACCCTTGCTCCGGATGACCAGGAGGAGAGTGCATGCCACACGTCCGAAGCTGCGTCTCCACAGAGATCCCCTCCTTCCTGGTGCCTCGCTCACATTCTTGAAGCCCCCTGGCTCCTTGCCCAACACTCCCCAGTCTCACAAAGAAAAGAATTTGCTTTTTTTTCCCCTTCCTCCAAGCTCTCCTTCTCTTTCTCTAGCTCTCTCACTGTTTGTCTCTGTCTCACAGCCTCTCTCAGTCTCTGTCTGAATCTTTCTGTCTCAGTCTCAGTCTCTGTCTCCCTGTCTCTGTCTCTCTTTCTGTCTCTGCCTGTCTCTCTGTGTGTCTCTGTTTCTCTCTCTCTGCTTTTCAGTCTCTCCTCTCTCTCTTTTCCTCTCTCTCTTTTTCAAATTTCAAAGCGTTGCTTTGAATGACGGACTATTCAGGACAGGCAGAATGAGGCCTCTCTGGGGCTCGGCTGCAGTCAAAGCCTCCCGCACTTCTAAAGGGGCTGCGGCCGGTCTACCCGGGGCGCGGGCGGCGTTGTCGCGGTGGCGGCGGCCCTGCGCCCCGACTGGCCATCTGTATGCAAATCTCAGCAGACCCAGCAAACTTGCATCAGCCTGGCCGGCCTGGCGGGCTGTGCACTCGGCAATTATCAGTGCACATCGGGCCTTTGTGCCCACGGCCGGGCTTTGTGGGTGCCCAGCACCTGCACCTCGGAGGTGGCAGATGGCAGGACTTGGCAGCAATATGGAAGTTTGCCTGAATGTGGCCAAGCCACAAATGGACATCTTTTATTTCTTCCTGGGGGTGGGGAGCTGAAGAGAGGGGGATTAGTGCTGGATTACCACCCATTCACGCACTCGGCAAATATTTATTGAGTGCCTACTATGTGCCCCCAGCCAGTGGTCTCAGGAAGGGCCCAACAAAGGAAGGAAATGATGTGGGTGTTTTGCTGGGAAGAAAGAAAAAAAAATCTGGGAAGTGGCTATTTGCATTCAAAATTGCTACATATGCAACTGGCAGGACAGGTTTTCATTCCTGGAGACTGCAGCCGTGGCAAGCCTAGGAGCCCCTCCCTTCCCGGCTCCTTGCAGACACCAGCTCCTGCCTGGCCCCTGTGCCACATGCTCGTGCAAGCTGATGTAGTGCCACCATCAGAGTGTGCTCTACCCAAGAGTCTGGATTGCCTTGAACCTCAGTGAGGTGGCCTCTGCCAGGGACTCCAGATGAAGACAGAAAAGTGCTGTTGCTTGGTCAATCTGCCCACAGAGTGGGAAATGGTCTGGGTTCGCTGGGGAGACAGGCTGTGTCACAGGTCTGCTGGGAATGAGCTTCCTCTCCCAAGGCGCCTTTTTGTTGTAGTTGTTGTTGTTTGTTTGTTTTTTAAGACAGGATCTCACTCTGTCTCCCAGGCTGGAGTGCAGCAGTGCCATCATAGCTCACTGTAGCCTTGAGCTCTTGGGCTCAGACAATCCCCCCAACTCAGCCTCCTGAGTTTCCAGGACTACAGGGGCACACCACCACACCCAGCTAATTTTTTAGTTTTTATTTTATTATTATTTTATTTATTTATTCATTCACTCATTCATTATTTTGTAAAAATGGGGTTTTGCTATGTTGCCTAAGTTGGTCACAAAGTCATGGCCTCAAGCAATCCTCCCATCTTTACCTCCCAAAGCGCTGGGATTACAGGCATGAGCAACCTCACCTGGCCATGATGCCTTTGTTAAACCATCATTCTGAGAGCTTTGCACATGGAGGAGGCTTTGCACATTTTCAAACTGCTTATAGCAGCCCAAATAGACTAAGACAAATGGAAAAGTAAAGCACTCTACCAGTTTCCCAGGTGAGTTTTCATTTGTTTTCACATAATTCATTCCATAAATTAGAGTGGGAGTTTTGCAGATATGGCATCAAAGCACCTGGTTTCTATAGGAGGTAGTTCAAGGCCAGTACAACAAAGCAAGGAGCTCAAAGCATTAGGGTATGTGCCCTTTCGGTCACTCTGCAAGTTGGTATTCAATTTACAGAGGAGAAAGCCAATCACAGAAATGCAGTGAAAAGAGATCTTATGGCAAGTTTGAGAGAAAGCCCAGATGAAAGCCTTGGTCCCCTGACCCCAGCGTTGAGCTGGTGTGAATGGCAGAGCAGATCTCTCCTCCAAAGTTAGTTGGTCTTTGCTTAACAAGACCATTTTAATGCCAGGCTATGTTGAGAAAACATTTTGACAGGGCCTAAAAATTCTTTTTTATTTCCAAATAAGTATGCATCTGGCACTATGGCCCCAAACCACACTGGAGCCTCAATCTGTCCCCACCTTCTGGGAATCTCTACTTCCCACCCTGTCCCTGGTGCTCCTGCATCTCTCATCCTTGCATCACTTTTGAGCACCTTGTTTTGTTGCACTGGCCTTGAACTACCTTCTACAGAAAGCAGGTGCTTTGATGCCATGTCTGCAAAACTCCCACTCTAATTTATGGAATGAATTATGTGAAAACGGATGAAAACCCACCTGGGAAGCTGGTAGAGTGCTTTACTTTTCCATTTGTCTTAGTCCATTTGGGCTGCTATAACAAATTGCCATAGACTGGTGGCTTCAACAACAAACATTTATTTCTTACACTTCTGGAGGCTGGAAGTCCAAGATCAACATACTGACAAATCTGGTACCTGGTGAGAGCTCTCCTCCTGGTTTGCAGATGGCCGTCTTCTTGCTATGTCCTCACATGGTAGAGAGCAGAGAGAAAGAAGCAGTAAGCTCTTATGTCTCTTCTTATAAGGGCACTAATCCTATCATGATGGCTTCATCCTCACAGTCTAATTACCTCCCAAAAGCCCAACCTCAAAATACCATCACATTAAGGATTAGGGTTTCAACATACAAATTTTGGGGAGACATAAATATTTAGTTCCTAATACTATTTTACAAGAACAATGAGTAACATTCCCTGCTGATTAACAAAGTAGAACTACCAGGCAAATCTGACATCTACATCAACATCTCTAAGGAATGAAGTTGAGCATGTGACCAAATCAAAGTCAGGGCTGGGTAAACCTCAGGATGGGGTTTGAATCAGCAGCTAAGGGAGGAAAGGATCCGGGCAGAAGGAGATGCCTATGGCATATATTTCCTGATGATAACAAATACTATGTATGCAGTTTGAGGGCACACAGTCAAAATATCCAATATGGTGGCTGGTACTGGGAACCATTCGCTATGACTGAGGCATTGCAGACTCCTGGGAACTAAACCTGAGAACAGGGTGTTTGCCTGCCCAATATCATCAACTAGAAATAGCTCCCTGCCCCACAAGCTGGGGTTGGGGGCTGCAATTATTGTCCTGGGTTCCAGGAGGCACCATAAGATCTGGAAAGTGCCCTTCTGTGTACATCCTGAAGGAAGGAGGATTTAGGGCACATTTGGAATTGAATTCAACTTAACACATTTGTACTGTGCAGGGAGGTCAATTTAGACAGGGTGGGTAATTTTAAATAGAGTGAACAAAGGCTCCGAAATGGGAAAAATGCAGAGGTGCTCAGAGAACAGTGGGTTGCCTAATTTAACTAAAATAAAAGTTTGTGAGAAAAACACATGAGATGAAGTCAGTTAAAGTAGGTTATGCAGGGTCTCCACCATCGAATTCCATGGATGAGACTTGGCCCCTGGTCAAAAGCAAGCCCTGTGAGGTTATTGGCAAGAAATGTGCCTTGCTTCGGTCTGTGTCTTAGATAACTCAGGCAGTTGAGACATGAATGGATTAGAGTGGAGAAGTGAATAGAGGCAGGGAGGTTGGTGAAGCAGGTTGGGGGAGCTTTTGAAGATAAGATGTTTCTTCATTGATGCAGGATGAGATAGACTGTAAAGGGGTAAAAGGGGAAGAATTTTGTTGCCTAGAGTCAGCATCCTTATCTGTAAATTTGGGATACTATTACCTAACTGATAGAATTCCTATAATTAAACAAGAATGTATGTGAAAGTACCCAGAACTGTCCCTGGCACACAGTAGAAACTTAATATCTATGTAATAAATGAATGGATTGATAAAAAAAAATGAACAGATAGAGAGGCAGGTGAATGCATGGTGGGTGGATGAATGGAGGGACAGGTGAATGCATGGTGGATGGATGGAGGGACAGGTGAATGCATGGTGGATAAATGGAGGGACAGGTCAATTCATGGTGGATAGATGGAGGGACAGGAGAATGCATGGTGGATGGATGGACATGTCAATTCATGGTGGCTGGATGGAGGGACAGGAGAATGCATGGTGGGTGGCTGGATGGAGGGACAGGTGAATGCATGGTGGGTGGATGGAGGGGCAGGTGAATGCATGGTGGATGGATGAGGGACAGGTGAATTCATGGTGGGTGAATGGATGGAGGGATAGGTGAATGCATGGTGGAAGATGGAGGGACAGGTGAATGCATGGTGGATGGATGGAGGGACAGGTGAATGCATGGTGGATGGATGGAGGAACAGGTGAATGCATGGTGGATAAATGGAGGGACAGGTGAATGCATGGTGAGTAGATGGATGGAGGGACAGGTGAATGCATGGTGGATGGATGAAGGGACAGGTGAATGCAGGGCAAATGAGTAAATGAATAAACAGATTGACAAATGAGGGAGTGGAGGGAGGTACCAGTGGTCAATTGTTGAGTACATTCTTCCAGATACTGTTCAAAGGCGACCTCCTCCAGGAAGCCTCCCAGAACTTCAGCTTACCCTTCTCCCCAACTCCATGTGACCGCTTTTACATTCCCCCAATAATAAAGTGATTCCTTCCTCTCTTAAACTGCCTTGAAAAACAGGCCCCTCCACATTGCTGTGGTCACTCACTCCACTCGGCCCTTGCTTCATCTTAACTCTAACAATGGTCTCGTTCAGGAACACCACCTCACTTCCCCAACATAGGCTCTGGGCACACATTTGCAGTTTGGGTTTTTAGAAGGGCGACTTGCTACTGATGATTTGATTTCATCCCAAGACTTGACCCCACATTCAACCTGTAACGTTGAACAAATACACTTAACTTCACAGGGACTCCCCTCCCTCACCTATAAAACAGACAACTACATCGCAGCAGAAGGTAGGAGGGGTCTAGGCCCTCAGAGTTCCTCTGGAAGGGGCACACAGGAGCCTTGCAAAGGAGAGGCCTTGAGGAAGAATGGTCCCCACCTCATGGCCAAGTGACCTTGAAAGTCGTAGCCGTCTCCCTCCCTCCCTGACAGGGAGCTGGGCTTTTTGCCCAACTAGAGCTCACCTGGCTCCATGTCCGTAACTCGCAGGACTGCAGTGCCCTAGAACAGAGCAGATTCTTTGGCGGCACAAGAGGGTTCTGATACCCTCATGGAAGGAAAAGTAGCCATCTCTGAGAGATGCCACCAGCAATGAGTCAATGAGATTGAGATTCCATCTCTCTCCCTAAGTCCCGTCTGGGAATGAGAATTTTAAGATGAGATGCAACAAAGCGTGGAAATAAGCCTAAAAGAGTTTCCCCCAACATTTTAGTAGAGCCCCTGACTTTGTCTTGTAGATACTGTTTTTTGTTGTTGTTGTTTGGGTTTTGGTTTTAAATAACTTTATCTGAAAAAATCGCCTGATTCAATGTTGAAACTAGAAATTTAGACACAGAAGTCCCGGCACAGTGGCTCACGCCTGTCATCCCCACACTTTGGGAGGCCGAGGCGGGCAGATCACCAGGGATTGGGAGTTTGAGACCAGCCTGACCAACATGGAGAAACCCCATCTCTACTAAAAATACAAAATTAGCCAGCGTGGTTGCACATGCCTGAAATCCCAGCTACTTGGGAGGCCGAGGCAGGAGAATCGCTTGAACCTGGGAGGCAGAGGTTACAGTGAGCCAAGATTGTGCCACTGCATTCTAGCCTGGGCAACAAGCATGAAACTCTGTCTCAAAAAAAAAAGAAAAGAAAAGAAAAAGAAAAGAAAGAAAGAAAGAAATATAGACACAGAAGAGATCATTAGGTCCAATCTCTCTCCCGCTGCAAGAATAGCCCCCTGCCACCCACCCCAACCCCCCACCCCCAACACACATGCAGTTTTCCTGCCTTCTTGTCTCCTGAATCCTGTCAGGGAAGGAGAGATGCCTGCCTTATAGGTCCTGTGGGACTCTGCTAGACAGTTCTGAATATTAAGAAGTTCTTCCTCTGATTAGGACCCTGCCACACAAATCAGACCTCTGCGCACTGGAACCCTTCTGACCACAGGAATCTTTCCCTCTTCCTGACAGTAAAACCCATCTGGACCCTAACTTGGGATGCTTGCACTGTTAACTTGCTTTCCACTTGCAAATGTGGCTTCTCCTCTGACCTAAATTCTGGGCTCCTTGAGGGAAGGGACTGCTCGCTCATCCATCTCTATTCCCTATTGCTCTTGTCCAGTGCCTGGCACAGAGGAGGTACTCATTCATTCTTTAAGCAAAACTTTTCTGAATTCCTACTATGTGTCAGGCCCCAGGGATATAGTGATGAATCTCTCACTTCCTTCAAGGAGCTCAATCTATCCCCAAAACATTTGTTGATTGAGCGATTTTAACTTGAGGCTCAGTTAAGCTAAAAAATAAAAAGTCCATGAGGTGACATTCCATGAGGACACTTCCAGACCTCGTAGGAGGACAGTGATCAGGCTCCTGGTGGGAAAGTGAGGCTGGAGTGGACACCAGGAGGATGCAAGTCCTACTCGTCTTTCATGGTAAAACCCATTTGACTTCTCCAGAGTCGTGATTCTGAGGAGGACAGAATCCAGGGTTGTTTTAACGGCGATATAAGAAGCTCAGTTTACAATCTATGAGCAAATCACTTAACTCTTCTAAGCTTCAGTTTCCTGACTTTAAAAGGGAGCTGAAATCTCACCTCTGAAGGATTATCATAAGCATTAAATTAGATAATATGTGTCTCATATGGAACTCATCAAATGTGCTCAGAAAGAGTAGTTGTCATGAGCCTTATTGGTTAAACCTATGATCAAGGAAGCAGAGTTGAAAAGGCAGCTCCTGTTTTCCCTGGACCATGCACTTGGCCACAGTGGGTGTGGCCTCGGGGCATACTGGGGCCCAGGCAGGAGGCAAGAAGATTGTGCTGGGCCCTATAAAACTCTGAAGGGCCACAGCTTAACTTTCTGGCCAGGAAACTTGAGCACAGCCATCTCACATCAAACACTATGAGCCAGCCCAGACTCATCTGCCTCCAAAGCAAAAGAGGACTCCTTGTTCTACCAGGAAAATGACCTTTGGTTATAAACAGTCTCTATGTTTAGAGCTCTGGTGCATTCTATAGAGACAAGAAGAGATCTTACATAGGGACAGCAAGGCCAGGGCTGCTCTGACCCCCAGCACATCTCTGCTTCCCATAGTGGGGCCGGCTGTGTACCCCTGAGTGTCTGACCCATCAGCTGATCATTACTCCTTTCTTCTGAGTAAGTCCATAGGGCAACGTGGTCATGCAGGCACTTCACAGGCAAGGGCAATGACTCAACACAGGAAGAGGAAAAGAAAGGACTGCCATTGTGCAATGTGATTCCTGGGCAGATGTCATTTTTTTTTTTAAATAGAAAGCAGCATGGGACATGTGCCCCTGTCATGTGTGTGTGCGTGTGTGTGTGTGTGTGTGTGTGTGTGTGTGTCTGTCTAGAAGGAGAGAATGATACTGGAGTTCTCGGTTCAGATCTGCCAGGAACCAACCATAATGCCTGGGACAATTCGGTCAATTTTTCTGGGCCACACCTGAAAATATAAGAGGTTGGACAAGACAGTTTATTTGCTTCTTTTGTTGTATTCAACCAAGATCATATGGATATGTAGTGCTAACATAGCTAATCAGTGCAATACATATGTACACATTCTTAATCATCTGTCTCCTTTTGCAGTCTCCATGCTTTCTGGCATGGTTGAGTCATGAACTTTTTTATTTTTTTTTTAGACAGAGTCTCACTCTGTCACCCAGGCTGGAATGCAGTGGCGTGATCTTGGGTCACTGCAACCTCTGTCTCCTGGGTTCAAGTGATTCTCCTGCCTAAGCCTACCAAGAAGCTGGGATTACAGGCACCCACCACTATGCCCGACTAATTTTTGTATTTTTAGTAGAGATGGGGTTTAGCCATGTGGCCAGGCTGGTCTTGAACTCCTGACCTTAGTGATCTGCCTGGGAGGAGTGATTTTCAAAAAACCAAAAAGGAAAGAAAGAGGAGAAGGAGGGTGGCTGGGTGCGGTGGCTCACGCCTGTAATACCAGCACTTTGGGAAAACAAGGTGTGGGGAGTGTCACTTGAACTCAGGAGTTTGCAACCAGCCTGAGGAAAATGAAAAAACAGAGTGTGGAAATACACAACACAGCAAGGAAAGCATCTCCACAAAAAATACAAAAAGGAAAAAAAAAATAACCAGGTGTGGTGGCATGCACTGGTAGTACCAGCTACTTGGGAGGCTGAGGTGAAAGAACCACCTGAGCCATGATTGCACTACAGAGTGAGATCCTGTCACAAAAGGAAGAAAAAAGGAAGAAGAAAAGGAAGAAGAGAAAGAGGAAGAGGGAGAGGGAGAGGGAGAGGGAGGGGGGAGGGGTGGGGGAGGGGGAGGGAGAAGGAGAAGGAGGAGAAGAAGAAGGAGGAGGAGGAGGAGAAGAAGAAGGAGGAAGAGAAGGAGAAGGAGAAGAAGGAGGAGGAGAAGGAGAAGGAGAAGAAGGAGAAGGAGAAACAAGTCGGGGTCAGCCTATGAGTGAGGCAGACCCTTCTGGCCAGAAACAGAAAGCTGATGGAGGAGCAGGTGTGGAGCACCAGGGAAGGGGAGACGGAATTCACAATCAAACAAACACATGCGGGGGTCCCTAAGGCCAAAGGGTGCTCACTTCACAACTTTCTAGAGAGCCCGAGAGGGAAACTTAAATATTCAGAGAACCAGCATGCCACCAACTAATTGGATGCATTGAACACTAGTCCCTTCATTCCTTCCAGCCTCGGTTTCCCCATAAATTGAACAAATATTTGTCAAGCCCATCCCATGTTAGAAGCATGGCACTAGACCACTGGGGATGAAAAGGTAATAAAGGGGCTTGTCCTCAAGTATCTCACAGTCCAGTGGGGAGGATGGTGATGGAAATGGACCTTCTCAGTTCGTTCCCAGTGACATTCTAAATAGCCGTGAGTCAGGTCCCTTCATTCATCCTGGTAGTTATCCGCTCTCACTGTGCTGCTAGCCAGTCAACTTCTCACCATCTGAATCCCGAGGGACAGGAGACAGCATTACAGAGTAGAGGCAGGCAAGGTGGGGGCAGAGGGGATAGGGAGAATCCCCAGTTCACAAAGCAGCCCACAAGCCCAGGGTGTTCAAAAGATGTTCTCTTTCTTCCAGAACAATTCATCCTGGCCAGGCTGGCCTCCAGAAACATGAGCCCTGGAATTGTCTTCTTCGTGCCTGCCCTCTAGTCTTTGTTCCCACCTCACCTTCCCTGGATGTAGCCTCACTTGGTTTCATGGGATGCAGCTCCTCCCATCCTCACCACACACAGTGACAGCCACAGGAACAGACACTGCCCTACCGACTCCACCATAATCCTCTTGCTTTGACCCACTCCCCACATCTCATGCAGCCCTGGACTCCCCCAGTCCCTGACATCACTACCTAGGTAATGTCCCTCCAGGTCAGCCCAAATCCTCCTATTCCAAGACTCCTAGCCAGGTCTCCCCAGCCTCGCAGACAATCATAGTAAACAGTTATGAAGCATCCAGCTGTGCCAGGCACTGTTTTAGCCATTTTGCAAGTATTAACTCATTTTGACTTCACAATAATCCTAAAAGAGGGATACTACACTTACCCACATTTTATAAACAAGAAATGGAGGGTGGAGAAGTTAAGTCACTTGCCCAAGATGACACAAGCGGTTAGGGACAGAAGGAAGATTCAGCCCCAGGCAATGTGGCTTCATACTATTAACCACTACCCTCTGTAACTTCTCAAGACAGTCACTTGCCACCACCGCACCACCCCGGGTCCACCACTCACATACACATTCACACACACAACATACACCCCCATGCACACACCCATACAAAATACCACACACACACACACACACATTCATGGTCTCTGCAGTCTGATCTTTCTACCCCTCCAAATACTCCCATTCTTGAAGGCCCAATTCATTTGCCTCCTCCTGTAAAAGCCTTTCCCAGTCACCCCTCCTCAAAGCTGTCTCTGAAACATCTTCCACACCTTTTTCCACTCTTACCAGGGGGCACTTAAACCCTATGTATGTTGCCCCAGCTACGTTATTAGCTCCCTGCCGGAGGCATCATTTCACCCATCTTGGAATCAAGTCAGTGCCGAGCCTTCTGCTCTGCAAGTTACAGTACGCTCCAGGTGCCAAGCGACGAAATGATGAACTGATGGTTTTTCTATCAAGCACTTGCTCTCGTTCTCACCCTGATGAGCTCCCAAAACAAAAAACAACAAAAGGATTTTACTTGGTGCCTTTTACTCAGTTCCTTGGAAGATCGTGTTCTGTAAATAAGCTACCAATTTTCTGTATATAGTCGATTCTCATTATCCAGGGCTTTGTTTTTGCAACTTCATCTACTCACTGAAACGTATCTGTAGCTGGGCGTGGTGGCGCATGCCTGTAATCCTAGCATTTTGGGAGGCTGAGGCGTGTGGATCACCTGAGGTCAGGAGTTCGAGAACAGCCTGGCCGAGATCACATCATTGCACTCCAGCCTGGGCAACAAGAGTGAAACTCCGTCTCAAAAAAGAAAAAAATGTATTTGTAACCCAAAAATCAGTACTCACGTGTTTTCACGTGTTTTCAAGGTCACTCATGAACATGTGCAGAGCAGTGAAAATCTTGAATCATTCAATGCACATTTTCCCAGCCAAGGTGGAATAAGGCGAGTTTGCCTTTGTGTTTTAGCCCTCACATTGTTCACAAGTGTCTTCTGAGAGTTCTATCTAGTGCCATGTTTTTCACGTTTTTGTGCTTTTTCTGGTGGTGACTTCACTGTTTAAAATGGCCCCCCAGCTAGCACTGAAGCTCTGTCTAGCATTCTCAAACACAAGGAGACCGTGATGTACCTGCCGTGGCATGAATTACAGTGCTGCTGACCATGAGTTCCATGTGAATGAATCAATCATATAAATTTAACAAGGTGTTCCTAAACAGAAACACATGGAAAACAAGGTTCATATTGATCAGCTAACAAAAATGTTTGACCTGAGGCTCACAGGAACCTAACTGCTTATTTCCCCTAGGAACGATGGTTCTGTATTTGCTAATTCAGTGTTCATATCAACTTCACAGAACACAACTACCATGAACAATGAGAATAGTGAGAATTGACTGTGTGTGGTACATAAATACACACACATGCACAAACATACATATATAAAGGGATATATACACGAATATACAGTCATAAGTCACTTGACAGGGGTCTGTTCTAAGAAATTCACCCTTAGATGATTTTGTTCTGGGAACATCATAGAATGAACCTACAGAAACACACCTAAGCTAACAGTAATAGCCTATTGCGCCTAGGTTACAAACCTGTATACTATGTGACTGTACCAAATACTCTAGGCAACTGGAACACAACAGTAAGTGTTTATGTATCTAAATGGATCTAAACATAGTAAAGGGGCTGGGCATGGTGGCTCATGCCTGTAATCCCAGCACATTGGGAGGCAGAGGTGGGTGGATCACCTGACATCGGGAGTTCAAGACCAGCCTGGCCAACATGATGAAACCCCATCTCTACTAAAAATACAAAAAATTAGCCGGGCGTGATGGCAGGCACCTGTAATCCCAGCTAGTGAGGAGGCTGAGGCAGGAGAATCACTTGAACCCAAGAGGCAGAGGTTGCAGTGAGCCGAGATCATGCCCTGCACTCCAGCCTGGGCAACAAGAGCAAAACTCCATCTCAAAAAACTAAAATAAAATAAAATAAAAAGGCCGGGTGAGGTGGCTCATGCCTGTAATCCCAGCACTTTGGGAGGCTGAGGCGAGTGGATCACGAGGTCAGGAGATCGAGACCAGCCTGGCCAACATGGTGAAACCCTGTTTCACCCTGTTTAGTAGAGGGTGAAACCCTCTACTAAAAATACAAAAATTAGCTGGGCATGGTGGCACGTGCCTGTAATCCCAGCTACTCAGGAGGCTGAGGCAGAAGAATCGCTTGAACCTGGGAGGTGGAGGTTGCAGTGAGCCAAGATCGCACCACTGCACTCCAGCCTGGGCAACAGAGCGAGGCTCCATCTCAAAAAATAAATAAATAAATAAATAAATAAATAAATAAATAAATAAATAACAAAAATAAACACAGTAAAGGTACAATAAAAATGTGGTATAAAAAAATAAAAAATGGCTGGGTGCAGTGGCTCACACCTGTAATTCTAGCTCTTTGGGAGGCTGAGGCAGGCAGATTACCTGAGGTCAGGAGTTTGAGACAAGTCTGGCCAACATGGTGAAACCCCATCTCTACTAAAAATACAAAATTTAGGCGAGAGTGGTGGTGCATGCCTGTAATCCCAGCTACTTGGGAGGCTGAGGCACAAGAATCACTTTAACCCAGGATGCAGAGGCTGCAGTGAGCCAAGATCACATTACTGCCCTCCAACCTGGGCAACAGAATGAGACTCTGTCTCTAAAATAAAGTAAATTAAAGATACACCTGAATAGGGCAGCTCCATTACAATCTTATGGGACCACTGTCACATATGCAGGCTCTTGTTGACCAAACATCGTGATGCAACACATGCCTGTGGATACACACACACATTTCTTTCCTATCAATAATGAGGATCCTTGAGCCTTTTTTAACTATTGAAAAGGTGAGCTTGTCTTTTCACATGAGTTATCAATAAGAAGATAGTGACTAAGTCCAAAAAAACCTCATCTCCTGACTTTTGAGTTTTACAATCTCATTTGAGGTTGAGCAGCATGGAGTCAGCTGTGAAGCAAATGAAGCCCAGGACTGCCCTCCTGCATTGGGAGCCCCTCCCTGGGAAACCTCAGGGCCGCTTTCTTGGCAGAGTCCTCGCACGCTCTGCCCAGGCTGCCAGCTCCCAAGAAAAGGGCTTGGTTCCCTTCCTTACAGACTCCTCAGGTACCCAATTGATCTAATTGCTAGGAAACATGCCTAATCAGGGAATGGCAGAAGAATTCCGTGGTGAAGCATGCCAAGCGCCACCCGATCCTTTTCCAGAAAGAATTCTCTCAAAACTGTTCTGAAAGCATGAGTTTGACGTTAAAAAACTTTAGCCAAAGCAATCCTCTGACTTCCTTAAATAACCCTTTGCAGATGAACCACCTCGCTCTCACTCCTGGGGTTTTCTCACTGATGGTTTACCTGGGTCCTTGGTGCTACAATTTCATTCCTCCCTACTCAATCTGTTCTCAGTCTGCAAAGGCAAAGCCTGACTCTCCACTGAATGACACTGACTCTTGTCCTCCAGCACTGCGATTAGATGACCGCTTGGGCTGACTTTCTTAAGCTTAAATGATCCCATTTGTTGAACTTTTCCTCCTCCAAACTATATTGTTGCCCTCATGTCAATTTCCCAGCTCCATGTTGGACTTTCTAGGGGAAGAATGCAAAAAATGCTTCCCTTCGTTGAGAGTCTTATGACATCTATCTCTTGTAATTTTGTCCAGGGAAGCCAGGCACGTGCCAGGCCCTCTTTTGTAGGAAAGGAGAGCTCGCTCAGCTCATATCTTAATTTGGCTTCACCATGCTTGATTTGTAATGTGTTCTGAGACCCAAGAGAAGCTCTGACATTGCAATTAGGTACCTATGAACGTTATATTAGGATAATATATTCAATGCTAGAGACCCCAGGTAAAGAGAGTGGTAATCATTATCTGTATTCTTCCTATACTTAAGACTCAAGCATTCAGAAACTGTCACAATAAAGGGGAGCTAAGCCAGTTTCTCTTCCTAATTAATCTATTAAATGCTCTCTTTCCCTGTCTCCATCTTTCTCTTCCACTTCCACGACACATATATGTGTGTCGAGGACCCTTCGATTAATTCAGGGCACTTTGAGGCATCATTCTAGGTTGTCTCTTCCAGGTGTAATTTACTGTAATCCCCTCGGAAAATGAAAGCCATTTTCCTGAAGCCAGTGAGTAGGCAGACACTAATTTGCATCCCACATTTCAAGTCCTAAATTACTCCCTGGTTCCCCAGAGGTCAAATGAGAGCAATGGTTGTCACTTTGCTTCTGCTATGCACATGGCTCTTCAACACGCAATGGCTGCCCCAGCCAAGGTAGCATTTGATCCTAGCTTTCTTCCCAGGCCCTGGGATGGTGGAAAACATCCACAGTTTGGTCACAATCAAGTAAATAAAGATTGATGATGTAAGCACTGAACGTGTGATATCACTGAGATGAACAACGATGTGCAAAATGACCAAAATCTGGGACAGGAAAAAATTGTTGAAGACCTGGGCCATTTTCCCTGGAGAAAAGAAGATTCAGGGAGGTCGGGAAAACAGGCTTCAGAAGCCTAGGGGCTGTCATGTAGAAGAGAGGTTAGTCTTAGGCTGCGTGGTCTCAAGGGAGAATAAGAAGCAGTGAGTGGAAGCCACAGAGAAAAAAAATCTCTGTGCACAAGATAACCTAGACTTCCCAAAGTGGATAAGAAGCACACATGTAGCTGCCACTTGCTGAGATCTTACTATGTGCCAGGTGACTTCCCGGTCATGGGGCATAGCAGTTCCTCTTCAACCTCACAGTAACTCAGCAACATTTCTCATAGCTGCAAAAACAGGCTCGGAGGGGTCCAGGGCCCTGTCCACAGTGCAGGGTCACAAAGTAGCAGGGAAGGTCAAGATTTGAATTCAGATCTACCTGACTCCACAGCTGTGTGTTAGAAGGAGCTACTGCCACAGGCCATGCGGCCCTACCATGGCAGGTATGCAAGGAACCCACGGGGCTGCTGAAGAAGGGATCCAGGAAGGGACGGGTGTAAGAACCGAGGACCTCTAGGGACACTCCCTCCCCTGGATTCCACCGCTCAGATGTTACCAAGTGCAAATCTCCAGGAAGAAAGTACACATGTATTTTTTATATTGAAATCATACTAACAGCAATTATGCTTGAGGTGTCTGCGTGTCTATAATGTGTCGGGCAATAAGGTACACATTTAATATCACTCGTCTCTCAACCTCCACTCAACCCTGCCAGGTAGTACAAATAACACACTTGGCTCAAAGGGACCAGATCACTTGGCAAGGCCACACAGCCAGGTACTGGGAGAACATCTCCAAATCCACCAGAATTCTGGATCGCCTCGCTGCCTCCCTAAGCAGGTGTTTATACCATGAGAAGCGGATAGTGCTCTGAGTAAGAGTACAGACTCTGGAACAGGATCTGTATTCTAACCCTCGCTCCACTCCTACATGCTGCGTGACCTTTCAGAAGTGACTTAGCCTTTCTGTGCTTTGGCTTCCTCAACTGTAAAATGGAGATGGTTGCAAGGAGGAACTGAATTAAAGCATTTAGATCCTTGCCTGGCACATGGTACTTGCTATGCAAGCGTGGGTTATATTTTATTTTGATCTGGGTAGATTTCAGCTGCTCTGGGGTAACTCTGGAGAGTGTGTTGAATGAAGCTACCTGCCTCTCCTTCCCCTGTCTCTGCTGGAGATGGAACCAGAAGACCACAGTCCCTCTGGCCATAAGATGCTCTGCAGACTGGGGGAACTTTTCTCAGAAACTTTATGTTTCTGCTGGAACTTCCTTACAGGTTGACTGCCCATCCAACCTCATGTTTTCACAAGCAGCTGGCAGGCTCTACAGAGGCCACCTGGGAGCCAGAAGGGCCATCTCTGGGCCCTGTTGAACCTCTCACTGAGATGAAGAGATGGCCCAGGGCTTCTCAGCAAAGGGACAACCACTGAAATAAAAGCGTGCAAGGTCTCACCTGCTTTGTGCCAAGCGAGAGACACAGATCAGCTGCCCAGTTTGGGCAGCAGCAGAAAGAATATGATGAGTTAAAAATAGATGAAATTGTTCATTAAAAATACTAAGCAGCTCTGAACAACTATCTGTTTTTGCCCTGGCCTGGATATTCCTTGTAGTTGGGTGGGATAAAGGGAATGATTTGCAGAAAGGGTTCAAGCATACATTCATAGATTCCCAGGACTGGAAGAAGGAAGCAAACGTCTGTGGAGCCCCACTTTGTGGGAGCGTTTCCAGGCATGAGCTCATGCAGTCATCAAAATGGAGATGAGGAGGCCACAGCTCAGATGGTGAAAGCACTCTCCTCTCTAGGTCACACGGATGAAACATGGAGGGACCAGAATGTGAATCCTGATCTGTTTCCACTCTCATTCACTACAACAGGCTTGAGGTAACCCCCTCCACTGTACTTGCCCAAGAATCTCTGCTTTAGCGGAAGACCTGTTTCGGCTGCTTTTCTACTCATAAGGAGCTTTTAGTCACGTAAATGGCTACATGCTCTTTCACAGGTGCTGCTGCTGAGCCGGGAGAATAGAAGCGTCCAAGTCAGTGCCTTCAGAGATCCAGCTGACTTCAAGAGGGCTGAGGTCCACCCAGGGCCACCAGCATCAGGAAGGAGACAGCTTTGCAGTGACTCCACCCGCTATGTGCTGGGAGGCATTGGCTGACTCCAAAGCACACAGCAATTTCGGCTTGGCCCACGGCAGCAAACAGCTGTGCCAATGCCCATCCTAACGAGAATAACGCAAGGCTTAGCCTGTAATCCACCCCTCTGCAGAAACCAATCATTCCTCCTCATTACCGAGCGAAGAAATGCCTCTCAAGGCTCCTTTTCCTCCTTACAAACAAAATAAAACAAATCCTTCCTATGGATTTCATTTGCCATTTAATGCAACCTAATGATTTCCAATTGAAACCATATTTGTATTTGTATTGACTTATTAATAGCACATCCATTTTCCACACAATAAAGCCTGAACATACACTGAGGACTTTGACCAAAATGCATTAGGTAGCATTAAAGATTAAATAAACACTGTTTCTATGAATAATGTTTAATGTCACCTATTAGTCCATTGAAAATTGATCTCTGGGTACTTCAAGCTGGGGTTCCAAGGAGTACATTTTGAACATATTATGAGTAATGACTATGCATTAGGACATGAAATGGATTCCAGGCCCTCAGTAGAGCTTGCTACTTTACTATATTCTGGTTAATTTGCACAAATAGTTGCAATGTCAATGGCAAAACCCAAGCACCAAACTGCAATACATGCCTGATTCCGAAAAGCAACATAGAAATGGCTTAAAAGAAAAATGAGAAACATGTTTTGTTTTTTTTTCCCTTCCTCTGAGAACAGTGGTAGTATTTGCTTACTTTCATGTTTATTGATCTTTGATGTTTCTCCTTAAATTTTGGTAGACTGTGTTCCACACTAGAGTTCAGACATGATTTCCTAGCCGGACGCGGTGGCTCACGCCTGTAATCCCAGCACTTTGGGAGGCCGAGGCGGGCGGATCACGAGGTCAGGAGATCGAGACCATCTGGGTTAACACGGTGAAACCCCGTCTCTACTAAAAATACAAAAAAATTAGCCAGGCACAGTGGCAGGTGCCTGTAGTCCCAGCTACTCGGGAGGCTGAGGCAGGAGAATGGCGTGAACCCAGGAGGCAGAGCTTGCAGTGAGTGGAGATCGTGCCACTGCACTCCAGCCTGGGTGATAAAGTGAGACTCTGTCTCAAAAAAAAAAAAAAAAAAAAAAAATGAGTTCCCTTCTGCTCTGCCACAAGCTAAGGTGTGAGCTCCTCTCAGCTCTCTCCACTTAAAAAAGGAAATCGTTGGGACACAGGCTCTGAAAGCTCTGGCATTTCCTGACTCTGTGATTTCACCAGATATAAATCCCATAAGGAAAAAGATGGTGTCCTCTTTGACTTTGTGTCCCAATTGCCCCAGCACAGTATCAGACACCCAAAAAAGGCCTGGGTAAGAGGAAGGCTAGACTTTCAGAAATGTGTTGAGAAGTCAGATGTTCCTGGTAGACACGGCTTCATTAGGCCAAGAGTCATCATTATAATGATAACAATTACTGTTTATTGAGTACCTTCTATGAGCAGGCGAGATGCTGTGTATGTTGCACACATTACCGCTGATTGTCTCCATATGCCTTTGCATACACAGAGTGACTTCTTTCATTTTTTTGTAGTAGTTGATAGTATCCCCAAGATTAGAGGGTACAATGCTTTTTTCACATGACTCTCTTTTTTATCCTTACTGTGAAGCTATTAGGTGAAGGTGTTTGTTTGTTTGTTTGTTTTGAGATGGTCTCACTCTCCCAGAGATGGCCCTGTCACCCAGGCTGGAGTACAGTGGCATGATCTTGGCTCACTGTAACCTCCACCTCCCAGGTTCAAGCGATTCTCCTGCCTCAGCCTACCGAGTAGCTGGGATTACAGGCACCCGCCAACACCCCCAGCTAATTTTTGTAATTTTAGTAGAGACAGGGTTTCACCATGTCGGCCAGGCTGCTCTTGAACTCCTGATCTCAGGTGATCCTCCAGTCTCAGCCTCCCAAAGTCCTGGGATTACAGGCATGAGCCACTATGCCCACCCTAGGTGAAGGTTTTTACACCTATTTTATAGATGTAAGACTTACAGCACAAACAAGTCAAAGGACTGACGGCTTCCTCTCTAGTCCCTTCTTTGTTTTTTGCCTTTCTTCTCTCTGTCTCTCTTTCTCTCTTTTTCTCTCTCTCTTTCTCTCTCTCTCTTCCTCCCTTGCTCTCAGGTTATCTTCTTTCCTCCCTCCTACACTTTCCTACTGACTCTCTCTACCTCACCTCCAGCTCTCTCACCTTCTCTCATTGTTTTCCTCATTTCTGTGAAAGGAGGGATAACAGGGAAGGCAGGCCAGGCCCGCACAACTTTCATGTTGAAACAGCAAGGGCCAGGCGCAGTGGCTCATGCCTGTAATCTCAGCACTTTCGGGGCCAAGATGGGTGGACCACTTGAGGTCAGAAATTCAAGACCAACATGGCCAGCATGGTGAAACCTTGTCTCTGCTAAAAATACAAAAATTAGCCAGACGTGGTGGCAAGTGATTGTAATCCCAGCTACTCGAGAGGCTGAGGCAGGAGAATCGCTTGAACCTTGGAGGCAGAGGTTGCAGTGAGCTGATACCATGCCACTGCACTTCAGCCTGGGCAACAGAGCAAGACCTCATCAAAAAAGAAAAGAAAAGAAAAGAGAAAGAGAAAGAGAAAGAGAAAGAGAAAGAAAGGCCGGGTGCGGTGGCTCACACCTGTAATCCCAGCACTTTGGGAGGCCGAGGCGGGTGGATCACCTGAGGTCAGGAGTTTAAGACCAGTCTGACCAACATGGAGAAACCCCGTATCTACTAAAACAACCCCACAAAATTAGCCGGGCTTGGTGGTGCATGCTTGTGATCCCAGATACTTGGGAGGCTGAGGCAGGAAAATCGCTTGAACCCAGGAGGCGGAGGTTGTAGTGAGCTGAGATCACGTCATTGCACTCCAGCCTGGGCAACAAGAGTGAAACTCCATTTCAAAAAAAAAAAAGAAAGAAAGAAAGAGAGAGAGAAAGAGAGAAAAGAAAGAAAAAGAGAGAGACAGAAAGAAAGAAAGAGAGAGGGAGGGAGGAAAGGAAGGAAGGGGAAGGGAAGGGAGGAAGGAAGGAAGGAAGGAAGGAAGGAAGGAAGGAAGGAAGGAAGGAAGGAAGGAAGGAAGGAAAGAAAAAAGAGAAGGAAGGAAGGAAGGAAGGAAGGAAGGAAGGAAGAAAGAAAGAAAGAAAGAAAGAAAGAAAGAAAGAAAGAAGAAAGAAAGAGAGAGAGAGAGAGAAAGAAAGAAAGAAAGAAAAGAAAGAGCACAATAAGAGCCAGACAAAGGTCCACAGAAGACGTGGGCACCATGAAGGAGCACCTGACCTGGAGAAGAAGTCCTTGGGGGCTCCCAGCAGAAGTCAACTCCTGAGCTGAGTGAGCCGGGGAAGAGGGTGGGAAGGCTATGCTATGGCCAACGGAGAGCCCCAAAGGGTTCGAGCTGGGGAGTGACATGGTCAGATGAACGTGGAACACTGGAAATGTTATTAGCAAGAGATCTTTTGGTCAAAGCCTTAAAAAGCCAACTGGTGGATACGGAAGGCATCTGTCTTCAAATCTTAGCATGGTGGATCTGGAAAGGCCTTTAGCCGTGAGCCAGCCTAACTCCTGAATTTTAGAGGTGAGGAAATTGATGCACAGTGGAAAATTATCTCCTCAAATCTCCCTGCCAAGTGGTCCCCAATTTCTAATGGTCAACTGTTTTATTTTAAAATCTCCTGTAGCCATCATTTCCATGTGCTTCTGTCCTTTCTCTGACCTGGGCCCCAGGGCAAACAGGGTTTGTTCTGTCTCTCACAGTACTTCCACTGTGGTGTGGAACCACCTGTCACATGGTGGGGGGTGCCTTCAAAAACAAACAATTGGCAGATTGTCGGTTACAGTTGTGCACAGACAACTGTATTAGTGTTCTTGCACCATATGGCTGGGGATACACGTGGCAGCACGCCTGTCCCCAGGAGAGTCCGGCGCTTCACCTGTTCCCTCCATTCCAGGACGGGCTCTGCACCCTATCCAGGGCTAGTGTGGGGATCCCCCTAGAAAAGCCTTGTGGAAAACCATCCTCACTGTAATCATTCAAGCTGCTGCTGAGAGGGTGTCTGCAAAGGGACCCATACTTCCCTTATGAGGCTGGTGTTATTTTCCCCATTTTAGAGTTGAAACACTGAGACACAGGTTGAACTGCCTAGGGTCACATAGTGGGTGAGCATCAGCACTAAGATTTGAACACAGGTCCAGCTAAGTCCCTGGCTCGAGCTATTCATGATGCTGTCTCCCTCTCTCTCTCTCTCTCTCTCCTCACCCGCGCCCCCCAGCATACCACCGAATCATGGACCTAGTTTCGTTGCAAACCACCATTCATTCTCAGGTTCAATAAACCTTCACCATGTGCTAACTCTATCCCCAAACATTACAAAGGATAAAAAAAGTAAGACTGGCCAGGCATGGTGGCTCACTCCTGTAATCCCAGCACTTTAGGAGGCCGAGGCAGGTGGATCACTTGAGCCCAGGAATTCAAGACAAGCCTGGGCAACATAGTG
This sequence comes from Homo sapiens, assembly GCF_000001405.40. Taxonomy (NCBI): domain Eukaryota; kingdom Metazoa; phylum Chordata; class Mammalia; order Primates; family Hominidae; genus Homo; species Homo sapiens. Next base: position 15,992,766 of record NC_000002.12, on the reverse strand, counting down.
AAACCCCGTCTCTAAAAAAACAAACAACAAGAAAGAGTAAGACATGGACTCCACAGTTACAGCCTAATAAGAATTAACAGTGGTTAACATGATGGAGTGAGCACCCTGGGTCAGATGCTGTGCCGTTTACACATGATTTTATTCTAGTTTCTTTGGGATGTCATTATTGTTATCCTCATTTTATCCTCATTTTATGGGGGAGGAAACTGAGGCACAGAAATGCTGGAGTAAGTGATCCATGGTCACATGGTTCATCAATTTAAAAAGCCATCATTGTAACTGGGCGCGGTGCCTCATGCCTGTAATCCCAGCAATTTGGGAGGCTGAGGCGGGTGGATCACTTGAAGTCAGGAGTTCAAGACCAGCCTGGTCAACATGGTGAAACCCCATCTCTACCAAAAATACAAAAATTAGCTGGACACGGTGATGCACGCTTGTAATCCCAGCTACTCGGGAGGCTGAGGCACGAGAATCGCTTGAACCCAGGAGGCGGGGCTTGCAGTGAGCCAAGATCGTGCCACTGCACTCCAGCCTGGTCAATAGAGCGAGACTCCCTCCCAGAAAAAAAAAAAAAAAAAAGCCATCATTCAAACTATGGCCATTTCTTTTCCACCAACAAACAAGAAGAGTTGGGTAGAAACATACACAAAAGCAGATCATTGCCTGGCAGGAGGTGTTCAGTCCTGTAAAAAAGAACGAGCACAATTGTCTCTTTACACAGGGGCATTTGAGCGGTACCTCTCAAGCCTGGGTAATACTTCAACAGACAGATATGGGGCGAAGGAGCATCGGAGTCAGGGGAAGGGGTGAGATCTGAGATAGGGGCTCAGTGAGGGTGGGCGTGCCTGGAAGACAGTGAGACCTCAGTTTGACTGCAGTGGAGGGGAGGGCGTCAGGGGGCACCCTGGGAGGAGCCTGCGGACATTTGTTTCACACTCACATGCCAGACCCCATGCTTGGTGTTTTGCATCCATTATCTTATTTCCTCACGTCAGCCAACAACCCCCTGAGGAAGGTCTTCCTCTCTTTATTTCACAAATTTTAAAAAAAAAGAAAAAAGAGGAGCAAATTGTTGACGTAACTCACCCCATCACCCACAGCAAGCCTAGTTACCAAACCATGGGCTTTTGGGCACCCCTCTCTGTCTCTCAAGATGTTGTCTTGTAAGAAATAATCCCATAGACAAAGATTCTCAAGATGATGCACTTAGTCCTAAGTGGCTTTGAATCTTTTGCAGGGTGTGACCCATGCAAGCCCCTAGAAAAGTTGCTGACTATTGTATGATTCCATCACGGCCTCAAGGAGCATCTGTTTATCCAGTGGAAACAGAGAACAGGATAAGCTCGTGCTCTTCTACCAGCATTCTCTGTCTATGAGTCAAGGGCATCGTGTTAAAGGCAAGAAAGAAGAATCCACTAGGCTGAGAGTAAGCAGATGAAAGGGCCATGGTCCACACACATCAGCTGTGGGGTCCTTGTACAAGACATTTCACCTCTCTGAGTCTCAGGTTTTCCAACTAGAAATTGGGCTTTAAAAAAAAGAAGAAGAAGAAGGTGGCCGGGCGCGGTGGCTCACACCTGTAATCCCGGCACTTTGGGAGGCAGAGGCGGGTGGATCACCTGAGGTCAGGAGTTCAAGACCAGCCTGACCAACAAGGTGAAACCCCATCTCTACTAAAAATACAAAAATTTGCCAGGCATGGTGGCAGGCACCTTTAGTCCCAGCTACTCAAGAGGCTGAGACAGGAGAATTGCTTGAACCCGGAAGGCGGAGTTTGCAGTTAGCCGAGATCGTGCCACCGCACTCCAGCCTGGGCAACAGAGCAAGACTCCATCTCAAAACAACAAAAAAGAAGAAGAAGATCTCTTAGTCAGTTTGAACTGCTGTACCAAATTGCCATAAACAACCAACATGTATTTATCACAGTTCTGGAGGCCAGAAGTCCAAGATCAAGGTGCCAGTAGATCTGTTGTCTGATGAAGGCTCACTTCCTGGCTTGCAGACAGCCACCTTCTTGCTGTGTCCTGATACGGCAGAGAGAGCCCGCAATCTCTCTAGCCTCTTCTTATAAGAGCACTAATCCCATTCAGGAGAGTTCCACTGTCATGATCTAATCGCCTCCCAAAAGTCCACCTTTCAAATACCATCACATTGGGATTAGGGTCTTATCACATGAATATGGAAGGGACGCAAACATTTTAGTCCATTGCAGAAGATATTAGGAAAATGACATCTGCATGTTGATAAATGACATCTGCATATTGATAGGACTAAAGTGAGAATATCCAGTCGTAAGATGATGAGCTGCAGAGGGAAATCATGAGAAAAGCAAAGCCTGCAGGAAATAGTCATTTACTAGCTTCCCCAGTCCCAGCTGAAACCAGATAGTACCTACAGCTTAAAGCGTAAAGAAGCATTTGCCTCCCACCCAGGCATTCCCTGTGCACAAGCTTTCCCATTCTCTGGCCCACACCAGCTCTTTCCATTCAGCCTTCTCCTCCCTGCCCCTCTGCCATGCTAAGCCCCCAGAAAACCTTCTGCTTCATCACATGCACTGACCCCAAAGTCACCAGGCTTTCCCCTCTCAAGGAACTTGCACTCTATGCCTTGTCTCTCATGACAGAAGCAGAGGCCTTGTGCCCAGCAGAAGATGCCGGGAATCTTTATGAGGATGATGGATGCATTGGTAAGAAGCCCTGCTCAGCCCCAATACTTGGTCCACCTCGCTGAGATGAGAAGAGCCCTGGGTCCAGGCCCTACCTGGCCTCTCAGGCTCTCCCCACACCTCTCTGACCCTTTGTTTCTTCATTTATAAATTAAGGGCGTCGCTTAAAGGATTTCTAAGTCCCTTTCCAGTTCACAGACCCTGGCTCTATTCACTTGTTGCTACCAGCATGAAGTTAGGAGAACTCACTGGAATGGACTGTTAGTATAGGACGCTTTTGAGAATGTGGTTTGACTGGTATTGTGGGTGCGCTCAGAACCTCCCAAGCCTCTAAAGAAAGAAACATCTCTGGGGAACTTTCCTTGAAGGATCTCCGCCAAGGGTTTGCTGGACACAAGGATCAAGTCGGCAGGATCTCCCCACCCCCATCCACAACCACTTTAATCAACATGCCCCTTTTTTAATTTCAAGTTCAAATATGTACCTGATTAGAAGAAAAGAAAAGAAAATGATTCTTTACACATAAACCCTCCCACTCGTTTTTTTTTTTTTTTTTTTTTGAGACAGAGTCTCGCACTGTCAACCGGGCTGGAGTGCAGTGGCATGATCTCGGCTCACTGCAACCCCCGCCTCCCGGGTTCAAGCAATTCTCCTGCCTCAGCCTCCTGAGTAGCTGGGATTACAGGCGCCCGCCACCACACCCTGCTAATTTTTGTACTTTTAGTAGAGATGGGGTTACACTATGTTGGCCAGACTGGTCTCTAACTCCTGACCTCATAATCTGCCCACCTCAGCCTCCCAAAGTGCTGGAATTACAAGCATGAGCCACCACGCCCTGCCAACCCCTTTTTTTTAATCTCATTGTGTGTGTGTGTGTGTATGTGTGTATGTGTGTATGTGTATGTTTTTGTGTGTGTGTGTGTTTATGTGTGTATGTGTGTATGTGTGTGTGTTTATGTGTGTGTATGTGTATTTGTGTTTATGTGTTTGTGTGTGTGTGTGTGTGTGTGTGTGTGTGTGCGCTTCAGGAGAAAGGCCTCTGCAACGCACAAGAAAGATTTTCTTTTTTCAGAAGATTTTTACTTCAAGGTTAGTTCAACAGCATTTTCTCATAAATAAGCATGAAAGCTTCGTCCCCTGGGCTGATGTCTTTCCGTTTATACACTGAGTACAATGACTCTCAATTCTACACATGATGCCAGCTCTCTTTGAATGATAACAGCTGAAATATATAATACTAGTGCTTTAAAACACGCACACAGGCATGCAGAGAATTGGGTAGCCTCAACCTTGAACAATTACAGTATTTTGAAATGAAGTTCAGCATTTCTTGATTTCATATATCTCTGTCTAAATTAAAAGTTACTGTCAGGCTGTATTATCCTGTTGATCTTCCAGTTTGTGCATCAGAGTTCAAATTATTTGTTTTAGTTTAATATTATTTTCTATTGAAAATGTTACAGCTATGTGTCTAGCATTTCAGTCACAATAGGGATGAATTATAAGTTCCAAAAGAGAGATTCTCACAATTTTAGAGATGGTAGGGTTTTAGAGAGTATCTAGACATATGCGGAAGAGGAAACTGAGGCCCCAAGAGACAGAGAGCTTGTTCTGAGGTCACTAGCCAAATAGTGAGAAAGGCAGGACTAGAAAATGTTGATAGCTTGTCTTTTGGGGAGTGTAGGGAAGAGTTATTTCTCTTCAAAATCCCTCTCAAATCTTCAGTCAAAAAATAACCAAGGCCGGGCTCAGTGCAGTGGCTCATGCCTGTAATCCCAGCACTTTGGGAGGCCAAGGCGGATGGATCACTTGAGGTCAGGAGTTTGAGACCAGCCTGGCCAACATGCTGAAACTCCATCTCTACTAAAAATATAAAAATTAGCCGGGCATGGTGGTGGGCACCTGTAATCCCAGCCACTCAGGAGGCTGAGGCAGAAGAATCGCTTGAACCCGGGAGGGGGAGGTTGCAGTGAGCCAAGATCACACCACTGCACTCCAGCCTGGATGACAGAGCGAGACTCCATAAATAAATAAATAAATCACCAAAAGAGGCCCCCCTGACCCTTCGTTCATGGGACTATTTGCCCAAGTCCTTATAAAGACTTTCTTCCTTAAGCAGAGATTTGGGGACCTTTTTCAAATTGTCTTTAACTTCTGTTTCCAAATCATGAGCAGTCATGTTTTACCGAAGTCACCAGCATCTTCACTAGTGACTCTCTGTTCTAACCTTGGGTTCGCCCAATGGTGGGGCTCTTTACCAAGAGCTTTCAACCTGCGTAAGCTGCTGATAGATCCCAGGCACGTAAGGGAACAGAAATCTCAGCCTGTGCCCAGGGAAATCTGGTATACCCCACATTTCAACTCCCAAGTGTCCTCTGCGCTCCGTTTTCCTCTTTCTTGCTGTTTCTTGCTTGCTTACTTGAGTGATTTGGATTTGAGGGTTCTCCCTCTGGCAATGACAGAAGAAATCAACTAGAGGCAGGCAAGCAGAGGCCTGGAGGTAAAATGTGGCTAGGGCAGCCTGGCGGAGGGTGCTGCAGTGGGTGGAGCTCATGAAGTGTCCTTGTTGACTTCTCCAGGAGAAGCTGATTCTGGAGAGCACCGTTAGGGAGAGACATGAACCAGCCCTGTGAGGCAGGATGACTCAGGAAGACAGGTGGGTTCTTCAGAGCTGGGTAAGTTACTTAGACTCTCCGAACCTCACTTTCCTACCTGCAAAATGAAATCATTTCTACCTCACAGGATCCCTATGAGGATTAAATGGCAGGGCTCATGTGGAAGGCACTTCATCCCATGCTTAGTGTGTGGTAGACACTGAATGAATGATTTAAAACACCAGCACTGGCCGGGCACACCTGTAATCCCAGCACCTTGGGAGGCTGAGGCAGGTGAATCACCTGAGGTCAGGAGTTCGAGACCAGCCTAGCTAACATGGTAAAACGCCACCTCTACTAAAAATACCAAGATTAGCAGGGCATGTTGGCTCATGCCTGTAATCCCAGCTACTCAGGAGGCTGAGGCAGGAGAATTGCTTGAACCCCGAAGGAGGAGGTTGCAGTAAGCCAAGATCTTGCCACTACACTCCAGTGTGGGCAACAAGAGCAAAACTCAGTCTAAAAAAAGACCACGGGCACCACTGCCCCTGCAAGCAGCCAGTTCCTCATGAACAGATCCTTCTCCAACTCCCATGCCCCAGCCAGGGCTGGGCATCACAAGCCCCCATCTGCACCTCCCAAATGCCTGTGCAGGTCCTGGCCTGGGTCAGGGCTGCCCTCAAGGGACCACAGGCGACCAAACAGGAACCTGGAGATAGATACCCTGAGAATATTTTTCCAGAGTGTTGGCCGGGGCCTGAGATCCCTTTCCTCAGGACACAGGCAGCTTCTAATTCCACATCCCAGGTCAGAGGTGGGGTACAAACTCCTGAGGGAGAAAGCACTCTCGGTGACTTGCAAGTGACAGGTCTTAGATCCGGAGGGCCTGGAGGGATGTACATCTTAGAGGCTGAAGGGAAATGCCCAGGCTCAGTGCAGGCACAGGGCAGAATCTGACCAGGAAACAGCTGCAGTACAGACAAAGGGGCCTTGGCAAGGCTAGGCCCTCCCAAACTGTGCCATGATTCCCAGGGCTGGCCCTGACAGGTATGTAATAGATGATCATTGAGTCAATGGGGAACAGGGGTGAGTTTACACAGAACTCAGTTTGCATTCGGCAGGAATTCCTACGGAAACAGTGGTGAGGGATCAGGACATGAGGGAAACGCTGGGCAGATGTTTTCAGTTCAGGGCCGGGGGCTTTCAGGAAAGCACAGCAGACAGACAGCAAGTTCACCTCTGCGGGGGAGGAAGGGAGAGATGCGGCTGCAGGCCGGGGCCATCTGGCCCTTTGCTCCCAGGTTTTCAGACCAGCTTCTAGTAACCTGTCAATCACGGCTCAGCCCTGGGCTGAGTGCTGATGGCAAAGTTCAGAGAAGAAATATCCTTAACTTCCCAAAGGTAATGCACGCACACACACATCCACAGACACACAGATACATAGACACACATACATATACACAGAGACACACATACAGACACACACAGACACACATGGAGACACACATACATAGACACACAGAGACACACACAGAGGCACACAGGCACACACATGGAGACATACAGAGAAACACACACACAGATGCACACACACAAACACACAGGCACGCTATGCACGCATATACAGACACACATACACAGACACACACACAGACACACACGTACACACAAAGGCACATATACACAGGCACACACATAGACATACACAGAGACACACAGACACATGCAGAGACACATACTCAGAGACACACACAGACCACACACAGACCCACACACTCACACACACAGACACACATGGAGACACGCATACAGACACACACAAGCACACATACACACACGGAGACACACATACAGAGATACACAGAGAAATACACAGACACAGGCACACAGACACACACAGGCACACACAGACACACAGGCACACCGACACACACGGAGCCACACAGACACACACACACACAAAGACATGCAGACACACAGACACACACGAAGACACATGCAGAGACACACAGAGAAACACACACAGACACGCAGGCACACATACAGAGACACACACAGGCACACTGTACACATATACAGACACACACAGAAAGACACATACATACACACACAGGCACATATACATAGCACACACATAGACATACACAGAGACACACAGACACATGCACATAGACACATACTCAGAGACACACACACACAGAGACACACACAGAGACACACACAGAAACACAGGCTCACACTCACAGAGTCCAGGCCTGTCTGGAGAAGCACTAGGAGAAAGACACGGGGGGAAGGAGAGGCCGAGATAAAGTGAGGAGGGGAGCGATCTGGAAAAGCAAGGAGAGGGTGAGGAGCGGGATAGGGATCACAGTCCCCGAGCTTGGGCTGAGGCCAGGCCCAGTCTTGAAAGGGGCCCAATAGGGCAGCCCAGTGCCAGACAGGACTCGGTCTGACAGAGACCTGTCCTTGCGCAGCCTGGGGTTTGCTCTGAGGTTTTGTGGGTCTAAGCTATCTCTGAGGTCACCCCCATACGCATCATTTATTCGCGTCTGTGAGTGCTTTGGACATTCATGGCTCCGCAGTCGGCGCAGGACCGAGGCCCCCACGGACAGAGCTGTCAGGTAGGGCAGACCGGGCGCTGGGGCTGGAACGTTCCAGAGGCTCTGGCAAGGCATTCCAGGAAGGGAACGTTCACTTCAGAAAGGGCCTCATGGGGGCCTCTTAACCCCCAGTGCCTGCGCTCGCCCAGAGACTGGCAGGCCAGGGCAGCAGCCGGCCGGGACTGTCTCTCCGGGCTGCAGACAGCCTGGCTCCAGGCCCACCTCCCGGTGCCCTCGGCCTGACATCTTCTGGGCAGAGCCACCATGCCCAGGGAGCCGTGTGGATGGTGTTAGTAAACACGCTTTCTTGCGCCCAGCCTGGCAGGGCCTGTGGGCAGCGGGAGGGCAAGGCGCTGGCAGCTCCCACGGCCGGGCAGGCGGGCGGGCAGGCAGACAGGCGGGCAGGCCGCCCCGCACAGCCCAGCCAAGGCCCAGAACAGAGCAGCTGCTCCCGTCGCCATGGAGACGGGGACTGAACAATGAGCATCCAGAAATGCAGCATGGCCGCCTGGCACTGCGGCCCACACTCCCACCAGGCCCTCACACCTACACACAGGCACGCACATGCATGCATGCACACACACACACGTGAACACACATGCATGCACTCACACAGTCTCGGCCTCCCTGCTGGAGAAGCAAGAGGGAGAAGGAGAGGGAAATGGGGAGAGGGAGAGAGTGCGGAGAGGAGGAAAGGGGAAAGAGTGAAGAGGAGAGCAAGGGAGATCACAGCTTCATTGTTGCAAAGTTGAGCAAAAATCTCACCCTTTGATTCTAGCTAAAAATACGTTTTGCAAAACTTGCCAGCTTTTCAGAGGGTCATGTGGTGCCCTGGATTCTTGTGTAACAGGAGAGTGAAAGGGGGTTTCTAATTAGCAAAAGCATCTTGAATCAAATCACCTTCTACTTAGAGAGGGGTAGCTGAGAGCCCGACGGAGTTTTAAGTCCCAGGAAATTAGAAGAACACTTTCTTAAATGGATCTAAATCCCATGTAATTCCTCCTTGGAGATAATGCGAAGAGGAGGCCAACAGGTTTAGCCACAGTCTCGGAAATGGAGAGCCTGAAAGAGGCTTCATCTGGCCCCTTGGGAAGGCAGAGGGCAGCTGTGTCCAGAGGATTTGAAGAGACCTGGGGCAGGCTCAGGAGGGCAGCCCATGGGCATCTGGTTGTGGTGCTTGTGGGTGTCTTCTGAACACTTCCTTTGTGTGAGATACTGAGCAGGTCAGCCCCTGTCTTCCAGGGGCTCCCAGGACCCCAGCGGGGGAGGTGGCAGGGCCCCCGATGTGCACTGGGTAAGCGGGCACATCCCTATGTAGACACACTCTCCCGCTCACCAACCAGCCACCAGCCAGCCCTCAGCCCTATCCTCGTGTCTACAATGAAATCAGGTCTCGAGTCTCTGAGACTTCCAGGACCACTGTCCAAGGACTGGCAATTCCCATCCTAATTTCCATCAAGTGCTCAACCTGCAGGAAGTCGCTTGATTTCTCTTGGCTTTGCCTGGTTCCTTCCTGCTTCAGAGCAGGTGGGTGTCCTCCACAGGTGGCCAGACCCTTTTAGCAGAAAAAAATGGACTGCCTGCTGATTGACCTGATGGAGTGTAGGAGCTGGAAGGGACACTCTAAGGTTCTGGTGTCCACCTCCACCACTGGAGATCATAGCCAGTGACATTGTAGCTGGCACGGGAAATTCACAGTCTACACTCCAAGCAGCATGCGGGGAGAAGGCGTTCACCACTTTTCTGGGGATGGAGTTTAAAAAGCGAGACAGAGAGAGGAGGCAAGAGAATCAGAACACGTTGGAAAGGAAGAAGAGAAAAGGTAAGACTGAGATAAATCTCCTAAGCTGTGTCAAATACTAGCAGGTTCCAGCAACTGCATTCAACTACAGCTAAGAAGTACTGAACAGCCCTTCCTCAGCTTCCTGGCCTCTAAAATCGTAGGCCCCATGAAAGAGAAAACATAGTAGACAATTAAAAGAAGGAGTGAGTACTAGAACTGAGCCAAGCCCCCTCCTCAGCTCCCTGCTCCCCTTGCCTGCCCGGCATCCCTTGCTAGAAGGTTCTCAGAACTCCAGGAAGCCATCTGCACCGGCTCAGAAGTGGCAGAGGGGGAATTAAAACCACGAAAGGAAGGATCAGAGAGACTCTCTCCCCCTCAAGAGCCACTTTAGTAGATGAAAAAAGCCAGGCGATTTTAATCATCACAAATTGTCTGAGCCTCTGAATCCACCTTCTCTGAAGCAAGGGAGGCCTTCCCTGGTTGCTGACTGATGCTCTCCAGTGGTCTGGGCTCGGGGTGTGGCTGGAAACCTACCTTTGTCCCCCTCCTCACTTCCTGGATCCTTCTGCCTGTCCTCCCAGGTCCCTGGCCCAGTCCAGGCCAAAGCAGCCCAACCCTGCTTATCTAAGGAGATCTGACAAGACTCCAGCCCTCAGGGGTACGGCCGCTGGCAAAACATATGGTGCATCGTAAATAGGACTTCCTTTTAGGAAATGAGCTGCTGTAATTAAATCCCCATTCATTTTTTGTAACATACACACAGAGACAAATAGATCTTTATCCTTTAGAGGCACAGAAGAGAATGGCTTGTGGGGAACAGAGATTATCTGGCGCAGTAGACTCTTAAAAAAGACTTCCTAGATCCAGGTGGAATGAAAACTCCGAATTCATAAGCTCCATCGCTAGCCCAAGTGGGCGAGCAGCTCTACTTCCCCTCTCCAGGACCAGTGAGGGAGCCTTTTGAAATGGAAGAACGTATTTACCTGGAATCTGGGCCGAAGAGGCGATCACTTCTTCCCATCCCACAGTCCTGTGACAGAGCAAAGCTTAAATTAGATGTATTTCAATTGGTTTTCTCTGGATTGGGTTCAACCTGAATTGAGCCCACCTGTGAGCTATGTATTGGGCTAGGCACTGTGGAGGGATACAGGGAGCAGGTGGGACCCAGGGGACTCCTAGGGACCCAAGAGACACCTGAGGGACAAGGTGCTGACCTGCGCACAGCACCCAGTTCTACAGGAAGGGGAGCATGGGGGGGCGGCAGGTTGTTCCATTGGGGGTCTGGGAAGCCTTCATGGGGTTAACAGGAGAGCCGATCCTGGAGGGAAGAGTAGGATTTCCTGAACAGAGACTGGAGTGACAGCATCCAGGGAGATGGAACAGGACACAGAGCATGGTACTGAGGCCTGTCTGGTACTAGAGTCACAAGATTCATGGGAGATACGGGTGAGGAAAAGAAGGAGCTGGACGCCGGGCGCGGTGGCTCACGCCTGTAATCCCAGCACTTTGAGAGGCCAAGGCAGATGGATCACCTGAGGTCAGGAGTTCAAGACCAGCCTGACCAACATGGTGAAACCCTGTCTCTACTAAATACAAAAAATTAGCTGGGTATGGTGGCGCATGCCTGTAATCCCAGCTACTCGGGAGGCTGAGGCAGAGAATTGCTTGAACCTGGGAGGTAGAGGTTGCAGTGAGCCGAGATTGCATCATCGCACTCCAGCCTGGGCAACAAGAGCGAAACTCCGTCTGAAAAACAAAACAAAACAAAACAAAACAAAAGAACTGGACATCTTTTCTGTCTTTGAGAGCCAATAAGGTCCAATATGTCATTTCCTCAGAAATGAAATTTTCTGGCCGCGCGTGGTGGCTCACACTTGTAATCTCAGCACTTTGGGAGGCCAAGGTGGGTGGATCACCTGAGGTCAGGAGCTTGAGACCAGCCTGGCCTACATGGTGAAACCCCATCTCTACTAAAAATAAAAAATTAGCTGGGCGTGGTTGTGTGTGCCTGTAATCCCAGCTACTCGGGAGGCTGAGGCAGGAGAATCACTTGAACCTGGGAGGCAGAGGTTACTGTGAGCCGAGTTCGTGCCACTGCGCTCCAGCCTGGGCAACAGAGCAAGACTCTGTCTCAAATAATAACAATAATAAATAAATAAATAAAATGAAAGAAAAGAAAAAAATTTTTCTTTCATGCAGTCACCAAACATCTGTTGTCTTGCACACGGTAGGAAAAAACAAAACACCAAAACTGTTTCTCAGACTGAATACGATGTGAAAGGCACTGAGTTAGATGGTGTGCTGGTCGGTCTCCGGGGTGAAGGAGATCCAGGGGTCAGCCTCCAGGCATTTGCAAACTCTCAACCTTGCAAATACCATGGGGCCCTCCCCGCAGTTACTGTGTTTGGAATCTCGAGAAAATCACAGAGCTTCTTTGAGATGCAAATGTTGCGCTGGGCTGGGCCGGCTCACAATTCAGATCGGCTATCGCCACCAAATACCACGTCCACAGGGCTGGGACTTCCAGTGGGGCTTTGGAATGGTTGACCCCGAGAAGGTGAAATCCCAGATACCGAGGCTTCATACAAGGCAGAAAGTGCTAAAGGCCATTTGAAAATGACCTTTGAAAGTGCTAGCGGATAAAGGCATCCCACACCCTGTGGTGATCAGGGCAAGCCACATGCATAGGGGTCAAGACCTGTGGTTTGCCTGTATTTGAATCCTGGCCCCAAAGTCTACTAGCTGTGTGACTTTTAGTGAAAGACTTAACCTCTCTGTGCTCTGGTTTCTTCTTCTGTAAAATAAGGATAAAAATAGAACAATAGGCCCCTCCTAGGGTCATTGTGATGAATGAATTAAGATCCATAAAGCACTTAAGACAGTGTGGGGCACATAATAAGTGCTTGAGGTATTTGTTGTTGTTACTGTTATTTAATGAATGGTGTAAGTAGATACACAGTGTCTGTGAGATGAGGATATGAGCAAACCATTTTAGATAAAGAAAATTCTGTCCAGGTGCGAAGTCTTATGCCTGTTAATTCCAGCACTTCTGGAAGCCGAGGTGGGAGGATCACTTGAGCCCAGGAATTCAAGACCAGCTTGGTCAACATGCCGAAACCCCATCTCTACTAAAAAAAATACAAAAATTAGCCAGGCGTGGTGGTGCACACCTGTGGTCCCAGCTACTCGGGAGGCTGAGGTGGGAGGATGGCTTGAGACCAGGAGGCAGAGGTTGCAGTGAGCCGTGACTGTGCCACTGCACTTCAGCCTTGGCAACAAAGGAAGACCTTGTCTCCAAAAAAATAAGAAGAGGAAGAAAAAAAAGTCTGGCTGGGCTTGGTGGCTCAAAACTGCAATCCTACCACTTTAGGAAGCTGAAGTAGGAGGATTGCTTGAGCCCAGGAGTTTGAGACCAGCCCGGGCAGCATAATGAGACCCTGTCTCTTAAAAAAAAAAGAGAGAAAGAAAGAAAAGAAAAGAAAGAAAAAAAAAACGGAAAGAAAAGTCTGTGAATCTTTGGCACCTGGACACTTTTCAAAAATAAAAATAAACTTCTTTTGTAGTCAGTATTGGACTAGTCAGTACTTAACATCACTTGGAAGGTGACGTTCCTGTCTGGGGCCTGCTGGGGACCTCACAGGGACGCCAAGCATCAGACAGACAGTTGGACTAGCTGACCTGTGAGGACCCTTTTGGTCCTGAAATGCCATCACATGCATTCTATTACACAGGGAGGGAAGCTTTCCCCAGGTTCCCAGGCTGTAAAAAGGGAAAGAAAGCACACAGTGGCTTCCATGTTCTCTCACACACCCTGCCGGGGCATCCTCCTAGCACGGAGGAAACTGGCCTTCCCCACAGTTAACTGCTGCTGTGGGGTTCTAGTCATCCCCAGGAACTTGCAGTGTGTCCTGAAGAGCAGGGGAGGGAGAACACCACGGTTATAGAGTTTGAGTTTCTCTCTCTACCTCCTCATCCACCAAGTCCTCCTCATCTCTTTCCCTCAAAACACCATTTTTGGCTGGGCGTGGTGGCTCATGCCTGTTATCCCAGCACTTTGGGAGGCCGAGGTAGGTGGATCACTTGAGGTCAGGAGTTCGATACCAGCCTGGGCAACATGGTGAAACCTTGTCTCTACTAAAAGAACAAAAATTAGTTGGGCGTGGTGGCAGGCGCCTGTAATCCCAGCTACTTGGGAGGTTAAGGCAGGGGAATCGTTTGAACCTGGGAGGCAGAGGTTGCAGTGAGCCGAGATTGTGCCACTGCACTCTAGCCTGGGTGACAGTGAGACTCCTTTTCAAAAAAAAAAAAAAAAAAACCCACACCATATTTTATGTCCTCTTATTTAAAGTGGGAAACTGAGGCCTGGTACCTTGCCTGCCATCACACACCATCTGGGCTCAAAATAAATCCCAGGCTCCCTTTCTTCCTGACCTGGGTCACCTCCATTTGCTACTCCCAGTTTGCAAAGGGCTTTCAAATAGATGATTCTGATCTGCCTCCCAGCGGATATCAGGGGGCCTGTTTTACAAAGGATAAACCAAGGCACAGAGAGGGTAAGTGGCCAGTCAAGAGATGCAGCTGGTACCTGGTGAAACTGGGATTCGATACTCTTCTCACTACACTAAGTCCAGGCAGCACACTCTCCTGCTTACCTCATTTTCTCAGGTCACCTTTGACCACAGTCATTGTTAGGACCTTTTGCCAAACATCTCAGTTCCAGTCTCCGTCTGGCTTTGGACAATCTATCTTGGACCAGTTTCATCTCTAAGAAACTGCTCTGACTATAAATTGAATTCTTCCTTCTGGGAGCACCTCTTGGTGCTTTTCACCATCTTCCCCTCTTTTACATTGAGCAAAACAGCAGTTTTCATATGGATATTATACTTTGCATTTGCTTAGCACTTTTGGCTTTTCGCAGCACTTTCCCATCTATTATCTTGTTTTATCCTAATAAGCCCATGAGACTGGCAGTGTTCTCCTTATAGCAGAGAAGAAAAGAAGACACAGAGGAAACAGTGTCTGGTTCCAGGTCACCCAGCAAACCGATGGCAGACCAAGGAGGGAACGCAGTAGGATTTCCGGGGCTGCACTCTTCCATCTTAGTACATTAATTCTTTGCCATGGATTGAGCTTCTTTTTTTTTTTTTTAAGACAGAGTCTCACTCTGTTGCCCAGGCTGGAGTGCAGTGGCACAATCTCGGCTCACTGCAACCTCCGCCTCCCAGGTCCATGCCATTCTTCTGCTTCAGCCTCCCGAGTAGCTGGGACTACAGGTGTGCGCCACCACGCCCGGCTAATTTTTTGTATTTTTAGTAGAGACAGGGTTTCACCGTGTTAGCCAGGATGGTCTCAATCTCTTGACCTTGTGATCCACCCGCCTTGGCCTCCCAAAGTGCTGGGATTACAGGCGTGAACCACTGTGCCCGACCACTGAGCTTCTTTTTTTAAAGAAAATTATTTTTTAATTTTTTTTATGGGCAGCCGCTGAACGAGAGCAGGTTCAGAGAGATTCCCTGAGCTTCTTAACGGATGTCATGAATCATTTAAGGAAGGAGAGTATCAAAGGCCAGGCGCCTGGTGGCTCACACCTGTAATCCCAGCACTTTGGGAGGCTGAGGTGGGCGGATGACTTGAGGTCAGGAGTTCAAGACCAGCCTGACCAGCATGGTGAAACCCATCTCTACTAAAAATACAAAATTAGCTGGTTGTGGTGGTGCATGCCTGTAATCTCAGCTACTCGGGAGGCTGAGGCAGGAGAATCGTTTGAACCCGGCGGGCAGAGGTTGCAATGAGCCGATATTGAGGATCACTTGAGGTCAAAAGTTCAAGACTAGCCTGACCAGCATGGTGAAACCCCGTCTCTACTAAAAACACAAAATTAGCTGGGGGTGGTGATGCACGCGTGTAATCCCAGCTACTTGGGAGGCTGAGGCAGGAGAATTGCTTGAACCTGGGAGGCGGAGGTTGCAGTGAGCTGAGATTGCGCCGTTGCACTACAGTCTGTGCTACAAGAGTGAAACCCCATCTCAAAAAAACAAAAACAAGGAGAGTATCATTTTGAGTGTGAGAAATGTGAGACATGGCCAAGTGTTACAGAAGAAAAAAATGCTATGCTGGAGTCAGGAGTGGCCGTTCTCATTTCAGCTTTGCTCCTGCTCCATGTATGACTCTAGACAAGTCACTTTTTTCCCAGCTTCACTTTCCTGACCTTCAAAATGATGGGATTGAACCACACCCTCTCTGGCATGGGCAAGAAGCCTCTTCCAGGTCCCAGAGACTATGTTGCTATCTTCAAATTTGACTGGTAGAAAAATGGGCAGTTTTTCTTTACTTTCCACTTGGGGATACAAAAAAAAGATCCAAGAGTTGCAGAGAAAAAGTGCTTGGGAGAAGTCACTCTTCACCTAATCTAGTTTTAGGTGAAACTGCCTCCCGTGGAATGCCAGGTGAATGATTAAAACGTGAGTAGGCATTGTTCTGGCTTGTTTCATGGTACAGGCATTTAATCCCAACATCGCTGTGTGAAACGTACTCCTGTTTGCACGGGGGAGCCCCATAGGTTTTTAATTCTTCTGTGGGAAACAAAGGCCCTCATTCACTAAACAGTAACTCAGGAGGGTAGTTTCTGCTCTTACCAGTCAAAAAATGTTGTCTGGCCACAAGATCTCATCATCGAACTCAAGAGGCAAAAGAAAGCTCTTTTTACACTGGGTCTCTTTGATAGTGGTCAAGCTCGTGTTTGCATTTTCTTCTTTATGAATAAGGTCTTAGGTTTATTTTATAGGGAAATAAATCTAGCCAGAGGTTCTAATGACAAGATAATGACCAGAAGAGGACTCTATTTGTTGCAAAAGGGTTTGTGTTATGAAAAACAGAGCAACTTTGCCATTTGTTTTTGAAAGAAAGGCTTTGGCAGCTCCCTTCAATGATTAGCTGAGAAGTGACTTCACACATCCATAGGACAAATTTCTATCTAATTTACAAAAGTTCCCAGGGAGCATGCCTTTCAGTCCCAAAGGAGCTCACAGAAGACAGCTAATTTATGCCCCAAGAGTTGTGAGAGGAATTTAGACATGGAAGACAACTATGTCTTCTTCGAGTGGCTTCTGAAATACATCAGATGGGGTAACACTCCCAGATAAGACCATAGCAGGAAATGTTTGTTGTCAGGTCTTCTTGTCTCATCCATTCATACACAGATACCTGTTTGATTCGCGCTGATTAGTCTGCAAAACACTGGAGGGTGGGGCAGGATGAGCACACCTAGAAACTGGAAACTTCTTCCCTGCCCTCCACCCACTTACAATTTTGTCAGGAAATCAGCTGACCACATATTAGCTTGAAATACAATGCAGAATACAATAAGACCTTGAAAGGCCTCAGAACGAATAATTACAAGAATTCCGAGCAGGGAGTAATCACTGCTCATTGGAGCTTTGAGGAACAAAACATCAGTGGGCCCAGAAGAATCAGGACAGCTTTGTCCTCTAGAACCTTCCACAATGATGGAGAAGGTCTCTATCTGCTCTGAACAATTTGCTGGCCATTAGTCAGATGTGGCTGTTGAACATTTGAAATGTAGCTAGTGTGACTGAAGAACTGAATTGTATCTTTTATTTAATTTTTTAAATTTTTTTGTGGTAAAATATGCGTAACATAAAATTTACCATTTTAACCATCTTTAAGTGTACAATTCATTGGCATTAAGTATACCCACAAAGTTGCGCAACCATCACCATTACCCATTTCTAGAATGTTTTCGACATCCCAAATTGAAACTTTGTACCCATTTATAGGGGTGTTCAATCTTGTGGCTTCCCTGGGCACATTGGGAGAGGAATTGTCTTGGGCCACACATAAAATACACTAACACTAATGATAGCTGATGAGCTTTTAAAAAAAAATCTCATAATGTTTGAAGAAAGCTAACAAATTTGTGTTGGGCCACATTCAAAGCTGTCCTGGGCCTCGGGTTGGACAAGCTTGTCATTAAACAACTTCCCATTCCTCCTACCCCCAGACCCTGGAAACGCTGGTCTACTTTCTCTCTCTCTTTGTGTATATGAGTTTGCCTATTCTAGGTAGCTCATATAAGTGAAATCACACAGTATTTGTCCCTTTGAGTCTGTCTTATTTTACTTATTAAGCCGTTTTCAAGGTTCATCTGCTTGTAGTATTCAAATGTCCTTCCTTTCTGAGGCTGAATAATAATCTATTGATGTATTTACCACATTTTGTTTATCTATTCATTGATTGATATTTTATTTAACTTTAACTAACTTTGAATAGCCAAATGTGGCTACTGGCTACTATATTGAACGCTGCAGATCTGTAGGACTTGGGCACTGTTGTGTGTTAGGAGTATGTGTGAATGAGAGGGGTGTGTGTGTGAGTGTGCCCACTACATTGAAGAGGTGGTGTGGAAATCAGGAGAATTCAAAGGGAAGAAATCCCAGTGAGCACAGGTGCAGAGAGGAGGGACCTTTTGGAAGAGAATACGGAACATGATGCCTGAAACAGAAGGTATGTTAAGCAAGGTAGAAAATATGGCTAGAAAGAGAAGCTTTCCGAGAGCATAAATAGTCTTGAATACAACGTTTACATTATTTCAACACGAACTTACCTTCAGTTGTAAAATTGCAATATTATGTACTTGTTTAAATCCTTCAAAGCATCATTCCTGCTATCATTTTATGAAGAATAAAGACCAAATGTTGGACAAATACCTGCAGGACTCCATTTGAGAGAAAAAAAAAAAAATGTGCATAAGAGTCCCAGTCTAGAAAGCAGATGAATTAGACAGATATTGTTAAACTTGTAGGGAAAAAAATACTCACTTCATGGAAGGATTTACTAGAGACTCTTCCTTTACAGAATGTGCTCCCTTAGGGTACTAAAAATAGGATTTGATTTACTTTAAAAATGCATTTGCAACTCTTCCAGGCCCATCTCGACGGCGCTAAACAAAGCCTGCCTGTGGAACTGTTGCTCTGTGTGGGGCTAAAACACAATGTAATGGTCACAGTTTTTCTCCAGCTTGGTTGAAACAGTGAAGAATAGTGGAAAGAGCTCAGGCTTTCAAGTCAAGACATCTTCCTAAGGAAAGCGATTGAATTTCTTTGAAATATGGTTTTCTTATCTGTCAAATGGAAAAATTCCAAGCAATCTTTCAGACCTTTATATAAATTGCCTCGCCCAACATCTGGAAGGTTATAGGAACACCAAAAAGGGGTGGGAGAGGGGAGTCTTGGCAGTTATATCATTTTCAAAACAACTAAAGACAGGTCAAGATGGACAAAATGTTGCCAGGAGTCAGGACATCTTATGAGATATGACAATGGTGAAAAGAGATAACAGGCCTGCCAGGCAGGAGGACCGAAGTTTCAGATCTGCCAACCAGCTGGGACCAAAATAGCAAGAAGATTCAAGATGCAGATCAAGATAAAGCAAAGTCTTATTATCTCCATTTGACAAATGTGGAAACTTGAGTCTCAGGGAGTTTTCTTAGCTTCCCCTAAAGTGACACATACAGTTAGTGGCTAGAACAACTGAAACCCATCCCCTGTGAATGCAGCAGAATGAATGTCCCTTCCACCTCGCCATGCTCAGCTTAACTCTGCCACTACATGTGACAGTGAGCACTCAGTAACTGGCTAATGGCAGGTTCATGAGAGGCTCCAGGGCCCTGAGGAGACACAAATGCAGCAGGCTGAGCAACAAAGGGCTACTCCAAACTTTTAAAGTTTTGACTCTATTTCTAAGGGACATCAGAGACTGCAACATCTCGATATACTGAAGATGTAAAAACAGATGCTCAGGGCCAGGCACGGTGGCTCATGCCTGTAATCCCAACATTTTGGGAGGCCAAGGTAGGTGGATCACCTGAGGTCAGGAGTTCGTGACCAGCCTGGCCAACATGGTGAAACTCTGTCTCTACTAAAAATACAAAAATCAGCCTGGCGTGGTGGTGGGCGCCTGTAATCTCACCTACTGGGAGGCTGAGGCAGCAGAATCACTTAAACCTGGGAGGCAGAGTTCACAGTGAGCTAAGATCATGCCACAGCTTGCCAGCCTGGGTGACAAATAGAGACCCTGTCTCAAAAACAAAACAAAACAAAAAAACAACAACCAAAAAAACCTGACTCTTAGAGATAGGAAGTGACCAGCCTAGGTTATGCAGCAAACCACTGGCAAAACAGAGATTCTTTCCTTTACTTTCCCATACTCTTTCCTGTGCTACACCACCCAGGAAATGCAAAGGTGAGTTTTTTCTCTACTTAGTGTAGGTCAAAGCCCCTTCTTGTGTCTCTCTGTAAGCAAGTCTTTCAATGGGCATGATTGCTTTCAGCAGAAGCATCTCACAGTTTCTCCAGCAACACTTACCTTCACTCCTGTTTCCCGAACCCACTGGACTCATTATGGAGAAAACTACAAAGTGAGCCCTGACTGGGGACTATGATGGCAGAAGCCAAATATTAGCTGAAAAACAATATATGTATGAAATTAACCCAGAAAAATTATGGAGAAATGCACAGATAAAGGAGTTTCAAAGAATAACAATGTTTTGCTAACAATACCAGTAGCTCACAGATCGCAGTTGTGTGTGTGTGTGTGTTTTGGCAATCAACATCGCATTTGCATAGTATTTTACAAATGTTAAAGCATTATTATATCCACCCTATCATTTGTTCCATATAATGCATTGATATCCACAGACCATTCTAATATTCCTTTTTTCAAAAACCTGAGCCCCAAATTAGTCCCATTTTCCATCCTTCTCTACCTTTATATAACCTGCAGTTTCCATGCAAACAAGAGTTGCTTAAATATCTCCAAACCTTTGTTTGTACTTTTCCTGCGTTCTGAAGCGTCTCTGCTTTTTTGTGTTTGTTTTTGTTTCTGAGACAGAGTCTTGCTGTGTCACCCAGGCTGGAGTGCAGTAGCACGATCATGGTTCACTGCAGCCACAATCTCACAGGCTTAATGGATACTCCCACTTTAGCCTCCCAAGTAGCTGGGACCACAGGCACACACCACCAGGCTTGGCTCATTTTTTTGTTTTTTGTAGATGGGGTCTCGCCATGTTGCCGAGACTGGCCTTGAACTCCTGGCTCAAGGGATCCACCCACCTTCATCTCCCAAGGTCCTAGGATTATAGGCATGAGCCACCACACCCAGCCTAGAATGCTTTTGTTTGATACTGCTTTTCCAAACCTGAATATCTCCTTATCTGTAAACACTCAGCTCGTGCAGCTTCCTCCAGGGAGTTCTCCCTCTCACTTGCTGCCTGCAAAGTCTGAACTCCCAGACCTTCAGGAAAGGGTTCATGCTGGACTCATCTCTGCATCCCCCATGCCCAGTGCAGTGGTTGGCATGGACAGGTGTGCCCCAGGGCGAGGGCTGATGAGGAAAGCAAGTCCCAGAGAGGCTTGGTGGCTGCTTGGCCGCAGAAGCTGAATTCACCACAGAGCATGGATTAAGACCCATATATCTTGATTCCTAGACCAACGCAGGGCTTGAACAGCTTCTGCCAAAAGCACAGAGTGGGTTGCCATCCAGAATCAGGGTCCTGTCTGGTGCGCTGCTGGAGGTCTCTGCATGGGGAATTCCTTCTTCCCTCCTGACCCTCGTGGGTCCTGAGCCCCCCCACCAGCCCCCTCTGCAGTGGGGCCCACAGCACACAAAGGTGCTATTTCCTCTCCTCTCTCCTTAGCAGAGAAACAGCGTTAAAGGAATCTGGAAGCCTATGAGTGAGCGTGTCTTTTCTGCTGTATCAGTTTCTAATTGGGCAGGGGAAGGGTCACGGAGGATGTCTGGGGTACGCTTTCACTCCTGGCTTGGGTTTTATTTTGTTTCCGTCCTCATTCCCAATAGCTCTTCCAGCACCCTGTCATAAAGTTGTGGGGCTTTTAGAATTATTTATAATCTCATTTTAAGTTGACATGAACTCTTAAAAGCCTCCAATTCCCCCATTGTATTTATTTAGGCAAAGGTAATATCATAATCCACAATGATGCATTACAAGACACAATAATTGTCTTGCAAATATGGGTCTGATGAATCCTAATTGGTTCCTGGGTTACTTAAAGGGCAAATCATTTTGGTTGGGTGGTGATGTTGTGATATTCTTCAAACCACTGACAATACATGTTCAACACCCATGTGAAGCCTCTGGAGGACCCAAAGATGGCTAATGTAGCATCCCTGTGCCTCCAGGAGCCCCGAGTGGAGAGTGAGAAACAGAGGACAAGTACAGCTACCATGACACTAATGAGTTGTAAAAAGGACACAAACGAGAAATACTCATTTGGACTGAAGGAAGCTGTGCTTGAGCGAAACCTTGACGTGAGATTAAACTTGGCCAGATGAAGATGAAAGAGAAGAGAGAAAGAGCATCGGGGCAGCAAGGGACCAAAGGTGTGGGAAGACTGGACAGGACCTGGGAATAGCACCGGGAAACAGGACAGGAAATTGAAAGGAAAGACAAAGAGAAAGAAAAGACGAAGAGTTTCAAGGTTAGTGAGAGCTGAGCAACACCCTTTCTGTCCACTCTAGCCAGACCTCGTTTTATTGCACTTCATTAAATTTCACAGATACTTCATGCTTTACAAATTGAAGGTTTGTGGCAGCTCTGCATGGAGCAAGTCTATGGACCCCATTCTTCCAACAGCACGTGCTCACTTCATGTCTTTGTGTCACATTTTGGTATTATTGTAAATATTACCAAAAAAAAATCTAACCCTATTTCAAACATTTCCATTACTATTATAACTGTTATGGTGATTTGTGATCAGGGATTTTTTTTTTTTTTTTTTTTTTTTTTTTTTTTTTTTTTTGAGACAGAATCTCACTCTTGCCCAGGCTGGAGTGCAGTGGCACGATCTCAGCTCACTGCAACCTCCACCTCCCAGGTTCAAGTGATTCTCATGCCTCAGCCTCCCGAGTAGCTGGGATTACAGGCGCCCGCCACCATGCCCAGCTAATTTTTGTAGTTTTAGTAGAGACAGGGTTTCACCACGTTGGCCAGGCTGGTCTCGAACTCCTGACCTGAGGTGATCCGCCTGCCTCAGCCTCCCAAAGTGCTGGGGTTACAGGTGTGAACCACCCTACCCAGCCAGGGATCTGATTTTATTGTTGTAAT
Organism: Homo sapiens; assembly: GCF_000001405.40. Taxonomy (NCBI): domain Eukaryota; kingdom Metazoa; phylum Chordata; class Mammalia; order Primates; family Hominidae; genus Homo; species Homo sapiens. The sequence goes on along the minus strand of NC_000002.12, from coordinate 15,969,983 downwards.
TGTTTTGGGGTCCACAAGCCATGCCCGTATGAGGTGGCAAACTTAATTGATAAGTATGTTCTGACCACTCTGCTGACCAGCCATTCTCTGTCTCTCTCCCTCTCTTCAGGCCTCCCTATTCCCTGAAACACAACAGTATCAAAATGAGACCAACTAATAACCCACAATGACCTGTAAGCATTCAAGTGAAAGGAAGAGTCACATATCTTTCCATTTAAGTCAAAAGCTAGAAATGATTAAGTTTAGTGAGGCAAGTATGTTGAAAGCCGAGATAGGCCAAAAGCTAGACCCTTTGCACCAAATAGTTAAACCAGATGAGAATGCAAAGGAAAAGTTTTTGAAGGAAATTAAAAGAGCTACTCCAGTGAACACATGAATGATAAGAAAGCTAAACAGCCTTATTGCTGATATGGGGAAAGTTTTAGTGGTTTGGATAGAAGATTAAACCAGCCACAACATTCCCTTAAATCAAAACCTAAACCAGAGCAAGGCCCTAACTCTCTTCAATTCTATGAAGGCTGAGAGGGGTGAGACAACTGCAAACAAAAGTTGGAAGAGATTAAGGAAAGGAGCCGTCTCCGTAACATAAACGTGCAAGGAGAAACAGCAATTGCTGATGGAGAAGCTGCAGCAAGTTCTCCAGAAGATCTAGCTGAGATTGTTGATGAAGGGGACTACACTAAACCCCATATTTTCCCATATTTTCCATGTAGGCAAACGAACCTTCTATGGGGAGAATATGGTCATGGACATTTTTGCCATCCATCTAAGGAGAAATTGATATGATATGCTAAGTCCACAATTATCACCTAAAACTTTCATTACACCTTACAGATGGAGAAAAAGAAACATGGAGAAATGATGATAGCTGTGATCCCAAAGCTAGAAAGAGGCAGGGTGGGGACTCAGTTGCAGGATTCAGAGCCTGTGACCCACCTGCCAGACTATGCATTGACTCTACCTAGAGAAGCCTTCTTTGGTCGTCCCCACCCAGACCAGAGTTCATGGGGATCAGTTGCACCTGGGAGGCCAGTAGGTAAAAGAAAGGCAGGAACAGGGGCAGATTCCTTGAGAAAACCCCAACAACAGGGGTGAAATCTCCCTGGGCGTGGGCTGAGGCTGACTGTGAACCTGGGCCTGCCACTGGCTCCCAAAAGTCACATGACCTATCTGCACCTGGCTGTCCTCAACTGTGGCATGCAGAGTAAATCCCACCCTGCTGGCCACAAAGTGGCACAGAAAGGATCAGGAGCCATTTGATGTCAGAAAGGCTTTTGCAAAGGGGAAGGCCCCGTACAAATGCGAGGAGTTGTTCAAACAGGGAAAAAAAAATTAAAAAGTAGAGTTTCAGTGAGATCCTCCTCCCTTTGGTCCCCCCGCCCCACCCCGGGAACATGACTACTTCAATCAAACACATTTCTGGGTAAAACAGTGCATGTTTCAGATTCTGTAATGATGAATTTGCAACCTCATTTAACCACTCTTGAAAAAGACCATGCCCAACACAGACTCACCTGGTTTCTTTGTGGGAGGAATCCAAAGACACATTGTGCATTGTTCTAGTTCCAGGCTCCAGCTACCCTTTTGCTCCACTCCCCTCCCCAGGCACTCTGTTCCTACCATCCTCCAAGTTCACCAGCAGTCAAGGTAGAGACCTCTTGTTAAACAGAACACGCTCTATTTCAAGGTATGCAGACTGCTTCATTTCACATGGTATGAGTCATGATTCACAGCTCCAGAAAAGAATCAAAAGAATTCATTAAAACAGTAGAAAATGTCACATCCAGCATCTCTAATGTTGATTTTTCCTCTCTCATCTGGGGACCCAGGGACGGAGGGGCAAGAGAAGTGCCTGCACATAGGCCCATCAGCCATCCTTCCTAGGCCCAGGAATTGGGAAGGCCAGGGTATAAGGCAAGTTGGGACAGTTGATAAAGAGGGAAGATGTTAGAGGGAAATACTCCCTACTCTGTCTCACCCAGGACTTTTCGAAGTTCTCAATAGATTTTGACTGAAAGGGAAGTCCAGCTAACTCTCTAGTCCAAGAAGCATTTAAGCAAAGAGAGGCTGAGAGCAAGAGAATGCATGCTGGTCAGTAATGGCTGTTGCTGAAGAGACCTAGCTTATGGCCAGGGCCGGATCTCCAGTTTGAGTGATTTATGCAAAATAAGAAAGCAGGCCGGGTGCAGTGGCTCATGCCTGTAATCTCAGCACTTCGGGAGGCCAAGGCGGGTGGGTAACCTGAGGTCAGGAGTTTGAGACCAGCCTGGCCAACATGGCGAAACCCTGTCTCTACTAAAAATACAAAAATTAGCCAGGTGTGATGGTGGGTGCCTACAGTCCCAGCCACTCAAGAGGCTGAGGCAGGAGAATCGCTTAAACCCAGTAGGCAGAGGTTGCAGTGAGTCCAGATGGCACTACCGCACTCCAGCCTAAGCAACAGAGACAGATTCCATCTCAAAATAAATAAATAAATAAAAATTAAAAAAAGAAGAAGAAAACAGACAACGCAGGTGTGGGTGTCTCTTTTCATGAGGCTGTGGGTAGATGGAGAGAGTTGGGGGAAAAGGGGAGAGAGTTAGAGCTGGCAGATTTCACCTCCTGGTGGACTTAGTCCCCTGGTAGATTTAGTCCCACAAATGGTGTTCTTGTAATCTGTGAAACTTGTCTTTCCCATCTTTGTCCCTGTCCCTCTTGAGTCACTGGCCTTCCTATGTAGGATGTCACCCCCATCCAAAGGCTGAGATAGTGGGATAGTGGCCCCTTTAATGAGAGCCCCATCACCTGTGTCTAATCCACTCACAGCCCTGAACACACTGCATTATAACATTGATTCCGACTTGTCTGTCTCTCCCCGCTAGACTAAGCCCCCTAAAGACAAAGACAGACCTTTGCATCTCTGCAGCCCTAGAACTGAGCACAGGGCCTGGCACAGACCAGATGGCCAATAACAATTAGCTGACCTGGCCGGGCACAGTGGCTCACGCCTGTAATCCCAGCACTTTGGGAGGCCGAGGCGGGTGGATCACGAGGTCAGGAGATCGAGACCATCCTGGCTAACACAGTGAAACCCCGTCTCTACTAAAATTACAAAAAATTAGCCGGGCGTGGTGGCAGGTGCCTGTAGTCCCAGCTACTCGGGAGGCTGGGGCAGGAGAATGGCATGAACCCGGGAGGCGGAGCTTACAGTGAGTGGAGATCGCACCACTGCACTCCAGCCTGGGCGACAGAGTGAGACTCTGTCTCAAAAAAAAAAAAAAATTAGCTTACCAGAGGCCCCCTGTTATGGAGTTGATTTGTGTCCCCCCGAAAAATATACTGAAGTCCTGACCTCCAGTACCCCAGAATGTCACTTTATTTGGAAATAGGGATGCTGCAGATGTAATTAGTTAAAATGAGGTCAAACTGGAGTAGAGTGAACCTCGATTCCATATAACTGTTGTCCTTATAATAAAAGGGAATTTTGGACAGAGAGGGAAGAGGCCCATGTAAAGACACAGAGATTTAGGGAGAACCGTGTCAAAGGAAGCCATGGAGCAGGAAGGATCACCATCTGTCACCATAAGCTACGGGAGACGCCCAGGGCACTTCCTGTTATGGTCTTCAGAAGGAACCAGCCCTGCTGACAGCTTGAACAGATATCTACATTTCTGCTGCTGTAGCTCCCCAGTTTGCGGTACCTTCTTATGGTGGTCCAAGGGAACAAATACAGCCCTCCATACCCACCGCCTCCACCTCTTTCTGCTACCAGGGGCCTATTCCTTATTGTGTTTTATTGCATAATCTGGGCTGCCAAAGAGGGGCAGGATTTCGTGTTGTTTAATGGGGCTGATAATGTTTTCTAATCTAGAATATTTAGGTGAAATATTGTAGGATGTCATCAGAGTTCAAATCCCACAAGAAGCCATTTTTCAACAGCTAAAAGATCTAAAGAAATGCTCAGTATCTAACGATGGCCAATGCCCATGTCTGAGGGGCTGGGGATGAAGGGCAGGTTCTCCCTCTTCACCCCCCAGGGGGATTTCCCTCTCTCCCGTTGTGGGCTGGTGCCAGGGCGGGGGCGCCCCCAGTGCTGAGATGACAGGAAGCCGGGTGGCATAATCTGTCCTCCACCCGACAAAAGACAGGAAATCCAGAGCTGAAGGTGGAAAATCTGACCTCAGCTCACCCCTGCATTGTGTTGGGCCCAGAATGAAAGAACGGGCTGCACAAAGGCCTCTAAAGAAAGCGATTAGGGCCTGGCCCCTGTGGCGAGGGAGCGATGAGACACTGTCCCCAGACCGAGCTGCCCCAGCTCTGAAGGGCTGGATGGAGGCCTGGCCACAGTCGAGCAGTCCCCAAGGAAGGCCCACTCTGAAGCCCCAGAGTTCCCTGAGAAGGGCGTCCCACCCCATCAGCTCCTCGGAGAGCGCCTGGGGCCGCCTCCAACCAGACCAGCCTCCTGGGCACGAAGGACAGACTCAGGCCCTAAAGAAGCAGGGAGCACCAGCCTGTCCCAAAACGGGAATAGCCTCTACCCACCTCAGAGGGATTATGCAAATCAAATGAGCTAATGGATAACAATAATCCCTTCGATTTGTGGGGCACTCTACAGTTTACATAACCCTTGCAGTCGTTTATTTCATTTAATCCTCCTCGCCACCTTGTGAGGTAGGAATTTTCACTGCCTTTTACAGATGAGGTCACTGGCTCCAGAGTTCAAATGCCCACAGTGCCCAGAGGCGAGGAAGAGCAAGCTGTTTCCACCCCACACACAACTTGTGTTGTGGCTCTGGACCTGGCTTGCCCCGGAGACTAAGCTTGGTGCTTTCTTGAGGACAGGGCTCCCCTGGCTCCTCTGTCTGGGCCTGGGTGCACTCTGCCAAGACAGGGTGGACTTGGAGTGAACTGATGACAGGTGAAGCTGCCAGGCAGGTTCTGGGTCCTGAAGGTGTGGCTGTGTCTGCTCAGGTTTATCCTGGACTCTCTTAGTTCTGCTGACTGCATTTTTTTAAATTATAAAAATAATCAGTAAAGCCAGGCACAGTGGCTCATGCTTATAATCCCAACACTTTGGGAGGCTGAGGCGGGAAGATCGCTTGAGCCCAGGAGTTTGTGACCAGCTTGGGCAACAGGGCAAAACCCCATCTCTACAAAAATATATTAAAAAAAAAATTATCCAGGCATAGTGGTGCATGCCTATAGTCCCAGCTACTCAGGAGGCTGAGGTGGGAGGATCACTTGAGCCTGGGAGGTGGAGGTTGCCGTGAGCCAAGATCGCACCACTGCACTCCAGCCTGGGCGAGACAGTGAGACTCTGTCTTAAAAAAAAAAAAATTGCTAACACTTATCAAATATTTATTATGGGCCTTGCCACAGTATTAACTCTTTTACTCCTCACAATAAGCCAAACAGCTAGATGCTTTTTAGGAATTCCTATTTTACCAGTGTGGATACTGAGATCTGCAAATAGCAGACACAGCACTAAGTGCTGGAGTCCAGACCTGGGCAGCGTGACTCGAGGGTCCGTGATATCTTAAACCATGCCAGGAGTCAGGGCCCAGCCTCCAATTATAGCTGTAAAAACCACTGCACTCCAAAAAATATGTCACAGAGCCACATGGCAGAGGAAACCTGGATCAAACCTGGAAGGAACAAAATTTCAGTTCAATCTACAACATAATGCCCACTACAACAAGTCCCCTGTACCAGAGCTCACAGTCCATTGATAACACATGCTGTTTGATGTGATTGTAGCGCAGGGAGTGTACTTGGCCAGAACCTGCCTCTACCTGGCACCATGTTTAAATCTAGGCACTTGGATCCCTGTATTGACCTGCCTTCAGCCACACCTGGCCCCCAGAAGCCAAGGGGATGTATCTTCCAGGTACAGGATGAAGCTGGTGAAGTGGGAACTATAGGTAAGGTGGGGTGGGCTCCATTTGGGCTCTTTCTCCAGGGCCCAAATATTAGGTCAGCCTCCCTTTCCCTGACAACGCTGCAACATGCCCAGTGGACAGGAGGAAGCAATTCATTTTCCCAAGGGCGGTGCCCAGGTGTCTAAATTGAGTGACCAGGTAGATGGCAATGATAGAGACCAATACAGTGAATGACTCAGGAAAGACAGGTTTCAGGAGGAAAATGATGAGTTTAATTTGGACAAGTTGCATATGCGTGCCTTTGGGACATGAGAAAGAATATAATAGGAGCTAGAAATTTGAGACTTAATAAAAACATACAGGACTGGACATCATGATTCCCAGCCTTGGTTGCACATTGAAATCACCTGGGAAGTTCAGAAAACTTTCCTTGGTCTGTAGTATGGCCAGGGCACTGGGATTATTATTGTTATTTATTTATTTTTATTAATTTAACTTTTTTTTAATACTTTAAGTTCTAGGGTACATGTGCACAATGTGCAGATTTGTTACATATGTATACATGTGCCATGTTGGTGTGCTGCACCCATTAACTCGTCATTTACATTAGGTATATCTCCTAATGCTATCCCTCCCCGCTCCCCTCCACCACACGACAGGCCCCAGTGTGTGATGTTCCCCACCCTGTGTCCAAGTGTTCTCATTGTTCAGTTCCCACCTATGAGTGAGAACATGTGGTGTTTGGTTTTCTGCCCTTGTGATAGTTTGCTCAGAATGATGGTTTCCAGCTTCATCCATGTCCCTAAAAGGACATGAACTCATCCTTTTTCATGGCTGCATAGTATTCCATGGTGTATATGTGCCACATTTTCTTAATCCAGTCTATCACTGATGGACATTTGGGTTGGTTCCAGGTCTTTGCTATTGTGAATAGTGCCACAATAAACATATGTGTGCATGTGTCTTTACAGCAGCATGATTTATAATCCTTTGGGTATATACCCAGTAATGGGATGGCTGGGTCAAATGGTATTTCCAGTTCTAGTTCCTTGAGGAATCGCCACACTGTCTTCCACAATGGTTGAACTAGTTTACAGTCCCACCAACAGTGTAAAAGTGTTCCTGTTTCTCCACATCCTCTCCAGCACCTGTTGTTTCCTGACTTTTTAATGATCGCCATTCTAACTGGTGTGAGATGGTATCTCATTGTGGTTTTGATTTGCATTTCTCTGATGGCCAGTGATGATGAGCATTTTTTCATGTGTCTGTTGGCTGCATAAATGTCTTCTTTTGAGAAGTGTCTGTTCATATCCTTCACCCACTTTTTGATGGGATTGTTTGATTTTTTCTTGTAAATTTGTTTAAGTTCTTTGTAGATTCTGGATATTAGCCCTTTGTCAGATGGGTAGATTGTAAAAATTTTCTCCCATTCTGTAGGTTGCCTGTTCATTCTGATGATGATTTCTTTTGCTGTGCAGAAGCTCTTTAGTTTAATTGATCCAATTTGTCAATTTTGGCTTTTGTTGCCATTGCTTTTGGTGTTTTAGTCATGAAGTCCTTGCGCATGCCTATGTCCTGAATAGTATTGCCTAGGTTTTCTTCTAGGGTTTTTATGGTTTTAGGTCTAACATTTAAGTCTTTAATCCATCTTGAATTAATTTTTGTATGAGGTGTAAAAAAGGGATCCAGTTTCAGCTTTCTACATATGGCTAGCCAGTTTTCCCAGCACCATTTATTAAATAGGGAATCCTTTCCCTATTTCTTGTTTTTGTCAGGTTTGTCAAAGATTAGATAGTTGTAGATGTGTGGTATTATTTCTGAGGGCTCTATTCTGTTCCATTGGTCTATATCTCTGTTTTGGTCCCAGTACCATGCTGTTTTGGTTACTGTAGCCTTATAGTATAGTTTGAAGTCAGGTAGCATGATGCCTCCAGCTTTGTTCTTTTGGCTTAGGATTGTCTTGGCAATGTGGACTTTTTTTTTGGTTCCATATGAACTTTAAAGTAGTTTTTTCCAATTCTGTGAAGAAAGTCATTGATAGCTTGATGGGGATGGCATTGAATCTATAAATTACCTTGGGCAGTATGGCCATTTTCATGATATTGATTCTTCCTATCCATGAGCATGGAATGTTCTTCCATTAGTTTGTGTCCTCTTTTATTTTGTTGAGCAGTGGTTTGTAGTTCTCCTTGAAGAGGTCCTTCTCATCCCTTGTAAGTTGCATTCCCAGGTGTTTTATTTTCTTTGAAGCAATTGTGAATGGGAGTTCACTCATGATTTGGCTCTCTGTTTTTCTGTTATTGGTGTATAGGAATGCTTGTGATTTTTGCACATTGATTTTGTATCCTGAGACTTTGCTGAAGTTGCTTATCAGCTTAAGGAGATTTGGGGCTGAGACGTTGGGGTTTTCTAAATATATAATCATGTCATCTGCAAACAGGGACAATTTGACTTCCTTTTCTTCTAATTGAATACCCTTTATTTCTTTCTCCTGCCTGATTGTCCTGGCCAGAACTTCCAACACTATGTTGAATAGGAGTGGTGAGAGAGGGCATGCCTGTCTTGTGCCAGTTTTCAAAGGGAATGCTTCCAGTTTTTGCCTATTCAGTATGACATTGGCTGTGGGTTTGTCATAAATAGCTCTTATTATTTTGAGATACATCCCATCAATACCTAGTTTATTGAGAGTTTTTAGCATGAAGGGCTGTTGAATTTTGTCAAAGGCCTTTTCTGCATCTATTGAGATAATCATGTGGTTTTTGTCTTTGGTTCTGTTTATATGCTGGATTACATTTATTGATTTTCATATGTTGAGCCAGCCTTGCATCCCAGGGATGAAGCCAACTTGATCGTAGTGGATAAGCTTTTTGATGGGCTGCTGGATTCAGTTTGCCGGTATTTTACTGAGGAGTTTTGCATTGATGTTCATCAGGGACATTGGTCTAAAATTCTTTTTTTTGTTGTGTCTCTGCCAGGCTTTGGTATCAGGATGATGCTGGTCTCATAAAATGAGTTAGGGAGAATTCCCTCTTTTTCTATTGATTAGAATAGTTTCAGAAGGAATGGTACCAGCTCCTCTTTGTATCTCTGGTAGAATTCGGCTGTGAATCCATCTGGTCCTGGACTTTTTTTGGTTGGTAGGCTATTAATTATTGCCTCAATTTCAGAGCCTGTTATTGGTCTATTCAGGGATTCAACTTCTTCCTGGTTTAGTCTTGGAAGGGTGTTATATGTCAAGGAATTTACCCATTTCTTCTAGATTTTCTAGTTTATTTGCATAGAAGTGTTTATAGTATTCTCTGATGATAGTTTGTATTTCTGTGGGATCAGTGGTGATATCTCCTTTATCATTTTTTTATTGAGCCTATCTGATTCTTCTCTCTTTTCTTCTTTATTAGTCTTGCTAGCGGTCTATAATTTTGTTGATCTTTTCAAAAAACCAGCTGCTGGATTCAGATTTTTTGAAGGGTTTTTTATGCCTCTGTCTCCTTCAGTTCTGTTCTGATCTTAGTTATTTCTTGCCTTCTGCTAGCTTTTGAAAGTATTTGCTCTTGCTTCTCTAGTTCTTTTAATTGTGATGTTAGGGTGTCAATTTTAGATCTTTCCTGCTTTCTCTTGTGGGCATTTAGTGCTATAAATTTCCCTCTACACACTGCTTTAAATGTGTCCCAGAGATTCTGGTATGTTGTGTCTTTGTTCTCATTGGTTTCAAAGAACATCTGTATTTCTGCCTTCATTTCGTTATGTACTCAGTAGTCATTTGGGAGTTGGAGTCTTGCTCTGTAGTGCAGGCCAGAGTGCAGTAGTGTGATCTCAGCTCACTGCACCCTCTGCCTCCTGCGTTCAAGCAATTCTCATGTCTCAGCCTTTCAAGTAGCTGGGATTACAGGTGTGTACCACCAAACCTGGCCTATATTTTTCTTTTGTCTTTATACCTTTCTTGACTATATAATTTTTTTCATAAAGATCTTGATAGGGAGGGAGGGATTATTTACATTTTTCAAACACAAAAATATGTAGAAAAAGCTCTGGGTGAGGTTAGAGGCAAGAGAACAAGCTTTCTGCAGCAGGGAGTCTGGAGGTTTTGTGCAGAAGGTTCCCCTGAGCTGCTTCCTGGAAGACAGGTGGGCTTTGGACCTATGAGACCAGGGAGATGGATAGAGGAAAGAGAGAAAGCACGGGATGGGCAGAAGCTTGAGGTGGAAGAAACTTTAAGTGGTGGCCTCACTGAGCCAGGACCCACCCCTGCCCCCAGAGACCTAGGTCTGGGCTCACCCCCCATCCCCAGGAGTGCTGGATCAGCACCCATGCAAAGCAGGTGCATGGTTACTTGTTACCAAGGCTGATGCACAGATGGACCTCTTTGAATTGATTCAATATGTCTATTGAGTGTCAATTTCTCCCAAAACCACGAGGAACTTCATCATGTTCCCCATCCTGGGACACCATGGATGATTCCCCATTGCCTGGAGATGATCCTTAGACTCAGTCCATCTGTCTCACCTCATGCTCCAAAATGCACTTGAGCCCTGAACATGCCATGCACATCCACGCACCTAGGTTCAGGCTGCCCCTCAGCCCACAGGTTTCTCTTGTTTCTCCATCCAGCCAGTCCTTCTCCCTCCATCAAGGCTACCTCACATATCATCCCAACCAGAGACGGCTCCTCTGGCCTCCTATCCCACTTTCCATGCTTCCTCCTTACCTAGGTGATGCTCAGAGTCATCTGCACTCCTGGCTCTTCCCCCTCCTTCCTCCATCTCATCCACTCACATATAATCTGCACTTCTAGCAGCACTGGATGGAATAGCATGGAGTTTTACATCTCTCTGTGAAGCCCTCTGGACGCCTCTACCAAGGGGAAGTGTTATATGGCTCAGGAGAATTTAGGGATTCTGTCATTCATAAAATTTACCATTTTATTTTATTTTATTTTAATTAATTTATTTATTGAGATGGAATTTCACTCTTCTTGCCCAGACTGGAGTGCAATGGCGCAGTCTCGCTCACTGCAACCTCCGCCTCCCAGGTTCAAGCAATTCTCCTGTCTCAGTCTTCCAAGTAGCTGGGATTACAAGTGCCCGCCACCACACTCAGCTAATTTTTGTATTTTTGGTAGAGACAAGGTTTCACCATGTAGGCCAGGCTGGTCTCAAACTCCTGACCTCAGGCGATCCTCCCGCCTCGGCCTCCCAAAGTGCTGGGATTACAGGAGTGAGCCACCTCACCCAGCCAAATTGACCATTTTAATTCAAAGAAATCAAAACAAAATTGCATTTCTTTGATCATGCATTGAGGTATCATCCTATGGGTGGGTGGGGAGCAGGGCACACTCGGAGCTCTGCACCTGTGGAAAGCACTCCCTGCCCCCCAAAACTGCTGCGTTCTCCACAAAGATAGCTTTATGAAGTAGACTCTTCCAGGGCTCTCCCTTGACACCCCCGTAAGGCTGTCCATCTGCATATTGAAGAATCCCTACAACAAACTTTCATTCCCAAACTCCAGGCCCTTTGACCCTTCTCTTAATAATATGCACATGTCATTAACATGACAGATCCTATCCCCTTCAGGGGGCCCTGGAGCTGGGGAGCATCTTCAACTGTGTACTTCATACTCCTTAAATAGGATTTTCAGGATATATAAGCTGTTGTTGGCTGGGAGATGACAGCAGGGTTTCTCCCAAAAGCTAAATATATGTAAACACCTCTTTTAAAGGTCCCTAAAAGGTCCACTTGACTTTCCATCCTGTCCCTTTTGTGAAGGAACACACCTTCAAAGCCTGAGGAATGTCATCCCTCCACCCTCAACAAGAGATGCCAAAATGCTTTCACACTGCCAGAGCGAAGCAAAAACCTACCACAGGGAGCAGTTAACCTAATGGAATGTGCTAACAGCAAAATTATTCCATCGCCCTCAACCCAGGGAAACAAGGTCCGAACCCATTTCTAGGCACCTGAACTTGCAGCTTCTCTGAAGAAATGAGGCCCGACTACCTACAGAATCTTGGGGAGGATTTTATTCTGGATGCTTCCCTGGCTTCTCCCTAGACAAGCCCACACCCAGAGAGCTTTAGGGAGGCCAATGCCCTTACTGCCTGCGAGGGGGTTAGATTTATTTATTTATTGTTGTTGTTTTGTTTTGTTTTGAGACAGAGTCTAGCTCTGTCGCCCAGGCTGGAGTGCAGTGGTGGGATCTCGGCTCACTGCAACCTCCGCCTCCGGGGTTCAAGCGATTCTCCTGCCTCAGCCTCCCAAGTAGCTGGGAGTCCAGGCCCATGCCACCATGCCTGGCTAATTTTTGTATTTTTCTAGAGATGGGGTTTCGCCATATTGACCAGGCTGGTCTCAAACTCCTGACCTCAAGTGATCCACCCGCCTCGGCCTCCCAAAGTGCTGGGATTACAGGCGTGAGCCACCCTGCCAGGCCAATTGTTATATTAATTTGAAAACTGCTCCTTTTGGCTCCTTGCAGAGACCTGAATGAAGAATAAAGAGCAAAGCCAGTACCACAGTGCCTCTGAGATGTAATATTTGTCATTCATCAGAAGGAATAGAGTGGGGGGCGGTCAGTGGAATTCTGGTCCCTGGCATTTGTGCAGGACCTGCCACCTTTGCACTCATTATTTCCTGAGAGGCCAACAGCATCTCAAAAGGAAAAGAGAGATTTTCCCTCTCTTGCCATCTCAGGTGCTCTGAGTCACTCAATGAGGTTTCCAGAGCTCAGATTCATGTGGTCTAACACCAAGACAATGTTCTTTCCAGGCTTGCTTGGGAAGGAGCACAGGTCTGTACACAGCTTGGCTGACCCTCCCACACTGCAGCATGGTGGAGCCCTTGGCTGCCTGTGCTGTAGAGTTTCAGCCTGGGTCTCCAAGCCCACCACAGGGAGCCTTGTGAAGCAGGTTAAACTGTGGTGAGAAAAAGCAAAGACTGAAGAGAGGGAAGAATTGGGGGGCGGGGTGGGGGTAGGGGGTTGGAGGGCTTTTTTTCCGATTGCCAGAGACTGACACAGGACATAGGACTTTCCAGTTTTGTTTTTGCTTTTGTTTTTGTTTGAGATGGAGTCTCGCTCTGTCGCTCAGCCTGGAATGCAGTGGCGCGATCTCAGTTCACTGCAACCTCCGCCTCTTGGGTTCAAGCAATTCTCCTGCCTCAGCCTCCTGAGTAGCTGGGGTTACAGGCGCCCGCCACCATCCCCGGCTAATTATTATATTATTAGTAGAGACGGAGTTTCACCATGTTGGCCAGGCTGGTCTGGAACTCCTGACCTCAGGTGATCCACCCGCTTCGGCCTCCCAAAGTCCTGGGATTACAGGCGTGAGCTACCACCACCAGCCTGACATTCCATTTTAAAACCAGGACAGTCATGGGCAAACTGGGACAAGTCAGTCACCATAGGTAAAGAGAAAAAAGAAACAACATCCCTGCAAAGAGACTCCTACCCCTCAAATGAAGACACTGTGGAGAGAGCACTTGAATGTCAGCTAACATCTTATCATATATGCATTTCATGGCAATTTCCACTCCAGTTAGCCAGGCCTCAGCATCCCATGCCTCCAGTAAAGCTGGGGCTTGATGTGCACTTGGGCTAAAAGCTGTTTCTTTTCTCCAACATTTGCACCTTGTGGCTCATCACGGTGGGCAAGTCCTCACGTCGCTGCCCAGCCGGCAGGACCAGTTGCCATAAGCGAGAAGGCCGCCTCCACACAGTTGGCGTGAGCTGCAGCAGGAAACTGACGTGCACATTTGTTACCCAGAGGAATTATCAAGTGAGGTAACACTCCAGGGAAAATAACCTCCCAGAAGTGTTCAACAGAATGTACTCACAGCCATCCCCGAAGTTTATAGTTGAATCCATCCAAGAAAACCTCAGGGTTCATCATTTTAATGAGATGTTTGAGGGAGAGGGCTGCCGGTAGAAAGACGATTTTCCCTCAAAACAGACTATAAAATATTATTTCAGCAAATTCAGAAGAAGGACCAACTTGGAATGAAAACGATATTTCTTTTGAAACCCAAACATAATTAAGCTATTTATAATAATAAACTCAGGTCTCAATTCTGCCCTCTTTACCAACAAAGATGCATCTAACTAAAGCTTCCTTGGTTTCAAATCTCTAGTTTAAATTCCTTGTTCTTCTTGGCTTTATGCCAAAGAAAAGTGGCTAAACCAACCCAAGCAAAAACTCAGGGTGTTACATGTCTGTTGCCATATTCTATTTCATTCAAGTAACCAAATTAAAAACCAGATTAATCATAGTTTTCCATAGTTCCAGATGAGACAAGCCTGTGTAACCAGTTTGTCTGCACACATTGAGTCTCTCTATCTGGCTTTGAACAATCAGTCAAGTCTTTTCATTGGTTGTCATTATTTAACAAACATTATGAAGCAGCTATTATGAGCATAGCCGTGTTCTAGGTAGAGGGGAGCACCCAGAGGTATGCTAATTGTCTTTAAAGGAGTTTCCCACCTGGGGAAACCCACTTAGAGATGAATCCAGAAAGCAAAACAGTGGAATGGGTGGGCCGTGCTGGACAAGGGCTGAATGTGTCAATATCGAGGGCAATGAGGGTTCTTAAAAGATTGCCCCATCTTCAAGTGCTAGCACCTCCCTCCTATACGTCATTTGGTCCTTATGAGAACCTGGTGAGGTGGTGATTATTCTTGTTGTTTTAGAGAGAGACAGTGAGATTCAGAGGGAAGTGACTGACCCTCAGCCATGGAGTTGGTGAATTGCAGAGCCAAGATATGCCCCAGGGCTCCTATCTGAGTCTCTTCCCTGCTGTTGTAATAGAATGACACGGACTGGGTAATTTATAAAGGAAAGAAATTTATTTATTTTTATTTTTTATTTTTATTTTTATTTCTTTTTTTGGGACGGAGTTTCGCTCTTGTTGCCTAGGCTGGAGTGCAATGGCGCGATCTCAGCTCGCCGCAACCTCCGCCTCCCGGTTTCAAGCGATTCTCCTGCCTCAGCCTCCTGAGTAGCTGGGATTACAGGCATGCACCATCACTCCCAGCTAATTTTGTAGTTTTAGTAGAGACGGGGTTTCTCCATGTTGGTCAGGCTGGTCATGAATTCCCGACCACAGGTGATCCACCTGTCTCAGCCTCCCAAAGTGGTAGGATTACAGGCGTGAGCCACCGCGCCCGGCCAAGAAATTTATTTCTTACAGTTCTGGAGACTGAGAAATCCAAGGTCGGGAGACCTGCACCTGGCAAGGGCCTTCTTACTGTGTCACTCCATAGCTTGAGGTGGAAGAGGAAGAGGATGCAAGAGAGAGAGAGAGAGAAAGGCTGCTTAACTCGCTTTCATAATAAGCCCACTCACTCCTGAGGTTGTAACCACCCAGTGGGTTCACCTTGTCTGCTGTTTAGACACAGCCAATTTATAAAGACAGGGAAATTGCAATAGAGAAAGAGTAATTCATGCAGAGCCAGCTGTGCGGGAGACCAGAGCTTTCTTATTACTCAAATCAGTCTCCTCAAGCATTTGGGGATCAGAGTTTTTAAGGACAACTTGGTGAGTGTGGGGAATTCAGTGAGCCAGGAGTGCTAATTGGTCAGAGATGAAATCATAGGGAGTCGAAGCTATCATCTTGTGCTGAGTCAGTTCCTAGGTGGGGGCCACAGGATCAGATGAGCCAGTTTATCAATCTGGGTGGTGCCAGCTGATCATCAAGTGCAGGGTCTGCAGAATATCTCAAGCACTGATCTTAGGAGCAGTTTAGGGAGGGTCGGAATCTTGTAGCCTCCAGCTGCATGGCTCCTAAACCATAATTTCTAATCTTGTGGCTGGTGTTAGTCCCACAAAGGCAGTCTAGTCCCCAGGCAAGAAGGAGGTTTGTTTTGGGAAAGGGCTAATCTACAAACTAAGTTCCTCCCAAAGTTAGTTCAGCCTACGCCCAGCAAAGAACAAGGACAGCTTGGAGGTTAGAAACAAGATGGAGTTGGTTAGGTCAGCTCTTTCACTGTCTCAGTTACAATTTTGTAATGGCGGTTTCAAGGTCACTAATCCACTCCCCCAGTAAGCACATTAATCCATTTGAGAGGGCGGAGCCCTCATGATCTGATCATCTCTTATTAGTACCCACCTCCCAACACTATTGCATTGGGGATTAAATTTCCATCATATGAACTTGACAGGGCACATCTTCCAACCAGAGGGTGTTGACAGACACTGCAGTCTTGCAGCCACCTTTAAAGCTGCAGCCATTGCAAAGGACCAATGACTCTGGATCCTCAAAGTTGACAGGGAGCCCCAGAGATCACTGACTTCAGCCCATTCTACTTATAGACAAGGAAACTGAGCAACAAGAAGTTACTTTCCTATTTCAAGGTTGAAAATAGTCAATAACTGATCTAAGACCCAATCCAGGGGCTTCTTCCAAACTAAGTGTTTCTGTGACTCAGGATTGCCTCCCAGTGAACCTGGAACAACATTTTTCCAGTGGAGGGACTGCTCTTTTGTCCTCTCTCAGGAAGATGGCTGAAGATAGCCTGAGCCACAAAACAAGAACACACAAAATTCAACTGATGTCAAGCTTTGTGAAAGAGTGGGCCTGTTTCCCCCACCCTACCTCAAAGGTCTGCTGAGAATCTCAGGCCCACTGGAATGCAGAGAAAAGTTGATTTTGTGTTGCCTCTTCCGAGCAAATCCCATTGCAAATTGTCTGTAGCTATCAGAGGAGTTTGTGCTGTGTGTGCTCTCCAAACGTGCATTGTACCAATAGGTCTGTGTGCTTCGACCATAAAAAGGCTCTGTTACCTCTCCTGGTCAAAGGTTTCAGGATGAATGTCTTGTAGCTTGATACACCAATATCAAAAGAGATCAGGTAACCCTGGTCAGTGGCCTATGAAGAGATTTCCTTTACAAGTAAGGAAAACTAATAAACCATTGTAGAAGGCGTAGATGTTCTGCGGCACTCAAATTCCTAGGCTCCGTCTTAAAATAGGCTTCAAAGCTCACATTCATTTGTTTCCAAGGTACCCGTTTTCAGGTTTTGTAAGGCCTCTTTTGAGGAACAAAAGTCTGCAAAGTTCTTGTTAAACTCAGGCTTGTGAATTTGTTCTACCGGTAAATGTTTTTTTCTAAAGGTTCTTTGCCCTGGTAACATACTGAGGAAATAGAGAGAGGAAAGACCCCATCAACATCAAATCATATTATTGAGCAGGCTTAAACCACACCTGTCACATGCCAGACACTATTCTATGTGCTGTATATAAATCAATTGAAGGCGGGGTGCAGTGGCTTGTGTCTGTCATCCCAGCACTTTGGGAGGCAAAGGTAGGAGGATCACTTGAAGTCAGGAGTTCGAGACCAGCCTGGGCAACACAGTAAAACCCCATTCCACTAAAAATGGAAAAAATTTGTTGGGTATGGTAGTATGCGCCTGTAGTCTCAGCTACTTGGGAGGCTGATGTGGGAGAAACGCCTGAGCCCAGGAGGTCGAGGCTGCAGTGAGCCGAGATCAGGCCACTGCACTCCAATCTGGGCAATCAGAGTGAGACCATTTTAAAACATATTAATAATAATGATGCCAACCCGCTAATAATCCCAGTGTTATCCCCTCGTTGTACCAGTTGGGGAGCTGCACAACCCAGAGCCTGTGAGTTTGGGAATCAAATTCAAGCCCAGGGAGTCTTTAACTTTTTTTTTTTTTCTTTGAGATGGAGTTTTACTCTTGTTGCCCAGGCTGGCGTGCAATGGCATGATCTTGGCTCACCGCAACTTCTGCCTTCCGGGTTCAAGCAATTCTCCTGCCTCAGCCTCCTGAGTAGCTGGGATTACAGGCATGAGCCACCACACCTGGCTAATTTTGTATTTTTAGTAGAGACGGGGTTTCTCCATGTTGGTCAGGCTGGTCTTGAACTCCCAACCTCAGGTGATCTCCCTGCCTCGGCCTCCCAAAGTGC
Source organism: Homo sapiens (assembly GCF_000001405.40). NCBI lineage: Eukaryota > Metazoa > Chordata > Mammalia > Primates > Hominidae > Homo > Homo sapiens. The sequence continues at coordinate 15,952,209 of NC_000002.12, read as the reverse complement.
TGAGATTACAGGCGTGAGCCACCGCACCCGGCCAAACCCAGGGAGTCTTAACTTCAGATTCATACTCTTTGTTTTGAGACGGAGTTTTGCTCTGTCACCCAGGGTGCAGTGCAATGGCGCGCTCTTGGCCTACTGCAACCTCCGCCTCCTGGGTTTAAGCAATTCTCCTGCCTTAGCCTCCCGAGTAGCTGGGATTACAGGTGCCCGCAACCACACCTGGCTAATTTTTTTGTATTTTTAGTAGAGATGGGGTTTCATCATGTTGGTCAGGCTGGTCTTGAACTCCTGACCTCAGGTGATCCACCTGCCTTGGCCTCCCAAAGTACTGGGATTACAGGCATGAGCCACCATGCCCAGCCCAGATTCATACTCTTAACTACTATGCTCAATGGTTTCTCCTCGAGACAATGAATGGAAATTGGTGGGGTACATTTACCAATGTCCAGAGGGAGATAAGGGAAGATTTTTTATTTTTTATTATTATTTTTTGAGACGGAGTCTCGCTCTATCACCCAGGCTGGAGTGCAGTGGTGTGATCTCGGCTCACTACAACCTCCGTCTCCCAGGTTCAAGCAATTCTCCTGCCTCAGCCTCCTGAGTAGCTGGGATTACAGGCACCAGCCACCATGCCCAGCTAATTTTTGTATTTTTAGTAGAGATGGGGTTTCACCATGTTGGTCAGGCTGATCTCAAACCCCTGACCTTGCGATCCACTTGCCTTGGCTTCCCAAAGTGCTGGGATTACAGGCGTGAGCCACCACGCCCAGCCAGAGATAAGGGAAGTTAAGCACTGAACCGAGAAGCTTGAGGCCTGAGATCTGGTTTCTGAGCAAGCACAAGAGTGCCCAGGGCAGGACACTCTCCCCACAGGCCCTGCCCCTCAGCTCCCAGGACCAGATGCGCCTTCCCTGAGCCTCCTACCTCTGCTGTTGGCATCCCTGAATTCCTCTAGCCTTTCTACTTATTTTTTACGGCATTTGCCACCATATTAGATGCTGTTTAATTTATTTGCTTATTATGTTTATTTGTACAGCTGTCACTCTCTGTTACACTATAAACTTCAAGAAAGCAGAGAAGATTTGGGAGAGTTTTGTCTTTTTTGTTCATTGATGTCTCCCAAGCACTTAGAACAGTGCTTGATACATGGTAACTGTTAAATAAATATTTGTTGAGAGAAAGAATGGGAAAGAGGGAAAGAAAAAAAGAAAAAAGAACGCTTCCAGGCACGGCAGTGTGTGTGCACCTGTTGTCCGAGTTACTCAGGAAGCTGATGCAGGAGGATCACTTGAGTCCAGAAGTTCTGAGCTGTAGCACCCTATGCCTACTGGATGTCCACACTAAGTTTAGCATCAATATGGCAACTCCTGGGAGTAGGGGACCACCAGGTTTCCTAAGGAAGTATGAACTGGCTGGCCCAGGTCAGAAATGGAGCAGGTCAAAACTCCTGTGCTGATCAGCAGTGGCACTGTGCCTGAGATTAGCCACTCCACGCCAGGCTAGGCAACACGGCAAGACCCTGTTGCAAAAAAAAGAAAAATAAAATAAAGGAAAAATAAAATTCTCACAAGCAGACTGTAGGTGCCTCCCCTGAAATGGGAGAGTAAACTAGTTGGCTTCTATGCCTCTTCCAAATCAAACAACCTCTGATTTCGAAAACAACTCACATCAGAATTTCAAAACATAGCCACCATAGGGATTAATGAAACTAAAACTCAGAAGACCAGATTCCCTCACTTATAATGTGGGAATGTGATAAACTGGTCAAAAATCCTCAAGGATTTTTGAGACTCATGCATACAAAAACTTGGGAAGCTCTGCAGTGCTACACAGGGGTGGGAGGCATTGCAACCTTTTTCACTACGAGTGTAGACCATCTGTGGCCTGAGGCAAGTGTCTGAGCTGCCACAAGCCAGGCCAGGCGTAGACTCAGTGAACCCAGGCAGAGGACCAGCTTCCTCCTTCAGATAGCCCCAAACTCAGCCACTAGGCCCCTCATATGCTTTCATTCATCAGCCCCTCAACCCAGTGCCTCTTGGTTTCTCTTCTTGCCTTCTATACAACCCCCAGGGCTTTAACTCTCTTGCAGACTGTGGGCTCCTTGTAGACAGTCCTCTATGAGCATTTTATCTTCACTTCTTCAGAACTGCCAGCATAGTCAGTACCAGACACTCATTGATGTCTAAGGGATGTCTTTTCCCATCTGAATTAGCCTGAGAGCTTGTGAACTGGAGTTGGTGGGAGACCCACCCATAATGGAAATCCTCTCCTCGCTCCTTCCTCTGTTACCGTCTATACTGCTGGCATCTGCTAAGGCTCTGTCACCTGTCAGTCACAGGGCAGATGCTCAGAATCAGAGGCAAATGAGAGCCCTATCTGCCTTAAGGGAGCCCACAGTTTAGGGGGTCCAGGAGGTGCATAAGGCAGCTAGAAGATAAGTGCACAGAGGCCAAGGGCTGGGAAAGGCCTACCTGGGGGTGCAAGATTGAGAAGGATTTCAATTAATGGAATCTGGGTAACCTAGAAGGAGGGATGTGGTGAAACAAGTCACGGATGAGAAACAGCCAGAGTCCAGCACATGGAGGGCCATGGGCAATGGAGCTGGTGGGACTGGGTAGAAGTGCCTCTGTGCTGGGCTGGAGAGTCGGGACTCGATTCTGTAAATAGTAGGGAACTGTTGGAAGTTTGCATAAAGAGTAGGTGGTTTAGAAGGGTTAATATGGAAGCATGATGTAGGTGGACGGGCAGGCCAGGAGGTGGGGAGGCTACAGTGTGGGCAATGAGAAAGTGAATGTTATGGGGAAGGGCACTGGGCGGGTCATAGGAGACACCGGCTCTAGTCTCCCTGGGTTAAGCCATTAATTCCAGGTGGGATCCCGCACCCTCATTCTGAGAAATGAATTTCAATGAGATGATCTCTGTGCTTCGTCTCAGCTCTATCGTTTATTGAACTAAATGATGTAGAGCTCTTTCCCAGTCTCAAAACTGCTCTTGGAATGCAGAGATGGTTTCTCATGTTATTGAAACAACTAGTTCAATTCTTCTGTGACTACAGCAATTACTTTATAGATAATTGCAGAGCTAAATTTGGTGACATTCCCTCAGCTAGGTCAGAAAAGGCAAATATGGGATTTTTTCACTTTAGTTTTAATCCTTTAGGTGCATATTTGTGGTCCACCTAATGCAAAAACGTTTCATGTTATATACTACATTATATACATTAAAAAGATGACTAACCTAACAATGGAAAACAAGAAACCGTAAACATTTAGAAGAGAATGACCACTGGAGATGTTAGAGGGGGTGGAATTTGGCTCTGAGCTTCCCAGCAGCCCGAGCAAAAAGAGAGCATAGTAGGAATTGTAGTTTAGTGGCCTCATTCATATGAACAGTTTTCTTTCTTCACGGTTAAGCATTCCATTTCATTGGACACACTCAGGTAGGTTCCTTATGGTAATCACAAATAGAGAAACTGGGATGACTGAGCTGGGCTTCAAGAATCTTAGGTACACAATTAATGTGAGGTTGCTTAACTTTCTTTTGGCTCTTGCACACACACAGGGGCAGAGGCCGTGAGTGATTTGGGGCCTGTAAAATGCAAACGAACGGAAGTTTTTTGAATGACAATTCAAAAAGAAAGGGTGCATTATTTTTTAGTCTGGGGATGGGGACTAGGAGAATTAAAGGGCATTTTATCTTATTTTCTACATGGCGAGACCATCAGAAAGATGTCCATGGTAGTATCACCAACCTCGTATCTCAAGGGTGTGCGATAAGCAGGATAAGGAGGACTGAGTTCTAAACTCCTACTTGCCTTTATAAAATGACCAAAGCGGCTGGGCATGGTGGTTCACGCCTGCAATTCCAGAACTTTGGGAGGTCGAGGTAGGTGGATCACAAGGTCAGGAGATCGAGACCATCCTGGCTAACATGGTGAAACTTGGTCTCTACTAAAACTGCAAAAAATTAGCCGGGCATGGTGGCACACACCTGTAGTCCCAGCTACTCAGGAGGCTGAGGCAGGAGAATCGCTTGAACCCGGGAGGCGGAAGTTGCAGTGAGCCGAGATTGCACCACTGCACTCTAGCCTGGGCACCAGAGTGAGACTCCATCTCAAAAGAAACAAATAAAAATGACCAAAGCAGACAAGGACACATGGCTTGGTGTCTCCCATCTCTGCCCCTGACAAACTGTGTGTCCAGGCAAGCAAAGCTGTCTCATCTCTGGACCTGCTTTCTTCTCAGTGAAGCAAAAGGCCTTTTTCTTTTTTTTCGGCTCACAGTTAAAAATCTGAGATGAACAAAACCCTAGAGAAATAACCGAGTACAACCTGACACTCAAAAGAGAAATAGGTTATTTGTACACTTTTAGTTCTGAGAAGCTGCTTACAAGCAAGGCTCTTATGTCCCAACAGGTAAACTATCTCCTTAACACACAAGTCTTGGCTCTGTCTTCTGGAGCCTGCAAGATTGATCCCATTTCCAAAGGGCAGCCCAAGTAGCCAAGACACTGCTGTGTAATAGGAATGGCAAGTAGAGAGCCATGCCACCCATATGGGGTCTCCATTGTGACCCCAGGGTCTCTCCTGCACCTGGTACTTGCTCTGGACTACGTAACTGTCACTCGTGAATTACACTTTGGTGAATCAGGTTGAGTTCATTGAAGGGAGGAACCCATTTCCATCTGTTTATTCTGCTTACTCTGCTTAGCCTAGAACCTCCACAGATCCTAGTGAATGTTTTTAACAATGAATTCTTGGAGACAAACTATGCTCTACCTTAAAATAGAAGACTGTCTGCCAATGGGACGAATACTACCAAAGCCCAATACAAGCGAGTTAAACAACCCTGTGGCTATTTTTACTTTTCTTTTAAAGGGACTGATCTGAGGTCTCAGCTTAATTCCACTAAGGAGCCACAGTATACAGAAGTGCTCTGTAAATTATCAAATGCCATTGCTACAATGCACACAATAGTCGCTAATAACATCTCTATTCTGCATAATCTTGGAGAACTGCCTTAATTTCCCCAAACTCAGTTCCCTCCACCTTAAGTGGGGACAATGACTCATGCCCCCCAACCAGGATTGTACAGGTGCAAAAAGGGCTATTTACGGAAACCAAATTCCCTCTATAGGTTATGGATTATTTATGGTTGCTCCTTAAGGGACAGAGTGTAATGCCATTAAGGAAAAGGTTGAGTTGCATCATTTAATTTTAAGCTATTTATTTTCATAAACATGAGGTATTTCAAAGTGCTATAAGATGCAGCACTAAATATATACATTTTGAAGAAATTAAACACAGAACTTTGCATTTACCCAGTTCTATGCACCAAACATGAACAAATACATTAACAGGAAGAAACAGGCTAGGAAAAAGGCATATATATATAGTAAATTTCTTTACAAAAGTTTCTTAGTTCAAAAAGTGATAAAGTAATATCTACTCAAAACTTTCACAACTCATTTTCATACGAAAATATAAGTATCAAATTTAGTTATGTATCAGCGTCATACTAAAGTATACAGGCAGTGTAAGAATTAGTACAGTACATAACAGAGATTAACAATATATTTGTATACAAAACATGCTCCTCAAACATTGAGGTATTATTACAGTACTTAGGTATGAACTTCCAGTCTAATACTGGCCGCAAAAGCCACCTCTCATTACCCAGGATGTATACAAAAGGCGGATGTGTCAATGGTATTTACAGAAATGTTCCCCAGGGGTATCAAATGGCAAACCCCTTATGTGGCATCTGCTGGAACTTAAGCACCATTTTAAAAAGAAGGAATGACTTTCTGTTGTTTGGAAACTTGGAACACACAAGGTGACTTCAACAGCCCCAGAGGCTCCCAACCGTCACCAACGTTTAGCGCTGTCATGGAGGTGAGGTGGAGGAGGCTGCAGGGCCACCCAGCATCCTGGGATGCAGGCTCTCCAAGGTCCCAGCAGAACCCCACACTGGTGGTCCTACTGCCCACCCAGAGCCGAACTCGACAGGGGACCGATTTGAAAGTAAACCAACATTCTTAATGTCAACACAATGTTTGTTTAAAAAAAAAATCAAAATGTGCAAAGTGGCAGTGACTGTCCAGTTTTGAGAAGCGTCTAGCAAGTCCGAGCGTGTTCAATTTTCTTTAGCAACTGCTGCTGTCTTGCCTGCAATTTTTCCTTTTCCAGCAAAAGCTGGTGCTCCTCGGCCTGGAGGGAGTGGACATACTCAGTGGCCTTTTTCAAAATGACCACCTTGGCGGCCTTCTCATTCTTTACCAACTCCGGCACGTGGTCCCTGAGCGTGAGAAAGCTGGACCGAAGGTCGTTGCGGCGCTGGCGCTCCAGGATGTTGTGGTTTCTGCGACGCTCACTGTCCTCCGAGTCAGAGTTTCGGGGGCTCAAGCTCTTAGCCTTTGGGGGGATGACACTCTTGAGCGGACGTGGGGACGCCTCGCTCTTTATCTTCTTCTGTGGGGGTGCATCCTCACTCTCCACGTAGGGAGAGGGGGCGGCATAGTTGTGCTGCTGGTGGATGGGAAGGCATCGTTTGAGGATCAGCTCGCTGGACTGAGCCCTCCCGGGACCCAGGGCTGCGTTCTTGGGACGCACAGTGATGGTGAATGTGGTGACAGCCTTGGTGTTGGAGGAGGAACGCCGCTTCTCCACAGTGACCACGTCGATTTCTTCCTCTTCATCTTCCTCTTCATCATCTTCATCATCTGAGAGAAAGATGCTAGTTACTCTCATGTGAGAACCATTTGAATGAAATTCACATATATATCCATGTTAATATGTATGCTTATCTGTCTCTTCCGGCAGACCCTGGCAGACTGCTATTTTTATGGGTCCATCAACATAGATGTGGACAGTTTTGTATTTGTTTTAGATCTCTTTAAATTAAATATATCTGTAGGCCGGACGCGGTGACTCACACCTGTAATCCCAGCACTTTGGGAAGCGGAGGCGGGCAGATCACCTGAGATGAGGAGTTCAAGATCAGCCTGGCCAACATGGTGAAACCCTGTCTCTACTAAAAATACAAAACTTTGCTGGGTGTGGTGGCATGCTCCGGTAATCCCAGCTACTCGGGAGGCTGAGGCAGGAGAATGACTTGAACCCGGGAGGCGGAGGTTGCAGTGAGCCCAGATCATACCACTGCACTCCAGCCTGGGCAACAAGAGCAAAACTCCTTATCAAAAACAAAAACAAAACAACCCCCCATACATACATACATACATATACATATATGTATGTATATATATTTTTCTTCCCCATACCCCAACTGTGCTTTCAGCCTCCATTCAAGACTTTAGCAGGTGGTAGAAATAAATATAAAGAACTTGGCCTTTAGGGTCAGACAGAATCCTGGCTCCACCGCAGACTAGTTGCATGACCCTGGTCAAGTTACCCAGCCTTTCTAAGCCTCTGTTTCCTCAGCTATTAAATGGGGATGATACCACTTTGACAGATAACATGTAGACTTAGCATAGAGCTGAGCCTAGTAGACAGATGCTCAGTAAATGGTAGCTTTTATCATAATCACCAGTCTGCCCTGTGGACTTATTTACATTTCTAGCTCCACACTTAAAGAGTTGAGGCCTCTCATTTTAGGAGCCTCATTTAGCAGTTTACACATGGTTGTGTTTGATTTTAAGTCCTTAAACAAACTTGAGGAACAATTTAATTAACTGAAGAAAAAAAACAACTTTTCGTCCACAAACCTGAGTTTTATACAATAAACAGTTTTTCATTTAACAAAGATCAAATCTTAATGACAAAGCCATAATCCACAGTTGGTATAAACCCCCAAATGGGAGCAGCTCTCCTCAAAGCCACCAATAATAACAGCAACAACAGAAACGTGTAGCATCATGTGCGCATTCTTCCCCTCTCTCCTCATTGACTACCACGCTGGGGTAGAAAATTATTGTTTAAAATACAAGCATGAAAATCAAAACATATCTTCTGCTTGATCTGAAGGGGACCGGAAAGCTGAACAATTGTGGGATTTGTTCTAAAGCCGAAATGTGAGGCTGTTCCAGTCTGTGGGTCCCTTTAAGCCAATGTTTTGGTTTTCTGCCAAGAAGACAGCTGTTGGAAGGAAGTGCTTCCTCACCAAAAGCTGTCAAGGCACAGACATTAAAGGGACAGAGCCGTTTCAAACTGGAGGCTTATCACCAAGTTTCCTTCCAGGAGCCTCAAAGATCTCTCCTCAGCCCAGAAGTAAATTTAGGCTTGTTATCCACCTGCATTCTGAAAACACTGGTTTTCAAAGTCCAAGGGGGGTCCCAGCTCCCTGCTCCAAGGACAAGGCAATGCCACTCTTTGGGTTGAGTTCTGTTCATCCAGACCCCCAGGGAAAGGCTTGGTTTTAACTCTTCCCTTCAGCTTAAGACACAGACAAATGAACACAATAGAACTAATCAGTGAGTCCTCCCAGGATGTGAGCCTTCCTGGAGAGGCTGCTGAGTGCCTGCCCTCACCTTCAAGGGCACTGGGTTACAGATACAACTCACATCTCAAATTAGGCCTGGAATTCAGGCTGGAAGACAAAACTACAGCCAGTTTCCACTGCACACTGGAAAGAGGAGGCCCCCTGAGAATGTACACAACTGCTGTTGCACTTGCAGCCAGCTGCTGAATGGAGGGAGGGAGGGTGCCCCCACCACCCCCAGCCTTTCAGATCCCGGGCCCGCCTGCTGGCCTCGCATATCGCCGCCTGCTGGCCACGCACCAGGAGCAAATAGCCCACCACCCACCGAGGATGGGGGAAGGGAAAGGTACCGACATTTGAAAAAAAAAAAAAAAGAAAAAGAAAAAGAATAGAAAATCGGCTCTAGCCATCTGTGCAACCCTCCTATAAGTTCCTGCGCCTTAAACAGGGCTTTGCACAGCCCTTGAATCTTCTCGGGATGTCTTTCCCTCCCCTGACCTGGGCCAGAGAGTCCCTTTCACCCCTGCGCTAACAGGTTTCTGTCCAGGCAGTGCACCCAGCAACCCCCTAAACCCCCACCCGGTTTAGCCACCAACTTTCTCCAATTTTATTCCTCAGACTGCGCTGCAAAAGAGAGGTGGGGGACCGGGTGAGGGCCCGTGATGGCCTAGAGGAGGGCTCCCCAGGAGAGGGTGGAAGGAACTTTAGTGAAGGCGAGAATTGGAGAGCACCCCTTTTGCAACGGCATTCTCTCAGCCCCTTCTCTTTACCCCGAGGAGAGACTTGGGGGAAACAGGACCTCTCTGCCCCTAGCACTGCCTCCAAAATGCTCCCCAGGCCAAGACATACGAGCACTAACAAAGGGGACGCGACCCGGGGTCCAGTGCCCCAGGGAGGCAGCCGGACCCGAGTTCGGTCTTTACCTGAATCGCTCAGGGTGTCCTCTCCGGAGGTACTGAGGGCCTTGTGGTCGCCGCCGCTGGTCTGGCGGCCGCCTGGGCGCGGAGGGGCGACCCCCGGGGCCCCGGCTGGGGCGGCAATACCCGCCCCCGAGGCGACCGCAGGGCCCGCCGCCGGGGCACTGGCCGGGGCTGCGGGCACGGGCGCTGGCTCGCGCTTGTTCACGGGAAAGGGGAAGACCACGGCGGGATCCACGCACTCGGCGGCCGGGTGGGCGAGCTCGGCGGGCAGGGCGGCCCCGGCGCGGCCGGCTCCCGCAGCCCCGCCGTGCCCGCGACCCGCAGGGCTGGCGGCGCCGGCTCCCGGGGACTGGGCGGTGGAACCGGCGGTTGGCGGCCCGCGGCCGTGCTGCAGCTTCTCGCTCACGGCGCGCTCCAGCTTCTCGCGGGCGGAGAAGCCGCTCCACATGCAGTCCTGGAGGATGACCGGGTTGGGGGTGAGGCCACCCAGTCCCCCCAGGCCGAACGCGTCCTCCTCGGCCGGGCTGCCCCACAGCTCGTTCTCAAGCAGCATCTCCGTGACCCAGCTCGGGGGCTCGGAGCTGTGCTCCGCGAAGCCACGGCTGGGCGACAGCGGGGGCGTGGGCAGCAGCTCAAACTTCTTCCAGATGTCCTCCCCCGGGGGGGTCGAGTCGGGGCCGCCGAAGTAGAAGTCATCTTCGTCCGGGTAGAAGCAGGGCTGTAGCGAGTCAAACTCGAGGTCTGGGTTCTTGCAGATCATGCCCGGCATGGTGGACGTGGAGCAGCTCGGCATCGGCTCGCCTCCCGGCCGGCGACTGAGGGCTTCTTTCCGCCCCGTTCGTTTTAATACCGGGGGTGCTTCCTTCCCGTGGGGGGCGCGGAAGGCGGGGGCCGGCGCCGACCTCCAACACTGCAACCGACAGACACACCGGAGAGGGTGGGCAAACGGGGCAGACCGAGGGGATAGGCAATGGGCGCCCCCTCTAACCAGGTTCCCCAATCTTCCCTCCAAGCCCCCCACTCTGCCCACTGCTCCCGAAGGTGGAGGAAGTTGTGCCTCTCGCTCCCTCCCTCCCGCCCTCCTTTTGTGTACAAGCTGTCTACGACAGGGGGTGGGAGGGGGCATGCAGATGCAGGGGGTGGTGGCGAGGCTCCGCAACTTTGGAAACTGCCATTTCATTCACACAAGGCACTGCCTGGGGGAGGGGGCTGTTCCTGGCTGCAGAATTCTAGCTCTCACGAGCACGCAGACAACCGCACTCGCAGCGGTGTGGGGCCGGCTGCTCAGGGGAAGCCCCAGGCTCTCCGACCCAGCTACCGGGAATGGTATTTGGAGTACCTTCTACCCCCTTTGTAAAAATGCAACCTCAGGAGTGCAAATGATAGCAGGGGATTTAGAAAACTTTGCAAATAAAAAAAAGCCTTTCTCTAGACAGAGACCAACAACAGACACCCATATCCACAAATCCTTCCCCTCCCCAAATTTGAGCAAACGCCCCTCGGCATTCACCCGCTGCAGGGATACTCCTGCCAATAGCTTAATTGGAAGCTCTCTAAGCCCACCCCTGCTCTTCCAAACCCACGACAACGTCCTCTTCCAGGGAGGGAGAGGCTGAGCCCCTGTTCCCGGGAATGGCAGGGGCGCCCGCGCGAGGAGGGTCGCCGGGAGAGCCGCCTCTCCTCCAAGCTGGAGCAGCCGTGACCCAGATTGCGACCGCGGCGGCCTCGCCCTGCCTAATCCCCCCCTCTTCTTCCTCCAGGGGCACCCTTTGGAGAAGAACCCCAGCCTGGGGTGGGGACGCACCGGCTCTCCGACAGCTCAAACACAGACAGATCTTCTAGAGCCGAGGGAATTTCTTTTCGCAGAAGCCATTACTCCCCCCGGTAAGGGCTGCAAAAGGATTAGGGCGGGTCTCCTCTAGCCAGGATGCCTTCGGGGCTGGAACTGGCTTTTCTGGGAAAACCCAGAGATGGTTTTGTTTCGGAAGCAGAAACAGTCCCCCGGGCATATTAGGGCGCCCGGTGCGCACGTCGCAATCCCGTCCAGGGCTTGCCTTGCCCCGGCGCTCGTCGCTTCCCTGGGCGCCGGGCGGTTTGCAAGCCCTGCTCCTTACCTCCCGCCGACTGCAGGGGATCCGGAGGCGATTCTGCGCGGGTGTCTCCGGGTGGGCCGGGGGGGCGGGGGTGTCCTCGGATGGCTACAGTCTGTGCGCGCTTGCGCCTGGCTAGCGCTTGCTCGGCTCCAACACAGTTCCCAGGAGCCCCCCGCATCCACCCAGCGCGTCCAGACAGATGACTGTCACAGCCTGCGCTTTGAAGCTCGGGGGATATTATTAACTGAAAAATCTGACACACCCGGGGGGCGGGGAGAGAAGGGGGCTGTGGCGCAGACAAGGGGGAGGGAGAAAGGAGAGGAAAGCGGCTTTACCCCGCCCTCCTGATTTCCATAAAAATCAGGGGAGGCGCCAAGGCTTTCGCGCCAAAAGCCACTTGCTTTTCTTTGCAGAGAGAAGGCTGCAAAGCTGGGAAGCCCAGGGTGTGCTCCTCCCGCCCTTTTGGACCCCCGGGCTTGCACCGGCTGCACTCTGAGAACCAGCTGCGCGCGGAGCGGTGCAATGCAGCACCCACCCTGCGAGCCTGGCAATTGCTTGTCATTAAAAGAAAAAAAAATTACGGAGGGCTCCGGGGGTGTGTGTTGGGGAGGGGAGACCGATGCTTCTAACCCAGCCCCCGCTTTGACTGCGTGTTGTGCAGCTGAGCGCGAGGCCAACGTTGAGCAAGGCCTTGCAGGGAGGTTGCTCCTGTGTAATTACGAAAGAAGGCTAGTCCGAAGGTGCAAAATAGCAGGGAGAGGACGCGCCCCCTTAGGAACAAGACCTCTGGATGTTTCCAGTTTCAAATTGAAAGAAGAGGGGCGCCCCCCTTGTTTGAAAATAAATAAATAAATAAGTGCGAGCTACGAGGGTGGCGCCGCGGTGGTTTCTTCGGCCGAAGGCGACACCTCGCGGAGACTGAGCAGAAAGCGGAGCTGCCCGGCCTTGGCGCGGACCTGGAGTGCGGCCACTCCGCAGGTCTCCCGCCGCCCCCGCGGGACTGTCCACGCGTCCTCACCACTGCGGAGGAGGAGGCGGCCTGGCTCTGCTTCCTAGGGGGAATGGGCGTACGTTCCCTGCAGCCGTCCCCAGGGCTCCCAAGTTAACCTTTTCAAAGCCACCATTCTCCCCAGTTATGGGCAGGCGAATCTGATTTACCGAGATGGAAGTGCTGTCCACACCTCCTGAGACCCAGCCTCGGCTCAAACAGCTTGATTCCAAACTGTTGAAGGGAAAAAGGAAAGCTGCTGTCACTACTTCGTTTCTTTGTGCCTCAGTTTCCTCAATTGTGAAATGGAGTTCGTAGTGCCTCCTACCTGAGAGTTATGAAAGCTCTTATAAGTCCCCAGCCCATAATAGTTGTGTCAGCTATTATTATGATGATGACCACGACATGCTATTCTTCTGGGGAAAATAACACCCCTCTGTCCAGCAGCAGCATTGGCCCCTTCCCTTCCCGCCACCATCAAATCCTGGCTTTACTTCACTCTGGTCTAGCTTTTCTTACAGGTGTATTTGTTTGCAGGGGGTCAGACATTATTGCCCCTGCCCTCCAAACTCTCCAAAAACAACCCTGATCTCCTGGACAGCCCCCTTCACAACCAAATACACAGTGAGGTGGGATTTTGCCTTGAAAAACATTCCTTAGGCTTGTTTGGAGAGAGGGGAACCTGGCCCTGGGATTGGGGTGGGAAGGCTTCCCCGCCTCTCCCTACTTTTTTCTCCAAACTGGAAATGCCATTCTCCATCGCCCCCACCTCTTCACCTCACCATTGGATCTAGTTAAGGAGGAGGATGCTGAGGGTCAGGGGGCAACCCATAAAATGCTCACAGATTAGCATTTGTGAAGGCCTTTCCAGCCCTGACCCTGGACGCCTACAGAGCTCTAGGGAGAAAGATTCCCAGAGTTCTAGGAAGAGGCCCATGAATGCGGATGAGCAGCCCTTCCAAGCACCTTTATTATTGTTATTTCCCTCACAAATGTAAAAGCCTTCATCTTTGCAAAAGCCTTTTACAGCCCCACTTCTGCTTTTCCCTAGCCCCCTAATCGCCACCAAGCCCTCCTGCTGAATTCTCGCCTAGCATCCTGTCCTTTCCTGTCCAGCACTCACCTCCATTTGTAATGATCCATGCCTGGGAGTATTTGTTTAGTGCTCACTTCCGTGACACTGTGGAAGACAGGCTCAGTCTCCCTCACTAACCTGTGACCTGGGTCAGTTTTGCTCCAGAGGGAATCCTTACGGCACAGCAGTGTACCTGTATATAGTAAGTACTCATGGTATTATTCAAGACCAAGATCACTGAATGAGTCCTTCTAAGGTGGCCAGATCTTCTGTGGCAAGACTGTGAAAATAGGCCAGGATGGGTTCAGTTGCTCCGATTCAAAGTCCTACCTTTGTCCTTTCTCCTCAGATGAATGACCATCACTAGGTCATTCACCCTTTGTCGAGGGACAAGGTGTAGCAGAAAAGGGGGACAGAGGGACAGGAGACCTGGTTACTCTACATGCCTTTGAGCAAATCATTTATACTTCCTGGACCTCAATCTCTAATCTCCTGCTTTTAATGCAAGCCAGTAATTACTGACAAGTCTGAATCTGAAGGTTAACAGAATGATAAAATTCAACAAATATTTATTGGTTACCTTCATTTGTAAGTAGAAAGATAAAAGACTTTGTACATGGAGAAAACATGCTAATGCTGATTCTTAGTCTGCTTATAGAGAAGCCTGAAAATCCCTCTTAAAAATGTTGAAATACTTCAACTATGTGAACACACACAAAACAAATCTTCATATGGTTTCAAAGCCAAGGTTTTGTTCAGTACTGCCATGGTTTGAATGTGTCCTCCAAAAAAAAACACGTTGGAAGTTTAACCCCCAGTGCAACAGTGTTGGAGGGGAGGTCCCCAAATGCCAGTGGGACCTAGACCCCAGCCAGTGTCCAGGCTCTTGACACCATCAAGAGAATGAATTCAAAGACCAGTTGGAAAATAGTGAAAGTACGATTTATTGCAAAGGGAAAAGTACACACTCAAGAAAAGGGAATATGGGTGTACTCGAGAGACTCACACGAAAGGGGGTTTGGGGTTGCTACCTTTACGGGTTTCTTTAACCAAGAGGCAGAATATTCATGATCATTCCTAGAAAAAGAAGGAGATTTCTCAGAACTGTGACACCACCTATTTTTAAACCAAATATGGGTGTTCTCGGAAGTGTCATGATGCTAGTGGGGTGTGTGATTTAGTATGTTAATGAGCGTATAATGAGGTCCTAGGAGAAACCTAGGTCAAATCCAGTGCCATGCTGGGTTCAGTGGGTCTTAGCCAGCTTGGTCTACACTCTGTTTTTCACGGTCTTAGCCCATGGCCTCTGCAGCCATTTCAACAGTTTCCTTTTGCTAGTCATGTGAAATTGCTGCCCAAAATCTTCTATTATTCTGCAGCCACCTTATATTATTCCTGTCTCAGGACCTAATGTGAGGTGTTTAGGTCATGAGGGCTCCACTCTTGTGAATGGATTAATGCTAATTATAAAAGGGCTTGAGGCTAGGAGTTTGATCTCTTGCCCTCTCTTCCTTTTTCCTGCCAGGGGATGGTACGCCATGAAGGCCCTCAGCAATTGCTGGCACCTTGATATTGGACTTCTCAGCCTCCAGAAACATGAGAAATACATTTCTTTTCTTTATAAATTACCCAGTCTGTGCTATTAGGTTATAGCAACACAAAATGAACTGAGACAAGTACCCATCTATTACTGTGTCTGAGCCCCTGGGTGGGTTTGGAACAGAGGTAAGTTAAGGTACAGCCGCAAGGAGCTCACTGTGGACCAGGGAAGGAGACCCACATCTGAAATGGATGCCTCAATCTAATCACCAACTGCTAGGATAGAGTTATACACAGCATTTGGTTTATAATTAAGGTGATTTTTGAGAGAGGAGAATATTTTAGTTTACAAATCTCCTCTTTACTAAGACACACACACACAAAGAAACAACACACACATACACATGTTGAGAAGGGCCCAAATCATGACTGGCTAGGAGAGCAACAGCCTCTAGATGGTTTTTCCAGATTGTGAATTAAAGATCTGCTGGGTTGGCCAGGCATGGTGGCTCACGCCTGTAATCCTGGCACTTCAAGAGTCTGAGGAGGGCAGATGGCTTGAGCCCAGGATTTTGAGACCGGCCTGGGCAACATGGTGAAACCCTGTCTCTACAAAAAATATAAAAATTAGCTGGGCGTGGTGGGTGCGTGCCTGTGGTCCCAGCTACTTGGGAGGCTGAGGCAGGAAGATCACCTGAGCCCAGGGAGATCAAGGCTGCAGTGTGCCATCATCACACCACTGCACTCCAGCCTGGATGACAGAGTGAGACCTTGTCTCAAAAGAAAAAAAAAAAGATCTACTGAGTCTGTCTTCAGGGACAAGAGCACAGTTTCTCCTAGGATCTTCACACCTCCCTCAAAATGTGTACATTTTTACTGATTAAATAATTTAAAAATCCTTGGGATCGATTGACTTCATTTGGAAAACAGTAAAGCTAGCTCTCTGCCTAACCCAAATGCAAAAAAAAAAAAAAAAAGGGCAGGGGAGGGGTGGGGGTGCTGGATGTAAGAATTTTACTATGATAAAAAGTTGACAACAGTAATAGAAAATACTTGCCATATATATGAGTCAAAGATTAGATCCCAGGTATACAAAGAGCTCCCACAAATTGAATAGAAAAAAACGGGCAGACAGAAATATGACTCTAGGATACGAGCAGGTAATTTACTGAATAAGAAATGCAAATTGTCAATAAACATATGAAAAGATGCTCAACTTCACCGGTAGTCAGGGGAATGCAAATTAAATCTCAGTGAGATTAACATTTTTGGGTCTAGCAGATTGGCCCAAAGTACTGGCCAGCCTGGGGAGTGGGAGCAGGGGCCTCACATACACTGTTGGTGTGCCTGCCCCAAGAGGAAAAGCAATTCCACTCTTCATGATCCATCCTACGAGAAATAATAAGACAAACACATAAAAGCATATAAACAAGAATGTGTGTGGCTGCATCATTCTCAATAACAAAAATACTATAAGCAATCTAAATATCCATAACTAAAACAAATTAAACAGGAGAATGGTATGTAATACATCCATGCAGTGGAATTACATACACCCACTAAAAATAATGTGTTAGGTCTATAGTTACAGACGGGAAATGTTCCTGAACATGAAGGAAAATAAGCAAGGTATAGGTCAATCTGTCTGGCATTTTGGATATATATGTACTTAGATATATCTGCATCAACCCCCCAGTAACAAATTGAGAAGAATGTGCACCAAGTTGCTAACAGGGGTTTACTTTGAAGAAGACAATCAGTCAGGTGGAGGGAGAAACTTTCTTCTTGATATAACTTTTATTTATTTATTTTATTTTTTTTGAGACAGTTTCGCTCTGTCATCCAGGCTGGAGTGCAGTGGCGTGATCCCGGCTCACTGCAACCTCTGCCTCCCGGGTTCAAGTGATTCTTGTGCCTCAGCCTCCCCAGTAGCTGAGATTATAGGCACCCGCCACTATGCCTAATTAATTTTTTTTTTTTTTTTTGAGATGGGGTCTCGCCTTATTGCCCGGGCTGGAGTGCAATGGCACAGTCTCGGCTCACTGCAGCCTCCACCTCCCTGGTTCAAGTGATTCTCCTGCCTCAGCCTCCCTGGTAGCTGGAATTACAGGCACATGCCACCACACCAGGCTAACTTTTGTATTTTTAGTAGAGACAGGGTTTCACCGTGTTGGCCAGGCTGGTTTCGAGCCCCTGACCTCAAGTGATCCACCCACCTCAGCCTCCCAAAGTGCTAGGATTACAGGCGTGAGCCACTGTGCCTGGCCTATAACTTTTTTTTTTTTTTAAAGCAATGGGGTTATGAACAAATTTAATTTCTTTGTTTTTGTTATTTTTCAAAAATAATTTTGTTACTTTTCAGTAAAGTTAATCATTTCAAGTGATGTAAGGGACCCTTTTGTGAAGCCTAAAGTCACCCCCAAATTTCTCCTTTGTTTCCCAGGCCAGTTGGCATTTTTCCCACCAAACTGCTATTGAACTGAGTCAGCTGAGAGTGGGTTCAAAGAGACCAAGATGGACCAAAACGGGCACTGCTTTAATTAAGATTAGAATCATGCCCATCAAAGCCATTCAACGTATATGATGTTGGATGTGCCCAAGGCAAAATGCATAGTTTTTTGACATCTGAGGCTGGAGGAGAGTTTGAGATCCACCACTGAGAGAGTTTTGGAGGTGGGAAGTTTTATTTGTAATAGCATAATTAGGTTTAAAACAAAAATTATCTTCATTTAATGCCAGTAATTTGATTACTGATTTAGAAAATCGAAGTGTCCAGCAGACCCTGGACTGCCCTCAGAGACTAGTTTTGCATCCTTGGAGGCAGCTCAAAGACCCCTTCCACTGTGAAGACTTCCCTCCAGCTTCATGCATTACGTAGACTTGAGAGAGGGCTAAGATGGAGTGAGTCAAAATGCACTGCAAACCATGAAGAGCTACGGGGAATGGACGGTGATACTGCTGCTGTGGAGTTGGAATTCTCATTTCCCTTAGTTTCCTTATGCTAAAAGTCAAAATGGGAAAGATGTCCCTGGAGGCAGCTGCTCAGGGCCAGGCTCCACAGGTATGGGGTTTGGGGAGAAATAGGTTTCCCCTTGTGGGCCTCAAACTTGAATTTGTCAGTGCACTGGAATGGCTCACAATTAGGGGATCCTCATCTTAGTAGGAATCTGTAAGGGCTACAAGGAATTCTGATGCCAGATCTGGCCTTTGAGTCCATTTGGCGCTGCCCCTTGAAACAGGCAGGCTCTCTACGAAGGACAGGGGTCTCCTTTTTCTGGGATTACTTTCCAGACACAATGACGTGCTTTGGATGTGTCCAGATCACCTCGCGCTGTGCTGAAGTTTTCAGATCTTCTCCTCAGGTGATTACTTAGTAGATGGCTGATCTCACCCACTGATTCTTGCTAATTTCATTTTCCTATAATGCTGGATACATTCCTGTAGCCCCATGGACGGCCCGAGCTACCTCAATATCTGAGTGGAATTGCTAGAATCTGCCTGCTGGCCCTTTCAGTTTCCTTGGACTCAGATAACAATCACTGATAAATATCAGTGATTCTATCTGCTCATTTCCAGAAGCTGCTACTTCTGGCCTAGAAAGGCTTTTCCTTTCATTTCTGCTTATTCAAATTCTTTCCTCAAAGTTCAGCTGGAGACTGTCCTGGAAGGAATCTCGTCCTCCCTTCCCCTAACCCTACCCATTCTCTGCCCCAAATCTCCATTAATCTTATACTGCTTGCCGCCAACAAGGGGGTTCTTTTTTAATTTTTATTATTATTTTTAACTCTTGTCTCCCAGGCTGCAGTGCAGTGGTGCAGTCTCTGCTCACTGCAACCTCCTCCTCCCAGGTTCAAGCGATTCTCGTGCCTCAGCCTCCTGAGTAGCTGGGATTACAGGTGTGTGCCACCACGCCCGGCTAATTTTTGTATTTTTAGCTTTCTCCATGTTGGACAGGCTTGTCTCGAACTCCTGACCTCAGGCGACCTCACGCCTCGGCCTCTCAAAGAGCTGGGATTACAGGCGTGAGCCACCGTGCCCGGCCATGGGGGTTCTTTATCAGATTCCTGTGTGTGTGTGCGACTCCCCTAACAGGATGAGCAGTTCCTGAGTGCAGCACCCTTTCCCATGTTGCCTTTCCATCTTCTACAGCATCTGGTGCAGCGAATGCTGGAAAGAACAGCTCTGACACCAGACATGACAGCGAGTTCTGCTATGTTGGATAGTCCAACTTTTCTGAGGCTTTATTTCTCCATCTTTCTTTCTTTCTTTCTTTTTTTTCTTTTTTTTGAGAGAATCTCACTCTGTTGCCCAGGCTGGAGTGCAGTGGCACCATCTCGGCTCACTGCAACCCCCGCCTACCGGGTTCAAGCGATTCTTGTGCCTTAGCATCGTAAGTAGCTGGGATTACAGGCTCGAGCCACCGTGCCCAGCTAATTTTTTTTTTTGTATTTTTAGTAGAAAAGGGGCTTCACCATGTTGGCTTGGCTGGTCTCAAACTCCTGGCCTCAAGTGATCCATCCGCCTCGGCCTCCCAAAGTGCTGAGATGACAGGCATGAGCCACCACACCCGGCCATTTTTTCATCTTTCTTTTAGTATCATGTGAGGATTACACAAAGTAGCCATCTGGCTTATAATGGATGTCCAGTAAACGTTCCCTCCCTTCCTTCTAGTCCCAGCCCTCCTGCAGGGGCTCCATGTACCCCGCAGCAATAGACCATAGCATGTGTGTCCTGGGGGAGCCTGCAGAAAATGTCTCTTTGTTTTAATGGGACTGTTGAATCATTCTTTCTTCAACTGGAAATCTCTCTGGGCCACACCCCTTTACTCTTCATGGCTTGTCCGTAATCAAGTAACTTTAGGCTTGAAAGAAGGTACTGCAGAGTCAAGGTAGTATAAGGTAGTCCTAGTAAGAACACAGGGTCACCCGGGGAGAGGACTGGAGTTCTTCAAGCTTAGAATTGTGTCTTACTTCTTGAGGAATTTTAGATCGGTCCATTAACTTCTCCTGGTTCATAATATCGGAATAATGAGCCCTATCCCTGCTTTTATTCCATAAGGGAAAGATATCTGTAGGGCAGTGGGCTTAGATTCAGAAATGAAGTTTGATAACCTGGTTCTATTATTTCTATATGATCTTGGGCATGTCCATTTCCAACAGCCTCAGTTTTCTTACCTACGAATAGGGATAATAATATTCTTACTGCCACAGAGAAGATAGGAAATCTACAATCAAAGTGGGGCCATGTATGTTACCTTGCTGTATATTATAAGCTCTAAGAAATTGTAGAGGAAAAAGGCTTTATTCTGTGGGGCAGGAGCTTGAAAAATGGTAAAACCTCTACACATGAACAGTGTGGGATCATGTATGGAGTTCCTAAAACAAGGCTGTTTGGGATGGACACGTTTGAATCCTCTTACAATGCTTATAATGGTCATATTTCCTGGTAAGTGGCATCAAATCCAAAAACCTGTCAAAGGGACAGATGGCATTCTTAGCACAAAAGAGGAAACCAATTAGAAGTTAAAATACAGAAAAATGTGAACTTGTAAATGCTAACAAATTGTTTCAATGTGGAGGACTGTGTTGTTTTCCCTGACACTGGCCAAGGAAGGTCTCTTTCTGGTCCAGCTATGTTCACAGGGCACTGACTATTGGAGTCTGAAAGAAACCTTATGGACTCTCTCTCCTAACTGTCTTGATTTCAAGCTTGCATACCTAGCTCGAGTTGTTGGGCAGATGCTGCTGATTGCACCATGTCACTTTTACAGTGACAGACTGTGTCTTTGCAGCTCAGAAATGAGCTCTGAACAGTAGGCTTTAGGAAGCAATTTCTAAATACAAGCATTCATTTAGTCCATCAACAAACACTTGTATATGACTATATATAACTATAACTTCTGCTTGCAAGGCACTTATAAGCCACACAGAAAAATCCAATGAAACTTATTGTGTGCTACAATTAAGGATGGCCCAGAGGAAAGAGACTCCACCCCTCCCTGGGGGAGTGGAACATGGTTTCACAGACTGGGAGGGACATTTGAGCTACAGGATGAGAAACAGTTTGCCCGGGACACAAGGGCGGATAGGATTGTATTAGTCAGGATGGGTGAGAGTATGCTGTAGTAACAAACAACCCTCAAATCACAGCGGCTTAATGCAACAAAGCCTTAGTTTTTGCTCTTGTTACACGTTACAGCCTTCTTGTTAAAAGAGCAGCCCCTCGTGAAAGAGGGAAAACAGCCAGAAGGAACAAACCAAATCAAGCATGCAGCTGTTACACTCTATGCTAAAACCCCCCAATGGATCAAGGTGGCCCCAGTTGGATAGAATGGTTTGTTTGGAGGGAAAAGACCAAGAGCATGGGGTAAGAAAGCTTCATAAACTGGAGGTGCTGAAAGTAAGTCTAGAGAAAAAAGCAGGGTCTTATTTTTGTTATTTGTTAAATAACCTTTTAAATACTAAGTCTTAATAGTGCAAATTTAATGGATTTTTATTATAATTATGATTTAGAGCAAACTGTTGAAGATATTCCTTTTTTTTTTTTTTTTTTTGAGATGGAGTCTTTCTCTGTCACCCAGGCTGGAGTGCAGTGGCACAATCTTGGCTCACGGCAACCTCCATCTCCCCTGTTCAAGTGATTCTTGTGCCTCAGCCTCCTGAGTAGCTGGGATTACAGGCATGCACCACCACACCCAGCTAATTTTTTTTTTTTTTTTGTATTTTTAGTAAATATGGCATTTCACTAGGCTGGCCAGGCTAGTCTCACACTCCTGACCTTAAATGATCCTCTGGTCTGGGCCTCCCAAAGTGCTGGGATTACAGGTGTGAGCCACTGCTCCCAGCCTGTTGAAGATATTCTAATTAATCCTAAATTAGTCCTGCAAGTTGTTTCATGAAAAAAGTTTTCTATATTAAAATACACATAGGTTTAAATAAAAAACGAGAGAGAGAAGTCTTGAAGAGAATGGTGTCTGTAGCTACAGCTGATCGGAATGAAGTCGTTCAAGGATAGAAGCTTAGACTTCACTTCGAAATGCTTCCTCTGAACTGGCTGCCATGGAGTCACCTGTGCCCCCAAGCACAATCTCCTCAAAGGCAATGGCAGCCATTACTAGGCCTTTTTATTTTTCATGATGCATAGTTGTACCTGTCACAAAGGAGGTGCTCAAAAAATATTTTGTGGAATGAATGGACAGATTTCTCTCTGTTCTCCCAAAACAAGGCTTATGTCTCTATGTACATAAGGAGAATGTCAGGGCTGGGTGCCGTGGCTCATGCCTGTAATCCCAGCACTTTGGGAGGCTGAGACAAGTGGATCACTTGAGGTCAGGAGTTCGAGACCAGCCTAACAAACGTGGTGAAACCCCATCTCTACTAAAAATACAAAAACTAGTGGGGCTTGGTGGTGGGTGCCTGTAATCTCAGCTACTATTTTATATATATATATATATATATATATATATATAAAGAGAATGTCAGGACCAGCAATCCATAGAAAACTGAGACAGCAGACTTGTAGTTTTCAAACTTGCTTGCAGCTACAAAACTTTTTATTTAAAAAATGCTAACTAAATATCTTTTACACTAAGGTCAATTTTTTATTTTTTTAAAATTTTTTTGAGACGGAGTCTTGTTCTGTTGCCCAGGCTATAGTGCAAGTGGCACCATCTCAGCTCACTGCAACCTCCGCCTCCTAGGTTCAAGCGATTCTTCTGCCTCAGCCTCCCGAGTAGCTGGGATTACAAGCACCTGCCACCATGCCCGGCTAATTTTGTATTTTTAGTAGAGATGGGATTTCACCATGTTGGCCAGGCTGATCTTGAACTCCTAACCTCAAGTGATCCATCTGCCTCGGCCTCCCAAAGTGCTGGGATTACAGATGTGAGCCACTGCGCCCAGCCTCTCTGGGGATCTTGAAGGGTTTCAAAACCAGACTGAAAGCCACACATTCAGATCAATCAGATCACACAAACAATAAAACCCCAGCACTTTCTCATGAAACCAGGAGAAAGTTCTGGCTTTTGTCTCTTCCACCTGTGGAAATCAGCAGTTATCTCTATTTTCCTTTGGGGATTGGAGTGTTTGGTTTCTCCATGAAGGAATGAAATGTTCACAAGAGCAAGAATATGCAGCTCTCCTGAGAAGAGGGCTGGAAGAAGCCACCAGCTCCAGTATCCTCAAAAGAGCACCTCTGCAGCTCCAGGGTCCGGGGTTCCTCCAGAAGCACAGATGAACTAAGCGGGGCTCCTAGGGCCTCGGGAAGGTGAGATCCCTGGCATGAGTCACCTTTTCTGCAGAATCTGCTTCAGATGCCTCCATCTGAGACTCATTTCTCACCATCCATGCTAGTAGAGGGGCTGGGGAGAATGGAGAGGATGTCCTGTTGGTCAGCGTCTCCCTTCTGGCTGACTGAAGACTCCTGACCCACTATAGTACCAGACAAGGGTGACAGTACCCTCTCTGTGAGGGCCCCAGAGAGAGGCTGACGTGGGCTGTCAGTTCCTCTCAGCGTTGCTAATCTGAGTCAAAGATAGCCAGACCCCCAGGATCGGTCCCCACCCTCCGCCAGATGCTGTCCAGGGGAGCAAGTTGTGTCTGTCCCTCCTGAGCAGGTCCCCTGACTTCCCCTAGGATGATGGCTAGGCCACTTGATTTGCTTTCTAAACATCATTGTCCTGTGCCAGCCACTCCCAAAGCTGCATAGAAAGATGAGATTTCTTGGCCAGGCGCAGTGGCTCACGCCTGTAATCCCAGCACTTTGGAGGCCAAGGTGGGCAGATCACCTGAGGTCGGGAGTTCAAGACCAGCCTGACCAACATGGGGAAACATCATCTCTACTAAAAATACAGAATTAGCCAGGCATGGTAGCACATGCCTGTAATCCCAGCTACTCAGGAGACTGAGGCAGGAGAATCGTTTGAACTAAGGAGGTGGAGGTTGCAGTGAGCCGAGATTGCGCCATTGCACTCCAGCCTGGGCAACAAGAGTGAAACTTCATTTCAAAAAAAAAAGAAAAAGAAAGATGAGATTTCTTGCCCTTTTCCTCATTTCATTCTATTTCATTATAACACGAGATCAGCCTTAGGTAATTCCAGACTGTCTGCCCACCTCTGAAACCATGAGGATGGATGAAAGAGATTTTCATTCTGTGAACTCCAGCACGAGTGAGTTCCCAGACTCCCTCTTCTGTACTCATGGAGCCCCCAACTGCCTCAATTCCAAGCCAAGGAAGAGCTCCTGTAGCCCATACCACTCTTCAGGGCAGTGACATGCCCCAGCTGGGACAGAAGTCATGGTTGCCAGCCCAATGCGGGTCCCACTTTCCCGCATTCACTGATTTCTAACACAGTGCCGGCTACATTACAGGGAGTCACAAAACACTGTGGACTATTTAGCCCTTAAGCCAGATGCCACAGAGCAGCATTCCTCTGAAATTGCAGAAGGAATCTCAGCTCTACTCGAGGCAGGAGGTCAGATGCCAAGGGCTCGCTTTGCTCCTTTTTATGGCTTACCCACTGGCCTAGAGCCTTAAAGAATCAAATTCCACCTTCCTCTACCTGACTCCCAACTCCTGTCCTTGCAGCGGCGTGTCAGCTTCTGTGAATCTCAGTTTCCTCCTCTTTAAAATGGGAATCGTGGGCACCTCTCTCCTTGCAGGACTGCAGCCATTGCCAAAAGCAAGGTAAGCGACAGAGCACCACGTCATTGTAGAGGTGGTTGTCAATACCACAAAAATGATTCCTGCTCATTCAGAATCCTCTAATTGTCTTATCCGGATTATCTCCCCACCTGCTGTCTGACCTCTGCCCTATTTTCGAGATGAAATAAACCTGGATTTTTCCGTTGTCATCCAAACTTTAGAATTGTGGACTTAGGGCAAACCTTACATTTCACTGACATTACTTCTTTTAAAACCCTTTTTTAAAAATTATTTATTTATTATTTATTTTTGAGACAGGGTCTCGCTGTGTCTCCCAGGCTGGAGTGCACTGGTGTGATCATAGCTCACTGAAGCCTCGACCTTCCCGGCTTAAGCGATCATTTCACCTCAGCCTCATAAGTAGCTGGGAGTATTGGCGTGTGTCACTGCACCCAGCTATTTTTTTTTTTTTTTTTTTTTGTAGAGACAGGGTCTTGCTATGTTGCCTAGGCTGGTCTCAGACTCCTGACCTCAAAGGATCTTCTAGCCTTGGCCTTCCAAAGTGCTGGGATTACAGGTATGAGCCACTGCACTTGGCCAAAAGCCCTCTTTTAAAAACCCATCTTAGTGATACCTGGCGGTGGCTAGGTGCAGTGGCTCATGCCTGTAATCCCAGCACTTTGAGAGGCCAAGATGGGCGTATCACCTGAGGTCAGGAGTTCGAGACCAGCCTGGCCAACATGGTGAAACCTCATCTCTACTAAAAATACAAAAATTAGCCAGGCATGGTGGTGCGTGCCTGTAATCCCAGCTACTCAGGAGGCAGGAGGATCGCTTGAACCTGGGAGGCAGAGGTTGCAGTGAGCAAAGATCACGCCACTGTGCTCCAGCCTGGGCGACAAGAGTGAGACTCTGCCTGAAAAAAAAATAATAATAATAATATTAATGCCTGGCTGTGAAGAGGACGGAGCTGGAGCTCATGTCTATCATATAGTGTCAGATGCAAAAGAAGTGGCAGAACAATGTGTATGGCATGAGTTCATTTTTGAAGGGAATACGTCTTAACGTGCTTGTATAAGCATATGTGGAAGGTTGTACACCAAACTGTTTAGCAAAATTATTGGGGAATGGGACTGAGGATCGAAATGGAGAGATGGTGAAGAAATTTTCATTTGTTTTTCTATTGATGGTTTGAGTTTTTAAAATAACAATTGGGTGTCGTTACATTTTAATTTCACATTTTTAAACACTGACAGACACTTTAAACATATGGCCTTGAAATATTTTTTACTAGATTGTATATCTCTGTTCTTACTATTTAACTTTCTAAATAAATTAAATGAACATTCTCTCTTGTGTTTAAAATTAGGATCTACAAACCTGATCTTTCCATTTATTGAGTGCCTGCTATATCCCAGGCTGAATATAGATGTTTTTGCACTTAATACTCACTCCAGCCTTGCAAGGTTAATTATTTTCATACCCACTTTACATCTGAGGAAACTGGGGCCCAAGGTCACACGGTTAATAAGTGGCACAGCTGGAATTCTAACACAGCACAACCTGACTCCAAAGTGCACATTTGTTTATGAAGGTTCCCTGATGCCGTCTTTAAGACTGCATTTAACCTCGTGCACATAATTAATTTTTTTTTATCAATACACACTCATGCATACAATTTGATTTTAAAATAAAATCTTTAATATTGTATAGTAATCCTCTTGGTGGTCCTGGGGGGTGCTCATCCACCCGAATGAGCAAAGCTTAGCTAAGACCTTAAGGTGTGCTGTCTTTTAAACAAATTATATCCAAGTGCAGCCACAAAAATTAACCAATCTATTCAGAAATCTTTTTAGAACAAATGTTTCTTTTTTTTTTTTTTTTTTGAGATGGAGTCTCACCCTGTCACCCAGGCTGGAGTGCAGTGGCATGATCTCAACTCACTGCAACCTCTGCCTCCTGGGTTCAAATGATTCTCCTGCTTCAGCCTCCTGAGTAGCTTGGATTACAGGTGCCCATCACCACACCCAGCTAATTTTTTTTAATTTTTAGTAGAGATGGGGTTTCACCATCTTAACCAGGCTGGTCTTGAACTCCTGACCTCATGATCCACCCGCTTCGGCCTCCCAAAGTGCTGGGATTACAGGCGTGAGCCACTGCACCTGTCCTTAGAACAAAGATTCCTAAAATACTCTAAGTTTGTAGACTTATAACACCACCGTGTGAAATGAAGTCCTCTACATATCTCCCAAGAGCTTCACCCTAATATAATCACCGGGGAGGAGAGTATGATATCTCGTGAGCCTTTTGTTTTTCTCTCTTCAAGGAGTCAGTTCTTGGAGGAATCTTCCTATGGGAAATGGAATTTTGCTGTTGCTCCAGAAAGTGAAATTTACAGCTGACAAGAGGAAACGACAGGGAACTCTATTCCAGTATGACATAAGAAAGAATTTGGTAGCAATTAGAACAAGCCAATAATGGAGGGGGCTGTCTTGTTAGGTACTGAGATCTCTGTCACTCACAGGATTGAAAAGAGACTAGTGAAGCATCTGACTTGCTATAGAAGGGATTTCTGTCTTAGATAGGAAGTTGGACTAAGTTATTTTAAATTCTGTTTCTTAACTATTTTTGTTTTGTTTTATTTTGTTTTGTTGAGATGGAGTCTTGCTCTGTTACCAAGGCTGGAGTGCAGCGGTGTGGTCTTGGCTCACTGTAGCCTCCACCTCCTGGGTTCAAGTGATTCTCCTGCCTCAACCTCCCAAGTAGCTGAACTACAGGTGCACGCCACCACGCTCTGCTAATTTTTGCATTTTTAGTAGAGACGGGGTTTCACCATGTTGGCCAGGCTGGTCTCAAACTCCCGAACTTAGGTGATCTGCCTGCCTCAACCTCCCAAAGTGCTGGGATTACAGGTGTGAGCCAACGCATCTGGCTCAACTGTATGTTTTGCATTTTTCTTTCTTTTTTTGAGACAGAGGCTTGTACCATTGCCCAAGCTGGAGTGCAGTGGTACAATTTAGGCTCACTGCAGCCTCCACCTCCCAGGTTCAGGTGATTCTCCTGCCTCAGTCTCCCATATAGCTGGGATTACAGGCACATGCCACTACATCCGGCTAATGTTTGTATTTTTAGTAGAGATGGGGTTTCACCATGTTGGACAGGCTGGTATCGAACTCCTGACCTCAGGTGATCTGCTTGCCTCATCCTCCCAAAGTGCTGGGATTACAGGCATGAGCCACCGTGCCCGGCCTTTATTTCTTATTGATAGACTAGCATGTGGTCTTAAGGAAGATCATCCCTGAGCTAATAAAAGCTATGATCCAAATTAACCCCACAGTTGTGGTATGGGTTATGAAACGGGTTCGTTTTTGAAAGTCTGGATTTTAAAGACCGTCAATCAATTGTTTAGTCCTAATTAATTTTTCCTGAGAACATCTGACATATTAACATAAGTACCAATTAAAATTGAATGTTAGTGTAATCACCATCTCAAATATTTGAACAATGTGATTATATAATATGTACCAACAAGGTTAAAAAAATACACTTAGAGAAGTAGATGTGAAGGAAAAGTAAGTATTGCTTCAGGGTTTGGAAAATGCAGTTTCTTATTCATCTGCCTCCCAGATTTCAAGATTCAAGACAAACTCTTGCCAGCCCCTCCTGCTGACTTCTGACAGCCCAGCACACCTAGGGAACTCTGAGCTGAGATATGCCCTCCAGGTGTCTGTGTCGATCATAATCAGACAAAGGATGTTCTGTGCTTTTCCTTAAAGTCAGTCTGCGTGAGGTCCTCCCAGTCACCTCCCAAGCTGGGCTGATGTGTTCACGTTAGGGGTTTCTCATTCAGCTCTGGGGTGTCAGCAACACCACATCAAGACAGACTAATTGAGAGCCTACTATGTGCCGACTGATACCTCACACATCTCTGTTTACATCCCCATCTTATTTCCTAGAAAGTCTGCACCCTTCTATTCAACAGGGGCATAGCTTTCTGGAAATCCCAGAGATACACCACATCCAATGTGTCCCAAACAGAACTCATTATCTCTCCCCTGAAGACTACTCCTGCCAATGAATTGTCTCTTTCACTGGTACCCAGATCAGAAACCTGGCCTTTGGGCTGGCTGCCTTCTTTTTCTTCATCTTGCATTTTTGCAGTGGCCATATTTTGTTATTTCTACTTCCATCCAAGCCTTATAGAAGGTGTCAGAGCCGGACGTGGTGGCTCACACCTGTAATCCCAGCACTTCGGGAGGCTGAGGTGGGTGGATCACCTGAGGTCAGGAGTTTGAGACCAGCCTGTCCAACATGGTGAAACTCCGTCTCTACTAAAAATACAAAAATTAGCCGGGCATGGTGGCACATGCCTATAATCCCAGCTACTCCGGAGGCTGAGGCAGGACAATTGCTTGAACCCAGGAGGCAGAGATTGCAGTGAACTCAGAACGCACCATTACACTCCAGCCTGGGCAACAGAGTGAGACTCCATCTCAAAAAAAAAAAAAAAGAAAAAAAAGAAGGTGTCAGGATGTCTACACCCATTTTTCAAATACTAAGAACCTGCCACACAGTCAATGGAGAGTCACTGCTCCAATCTCCTGACATGCCTCTTTGCCCACCACTTCAGCCCCTGCCTCCAAGATCCAGCCCTTCCCAAGATCCAGCAATCAAATGGCTAATGTCTGGCACAAGAGGGGGCTTCCAGGAACTTGCTGCAACAAAAGGTCAGTTTTGTTTGGCTGGGGCCTGGCAGTCCCTTTCCTTACTAGGTGACCACTGTGCTCTGGGCCAGCTTCCTCATTGGACACAGTAGCACAGTGTCTAGGCCTACTGTACTTTTTTTTTTTTTTTTAAAGACGGGGTCTCACTCTGTCACCCAGGCTGGATTGTAGCAGCGTCATCTCAGCAACCTCTGCATCCCAGGTTCAAGCGATTCTCATGCCTCAGCCTCCTGAGTAGCTGGGATTATAGGCATGTGCCACTAAACCTGGCTAATTTTTGTATTTTTCAGTAGAGACGGGGTTTCACCATGTTGGCCAGGCTGGTCTCAAACTCCTGGCCTCAAGTGATCCGCCTGCCTAGGCCTCCCAAAGTGCTGGGATTACAGGCATGAGCCACTGCGCCCAGCCAACTATTAATCTTTTCTTAAAGGATGGGGTTCACAAGGGCAAAAGTGCGTCAGACCCAATGAAATCCCAGTGCATCCTGCTCTCAACTCCAAGCACCGCGCTCCTCCTTCTCGATGACCTCCTCCGTCCACTTCCTTCCTCTTTTGCTCACTTTTCTTTTTCCATCCACATTTGTTGATCACCTACTGTGTGTGCCAGTTCTGAGGATTCAGAAACAAGGAGGCCCCACTCGCTGCCCCCTGGATGCTTCCAGCCCAGAAGGCACGAAGATGAAGACATGCCCAACTGCAGTACCCTGTGGTCAATGCTACATAGGAGCCCAGGAGTGCCAGAGAGAGAGAGAGAGAGGCCTGCTCCAGCCATGCAGGGTGAGAGAGGCCTCCCCAAAGACATGATTTATGAACCCCAGGAGACAAGCACCCCAGTGCCCCTGCAGAACTCCCCTCACCCAGGATGGGAAGGCACAGCCCTGGGGATGCTTTGGGGTTTGACATTCTCTTCTCAGCCCTGTCGATGTCCACACAGCTGAACCCAGCACTGTCTGAGATGGGTCCCCTTTTCCGATTTTAGAGGGCTAGTGAGGATTCACTCTTCATGGTATCAACCCGGGCTGTGAGAGTGTCTGGGTCCCTCGAGAGGACCAGCACTACTCACCTCAGAGGAGGCGGCCCCTGGCAGTGGAAGGACCTACCTCCGGGGGAAGCAGGTGGAGGGGGTGCAGGCGACCACAGAACTCAGCCAGAGGCAGCTGTGTGTGCTTTGGTGCTCAAGCCTTCAGGGGTCCAAGGCTGCTGGGGTGGCCACCACGCTGGTGCTTAGACCTTAGCAGGAGGGAAGGCAGGGGTGAGGACACTTGACCAGATACGATGCTGGCTTGCTACCCCAGCAGCTCCCTGTTCTGCATCCCAAGGCAGCCTCCTTTATCTGTCTCCTCTTCTCCCCTCCACCCCACCCACACCATTGGCCCCAAAGGCTGGTCCTGCCCCAAGCATTTCCTATGTGTTCACACCTCTGAGCCTCTCCTTCTCCAGCCGTGATGTGTGACTTGGCCCTTGAAGCCCTCAAAGTTCTTCAGTGAAAGCCAAGTGTATTCCTCCAGCTGGAATTACCTGTGACTTTCTCTGTAGTCCCAAAATGTGCACAAAACTTATAAAGGTGTGTGGTGGCCCTTAGATATTTTGGTATAATTTAATTGCATGCATGTGTCTTGCTGCCTGGGTCAATTTCTTTGAGATCAGTGACTACATGTGACCTTTGCCTTCCCAGAGACCAGCACAGACCCATCAGTGAAGCCTGTTCTCAACAAACGCTTGTAAATGACTCACTCCTACTGGGGTCTAGAGGACGATGGATCCCAGATCAAGTTGCTTGTTGCCTCATTTGTCAAGTTCTGCCTGTACATCGGCTGTTCTTCCTTACGATAAATCTGAAGATCAGAAACACGGCGGAACAACAAGCACGCAGGACAAGTCCATCCTGCCCATAACACCCTAGAGCAGGCTCAAAGCAGGAAAACAGCATGAGTCACATTCAGCAACAGACACACGGGGAACCCTGCTCTCCCCTCTACCCTGAGGAGAAACAACAACACCTTCCCTGCCTGGGGAAACTCCTACTCATGCTATCCGTCTCAGACAGCAGCTCCTCTGCGAAGCCATCTTCCACTCTCTCAGAAAGAGTCCATTGTTTCTTCCTCTGCGTTCTCTCTTGCCTCTATTAAGGTGTTCAGCAGACAGTATTGAAACGATCTCCTTGCCTATTTGGTATTTTCCAGTATGGCAGACACATATGGGAATCAGTTCTGGGAGCACAGTGGTTTAAAAGGATGCAGACCACCAAACATCAGAAGAAGAGAAGTCAGGGTAGGGAAGGACCAGGAAACCTGTGCCCCATGAGCGGACTGAGGGTTGAGTTGGTCCCGGACGTTGCTGTGTCTCGGTGTGATTACCAATAGCACCCAAGTTCATTCTCAAAAGTGTCCTGGTTTAGTCCATCACATATATAATCACCCTCCATTTGAGAAATATGTAAAGAAGCCACAGGGATTTGACCCACGGGAGCCTTGGGGAGTCCATCACTGTCTTTAGTCATTCAGGGTGCAGCCGCATGCGCTGCGTGGCCTCAGGGGACCTGTGGGAGAGGATGATGTAACGAAAGCCTTTCCCCTAGTCTCTGTTTTGTTTACTGTTGGGCACCCAGGACTTGGCACCATTCCTGGAATATATTAATCTCTTGATAAATATTTGTGGGAGAGAGGAAGGAAGAGAGGGAGGAGGGGGGAAGAGGGTACAATCTGGCAAAGAGCTGGTTGCATTGCAGGCCTTGTCCCCTCAGTGGGGGCACCTGCCAGAGGCTGAAGGACCCCTTGCTGGGGATGGCACAGATGGTGTATGGGCTGAATTGCACCCCCCTCCCCCGAAAAGGATATGTCCAAGTCCTGACTCCCAGTGCTTCAGAATGTGACTGTACTGGAAATCTGGCTGTTGCAGGTGTTAGTTGAGATGAGGTCATACTGGAGTAGGATAGGCTCCTAATCCAATATGACAGGTGTCCTTACAAAAAGACTGTCATGTGCAGACAGAGGCCTACAGGGAGAAGTCCACGTCTAGACAGGCAGAGGCTGGCATGATGCATCTACAAGCCAGGGACTTCCAAGATTGCCAGAATACCACCAGAGTCTAGGAAGAGACAAGGAAGGATTGTCCCAGAGGTTTCAGAGGGAGTCTGCCAACACCTTGATTTCAGACTTCTAGCCTGCAGAACTGTGAGAATACATTTCTGTTGTTTAAGCCATCCGGTTTGTGGGGGTTGTTTATGCCAGCCCTAGGAAACTAACACGGAAGGAATTCTGCCTTGGGTGGGAAGATGCATGAGATGGATGATCTCTGGACTCACTAGGCTTCCATCTCGGAGCCAGGCAGCAGTGATGGATTTGCCTCAGGCAGCCTTGCAGACCCACTGTGTGTCCATCGAACTCTGCACTGGTGGTCTGCACCCAGGGAGCCAAGCACAAGCTCATCTGAGCTAACTGCAGCACCAGCATCCTGAAACCTCCCTTCACCGTCCAGCCGGTCATGGGCTCAGGGCTCTTTGGCTCCTGGAACTTCAGAGTGATGGAAACTCACAAAGACACCCAAGTCCACCCCTCCCTCACACCGCCAGATTCCAGGCTTAGAGGCGTGGGGGATACCTGGACTCTTTCCCTGCTCTGTGCTCTTTCCGTGTTGTCACAAGAAATAACTCTGTGGTCTACTCATTGTTTTCCAGATAAGCCCCAACCTTCCCACCTGTAGGAATCCCCTTTGCCAGAAATTCCTCACCCCAGCCTCCTCCTCTCAGCCTGCCAAGACGCACTAAGATAGGAGACCACTTCCTTCAGCTGATCTCCTGTCCAGGGGATCTCTGCTTCCCTCCATCCCCAACCCTGCCCGCCACGCAGAATCCTCTGGCCTCACTCCCAGGCAGTCCACCCTTACCTACCACTTGTCATGGGCTACTTTGCAGGGGGCGAATGACATCTTCTTTCACCTCTATTCTTGTTCCTGGTAGTCATTCAATCACCCACAGATATATATTGAGAACCTACCTTATTGCAGAAGTTAAATTGTCAATAAGAATAAAAAGACTATAGTGTTGTTGGGAACATGGATACTTCAGCATTCACTTACAATACAGAGTCCCAAGCAGAAAAATTGGAAAAATACAGGCTGCCCTTGAGGTCAGAGCTGGAGAGAGTGGTGGGGAGCTGTCAGGCAAAGTCCACAAGCCTCCTCCCAGACCTCACTTCTCACCACTGGCCCCTTTCTCTCTGCCCCAGCCACTCTGAATGTCTTGCTTTTTTCTCTGCACTCCAGCTTTATTCCCACAGAGGTTTCGCACGTATTTCCCCCAACCTTGAACATCTGTGTCCCTCCCATTCTTCTTTGTATGACCAGCTCCCTTACTTCCGTGCTCCCTGCGTACCATACCCAAAACAGCACCCTGCCGCTCTCTAGTTCCTTCCCTGCCCCACTGTGCTTCAGAACACTTGCCATTAACATAAATTAGATATGTCATTTGTTGACATGTGCACTGTTTCTTGGCTGTCTCCCTACTAGAATATAGCACATCTTTCAGAATATAGTGGGCACTCAGTCAATCCTGAGCGAATGAATGAGTGAATGAAATGAATGAAGTGACCGCCAAGCTGAGTTGGATGAACAAGGTTCCTGGCTAAGGGAAGCACATTGAAAATGGAAAGAGTGGCACACTCAGGAGAGAAGTTCAATATGGAGGAAAGAGGAGCTGGAAAGTGTGAATGGACCCAAGAGAGAGAAGCAAGGGTCTTCTGAGCCATGCTAAGCTTTTTCCCAGGTCCCTGGGAAGCCGCTGAATGTTTAGGCAGAGAAACTGAGCCATGTACACTGCCTACAGCATAGAGAAAAGGTTGGAAGACAACAAGAGTGCAGACAACCAATTAAGACACAGACATCCGGATGAGAGAAAAAGAGGGCCCAAGCTACAGTCATGGCCGAGGGTCTAAGGAGAAGTAGATGGGTCCTAGAAATACTCAGTAGGGGCCTAGCATGGTGGCTCACACCTATAATCCTAACACTTTGAAAGGCTGAGGCAGGCAGATTGCCTGAGCTCAGGAGTTCAAGACCAGCCTGGACAACATGGTGAAAACCCATCTGTACTAAAAATACAAAAATTTAGCTGGGCGTGGTGGTGAGCACATGTAATCCCAGCTACTCGGGAGGCTGAGGCAGGAGATTCACTTGAACCTGGGAGGTGGAGGTTGCAGTGAGCTGAGATCATGCTACTGCACTATAGCCTGGGCAACAGAGTGAGACTCCGTCTCAAAAAAATAATAATAAAATAAAATAAAAAAGAAAAATAAATATGAAGTAGGTAGAATTATCAGAACTCAAAGGATTGAAAGCCCGTGTGGAATGGCTCACAGGCTGCATGCCACCTTTGATAGTGAGTTCCGTGAAGGCGGGCATTTGTCCGTTCTGAGTCTCCCATGGCTGGTATACTACCTGCTGAATGCATGTCTCGCACTTCTGTTACTTCCCACTCCTTCGATGTGACATAGCCACCTGCACTAAGTGTTTGAGAGCAGGGATTAAAGGGGAGAGAGAGCCTTCTATTTTGGTCTTGTCATTAAACCAGCTGCCTCAAATTATTTTTAGAAAAAGGACAGGTAAAAATAAACGTATAGGACTAGTCACATGTCTATGCAGGAATAATCACACATCTTTGAGAAGGGGAAAGCAGATGTAAGATTTATTTTCAAATAGTAAGGGCCAGCATTTTACAGCTGCAATATCCTTTATTCCTCAGAACAATCTCTCTGGTGTTCGGATTACTAGCTCCATTTTACAAAAGAGAAAGCTGAGGCTATGACAAGCTAAGTAACTTACCCAAGGTCATCCAGCTAGAGACCCAGGATTCACACCCAGCCCTTCTAACTCCAAAGCCTGGTTTCCCTCCACTAGAGTACAATGCTCCTCCCAGATTTCTGAAGTAGACACCGTGGGACGTAGGGGACAAGAAGAACAGTGGATTTAGAGAAGGCCTTACCCTGGAAGTCTCTGCCCTGGTATTTATTTCCAGCA
This sequence comes from Homo sapiens, assembly GCF_000001405.40. Classification (NCBI taxonomy): domain Eukaryota; kingdom Metazoa; phylum Chordata; class Mammalia; order Primates; family Hominidae; genus Homo; species Homo sapiens. Next base: position 15,916,788 of record NC_000002.12, on the reverse strand, counting down.
CTTTGTGTTCTTTGAGGTTCTGTGATAAAGGTGAGCTCTAGAATGCTCTCTCTGTCCAATCCCATCCTTTCCTTGGCCTATCCTAGCCCTGAAGGAAAGCTCCCATAGAAGGCACTGCCAAGTCCTCCTGTTTCTGTGCGAATGGGAAGCACACCGGCCACCCATGGCTTCCTTGGGGCAGAGAACTGAGAGCTCCAGACTAAGAGGCAGCCCCTTTTCTGGGCATGAACTGCCTGTCCTGCTAGTAGAAATTCCAAACTTGGGACTGACAGTGGCTCTCTCAAGTTCACTGAGAGTGCTGGACCTTTCTGAGAAGCAGGTCCGGTGTCATACTTAGACGGCATACCCTGTGGCTGCAGGCAGCACCACTGCCTCCATGCCCACCCTGCAGCCTAAATGGGTCAATCATACTTAAAAATGCTTCAAATGCATTTATTGAGTTCTTTCTATTCACTAGACTCTATGATAGATGGGAAGCCCTTGAGTTTTTTAAAACTGAACTCCTTTATCATGGGTTGGGTTCCTCACTGACTTGATCAGATTGGTTAATCTAGTAGAGCCCCATTTTCCCTCTGAGACAAATGGAATAATTTTAACATGCATCTAATCTTTATCATCCTTATAAGCATGCAAAGTAATATCTGCACAGTACTTGGCCCATAACAGGCAGTGAATGGTGGTTGTTATTATTATTAATAACTACCAACACATTGGCCACATAGTAGGTGCTCAATAAAAATGTAAGGATTGGAAATTAGGCTCAAAGTGTTCGCTTTAATTCCCCATTTGAATTCCACCCAGAGCAGGGAAGATATGGGAGAAGAAAGGGGAAACCCAACATATTTGGTGTTTGGAAACATGACATCCAAAAATGTCTGTTTTCTTTTCTTTCTTTTTCTTTTTCTTTTTTTTTTTTTTTTTGAGATAGGGTCTTGCTCTGTGGCCCAGGCTGGAGTGCATGGCACAATCTCAGCTTGCTGCAACCTCTGCCGCCCTACAGGCACATGTTACCATGCCTGGCTAATTTTTGTATTTTTAGTAGAGTTGCGGTTTTGGGATGTTGGCCAGGCTAGTGTTGAACTCCTGACCTCAAGTGATCCTTCCTCAGCCTCCCAAAGTGTTGGGATTACAGACGTAAGCCATTGTGCCTGGCCCCAAAAATGTCTGTTTTCTTTCTTTTTTTCTTTTCTTTTCTTTTTTTTTTTTTTTTTGAGACTGAGTCTCACTCTGTCACCCACGCTGGAATGCAGTGGCGCGATCTTGGCTTACTGCAACCTCTGCCTCCTGGGTTCAAGTGATTCTCCTACCTCAGCTCCCCGAGTAGCTGGGATTATAGGCATGCACCACCACGCCTGGCTAATTTTGTATTTTTAGTAGAGACGTGGTTTCTCCATGTTGGTCAGGCTGGTCTCGAACTCCTGACCTCAGGTGATCCGTCTGCCTCAGCTTCCCAAAGTACCGGGATCATAGGTGTGAGCCACTGCACCCAGCCTAAAAATGTGTGTTTTCAAGTCACAACTATTTTCTTTCCTGCAGCTGTCAGGGGATAGAATTACTTAGGAACTGTGGCCAGCTTTTTGAGAGATGAGTTGGTGGAGGAAAGACCTACTTAGATGAAAAAGATAACACACCAGACGAATGGTCCCTCCAGTGCTTATGTCATCTGGCAGAGCCCCCTAAGTTAGGAGGAATTTCCCTTGTACCTGACAATAACATTTTTTCAAAATAAAATATGTTGAGGCTGAGAATTTTATCTTGGCTGAGCTTTGTACCATTAACTCAAGATTAAATGCATCCTGTCCAAATTCTTTTGCTACTTGAAATGGGTCTCAGGCTCGTGGTCTCCAGATGTTGATTCTATATGTGTCCCAAGAAAAGAAGCTAATTGCTCTTTGCGGTAGAAGCATGGAAGTGGGGCTGTGGTGGCTGTCCCGGTGCACTCCTTACGCCCCACTGCAGAGCCAAGGCAGGACTCCCCCAGCCACTGCAGCTTTGCCTGCTGAAGTGCAGAAGGTTGGCGGAGGTTCAGCTGGCTCCCTCCCTTCACACTATGTTTAGCTGAAAGCAGCTGCCATGCGGCCCCTCCAGTGAGGTATCCCAGTCTCACAGTTGACTGATGTGGGGGAACAAAAGCCTAGCCCTTCAGTGCTTCAGTTTGGGACAAAGTGCCACCCCAGCTCCAGAGCTCTCAGCCCTATGAGACTGGCGGAGGCTGTTGCTGTGAGGGCTTCAGAATTGAACTTCTGGCCACACTTACTTTCTGTCTTTTTTCTTTCTTTTTTTTTCGAGACAGAGCCTCGCTCTGTCGCCCAGGCTGGAGTGCAGTGGCGCCATCTCGGCTCACTGTGAACTCCGCCTCCCGGGTTCAAGCGATTCTCCTGCCTCAGCCTCCCAGGTAGCTGGGATTACAGGTGCATGCCACCATGCCTGGCTAGTTTTTGTACTTTTAGTAGACATGGAGCTTCTCCATGTTGGCCAGGCTGGTCTCGAACTCCTGACCTTAAGTGATCCACTCGCCTCAGCCTCCCAAAGTGGTGGGATTACAGGCATGAGCCACCACACCTGGCATATGTTTACTTTCTTCACTCCTCTGCAGGGAATAATTCAGAGGATGTTCCCTATAAACTTACCGCACGTGCATCTCCGGCTCAGAGATGTTGGTGCCAGGAAGGGTTTGAGGAAGCAGACTGTGTATGGGATTTTGAAGTTTGATCACTCATCAGCCAGTTGACCACGAGGACCCCATCCCTTGTGGCAGTGGAGCACTGATTCCCCCAGGCATGCTTTGCAATTGGTAAAACTTCCATGATACACTTGGGTGGAACAGCTATGGAAAGGAATGGACAGGAGGTGCAAGACTTCAGGAGTTTGAAAGGCTGGTGAGGAGGGGCGAACAATGGAGTGAGATGGCTGTTGCTGAGAACCATCAATGCATTTGAGAAAGGCAGTGGAAGGCTGAGAGTGATTAATCACGAAGGTAAAGTGTGACAGCCATAGGACCTCGTTGGTAGCATATAAAGAGGCCATCATCTCTCACAACTGGAGGGCGGAAAAGGCTGAGTATCAGACCCGAGATTGAATTTATAAGAGTTGTGGCACCCCAGAGATGGTCAAATTCTCAACCCTATGCAGTCGGTGATGCCAAGGTCAGGGTCCTTGTGCCAGTGCTGTGAGACTGCAGCACAGTTCAGTGCCTCCCTCCCTCTGCCTAGCCTCGCTGCCTTCACTCCTCACAAGAGCACCCCCACAAGAATCTTCCTGTACCCTAATCTCAATTTCAGAATCAGCTTCTCAAGAACCCCACGTTGGACAGGGCAGACGACCGTACCAACGAGGAGTCATCAGTTCCCCGCCAGCAGGGCTCAGTGTGGGTTTCGATGACTTTTTTAGTTTCGCCTCAGTCTTTGCAGTTACTATTCTCTGCACCTGAAACACTGTTTCTGGTCTTTCCACAGCTCTTCACTCAGGGTTCAGCTCAAATACTGCTTCCTCGAGAACATTCCTTGACCACTTATCCTGAAGTATTCCATGTCATGCCTGCTCAGTTTCGGTATTTCACATGACCCTGTTTTATTTGCTTCACAGCCCTGACAAGCATTTGCAACTATTTGCTCATTTATTTGTTTATTTTACTTTCCATCCCTCCCCCTGGAGGTAAGTTTCATGAAGTCCCAGGCCAGTGTTTAGTGTTGTGCTTGGGAGCTATATAAATATTTTTGAAGGCAAAATAAATAAAAAAATAAAAATTAAAGAAGGAAAAGGAAGGATGGAGAGAAGAAAGGAAAAAGGGGAGAGTACTGGGTTCAAATTCTGACTTTGGGTGGGTCATGGTGGCACACACCTGTAATCCCAGCTACTCAGGAGGCTGAAACAGGAGTATTGTTTGAACCCCGGAGGTGGAGGTTGCAGTGAGCCGAGATTGTGCCACTGTACACCAGCTTGGGTGACAGACCAGGCTCCATCTCAAAATAATAATAATAATAATTCTGACTTTGGTGAACCTGGAAAGATTCTTTGACTTCTCTCACCTTTTGATGCCTTCTATGGGGATCAAAAGGGGATACAAATTCTTTTTGAAATTCAGTGAGAGAATTTGGGCAGAGAGCCCATATTTTGCTTCTTCCCCTGGACACATCTAGAATGTTCTCTTTAGAATAGCACTCAAGTCTTTCTTTCTTCTTACTCACTTTGCCCTTCTTTCACCTCTTGCTTCTCATCTAAAGGGGAGATGTTCAGAAAACTGAAGTTACCAAACAGGAGATGTTTTTGAGAGATTATGTCGTAAGCATGAAAGGCAGCCTGTGAGTCAGAGCAGGAATCTTACCCCAGGCTTCGCTGTTTTGTGTGTTTATACTTATTATTGTTATTGTGTGTGTAGGAGGGGCCGCAGGGGCCTAACCTTACAGTAGTCAGCGGGCACCGGTTCTCCGGAAGCCCAGCTGCTGTCCTGGAATGACTCCTTGGCGGTTTCCCAGGGGAAGGCTGCTTCTTCCAACGCTGTGTGCCAGGAACCTGGCCAGCGGCTCCCGTCTCTGGGATTTTCCATCTTGGTTCCTATCTTCTTTTCAGTCTTGTCCTCCACTTTCTTGAGAATTAGCAATGGGATGGGTTTTGTTCACCTGCATTTATTCACTCATTTATTTTATTCTTTATGAAAGTAATAAATGGTCTTGGAAAGACCCAGGACCAGTACAAATTAAACCGGGGGAAAATAAAGAGTTGAAATCACTGTTTTAATTTGTAGTCATGCTCTCCCAGGACTTTTCCCATACAGTTTCTTAAATTTAGTTTTATCATGTCTAAGGGATATTTACAAATAGTTGAAAAACCAGAGAGTGTTGGCTTTTGACAACAACCAGCAATCTAAGGCCCCAGACTTCCCTCCGGATTCCCACTCCCTAGAGGCAATGGTGATTATTCCCTTCAGCTGTCTCTGCTACTTACCTCCCTCAGTCTAAATACTATGCTTACATTACCATTTCCTCATCTACTACTTTTAGGTTTTTGCGTTTTGACTTCTAGGTGTGGTGGGTGAGATTTTACACGTCTTCCTCTTGCCCTAACAGCTCAGCCTTACACCAATTCCCACTCCATCTTCCCAGATATATTCTATCAATTTGGCTAAACCATCATTACTCACATTTTCATGACTATATTAATATATTTGGAATAGAGCCATTTTTTTGTCCATTACATTTCTTGTCTTATAGAACTTTTTTTGCTTTCTTTGCAATTAATAATTGCCTCATGTTGTTTACTAAGCTTTCTGTGTATCTATCTCTAATTCACCCCCCACCTCTTCAGTAGAACTGTATTTCCTCAGTATTTTTATTTATTTATTTATTTATTTATTTATTTATTTATTTATTTTGCGACAGAGTCTCACTCATTCAGGCTGGAGTACAGTGGCACAATCTTGGCTCACTGCAACCTCTGCCTCCCAGGTTTGAGCGATTCTCCTGTCTCAGCCTCCTGAGTAGCTGGGATTACAGGCATGTGGCACCACACCCGGCTAATTTTTGCATTTTTAATAGAGATGGGGTTTCACCATGTTGGCCAGGCTGGTCTCGAATTCCTGACCTCAAGTGATCCGCCTGCCTCAGCCTCCCAAAGTACTGGGATTACAGGTGAGCCACCCCACCCAGCCTCCTCAGTATTGTAATGAGTGTGCCTTCAAACACAAAAGCCAGCTATGTCTTCCATTTGTTCCTTGGAAATGTCCTCCCTGGAGCACCCCATCCTCCTTCTCCAAACTGGAGCGACTGCTCTCTCATGCCCAGCTGGGCTCTAGGCCTCCTCTCCAACAACTCCAGAAGCATTCTCATGTAAGGGATTTTTTTACTCTTTTTTTTACTCTTTTTATCTTTAACAGCTTATTGAGGTATAATTAACAGACAGCAAACCTCACATGTTAAAATGTACAATCTGATGAATTTTGACACATGCATACATTTGAGTAACCATCACCATCATCAGGATAATGAGCATGTCCATCACCCCCAAAGCTTCCTGTGTCTCTCTCTTTTTTTTTTTTTTTGAGAACGAGTCTCTCTCTGTTGCCCAGGCTGTAGTGCGGTGGTGCCACCTCAGCTCACTGCAACCTCCGCCTCCTGGGTTCAAGCAATTCTCCTGCCTCAGCCTTCCCAGTAGCTGGGATTACAGGCACCCACCACCACACCAGGCTAATTTTTGTATTGTTAGTAGAGACGAGGTTTCACCATGTTGGCCAGGCTGGTCTTGAACTCCTGACTTCAAGGAATCTGCCCGCCTCGGCCTCCCAAAGTTCTGGGATTACACAGGTGAGCCACTGTGCCTGGCCCCTTGTGTCTCTTTGTCATCCCTCTCTTCTGCTTCTCTCCCCATTCCCAGGCTTTCTGTCAATATAAAGTAGTTGGCATTTTCTATAATTTTATTTTTACTTTTTATTTATTTCTTTTCTTTTGAGACAGAGTTTCACTCTTGTTGCCCACACTGAAGTGCAATGGCACAATCTCAGCTCACTGCAGCCTCCACCTCCAGGGTTCAAGCGATTCTCCTGCCTCAGCCTCCCGAGTAGCTGGGATTACAGGCACCCGCCACCACACCCAGCTAATTTTTGTATTTTTAGGGGTTTCACCATGTTGGCCAGGCTGGTCTCGAACTCCTGACCTAGGTTGATCCATCCACCTAAGCCTCTCAAAATGCTGGGATTACAGTCGTGAGTCACAGTGCCCGGCCTAGAGTTTTATATAATGGATTCATACAGTATGTACTTGTTTTGATCTGGCTTCATTTACTCAGTATGTATATATATATATATACATATATAGAGAGTATATATATATATAGAGAGAGAGAGAGATGAGGCCTTGCTATATTTCCTAGGCTGGCCTCGAGCTCTGGGCTCAAGGGATCCTCCCACCTCAGTCTCCTGCGTAGCTGAGAACAGAGGCCTGTGCCACCATGTCCAGCTCTCAGCATAATTATATTGGGATTTATCTGAATTGCCATTTCTTTTTTTTCTTCTCTTTTCTTTTCTTTTCTTTTTTTTTTTTTTTTTTTTTGAGACAGAGTTTCACTCTTGTTGCCCAGGCTGGAGTGCAATGGCGTGGTCTCAGCTCACCACAATCTCCGCCTCCCAGGTTCAAGCGATTCTCCTGCCTCAGCCTCCCGAGTAGCTGGGATTACAGTCATGTGCCACCACGCCTGGCTAATTTTGTATTTTTAGTAGAGACGGGGTTTCTCCATGTTGATCAAGCTGGTCTCAAACTCCCGACCTCAGGTGATCCACCTGCCTCGGCCCCCCAGAGTGCTGGGATTACAGGCATGAGCCACTGCACCCCACCTGCATTGCCATTTCTATCAACAGTTCATGGCGTTTTATTGTGGAGTAGTAGTCTCTTGTTTAGATGTCTTATACTTTGCTTATTCATTCCTATTGAGGACATTTGGGTTGCTTCTATTGTTTGGTTATTACAAATAAAGCTGCTATGAACAGCCATGTAAAATTCATTGTATGGCTATATGCCTTCATTTCTCTTGGATAAATATCTAGGAGCTAGGTCATATAGAGGTGTATTTTCTTATTTTATTTTCTTCTTATTATTTTTTGAGACAGAATCTCACTCTGTCGCCCAGGCTGGAGTGCAGTGGCACAATCTTGGCTCACTGCACCCTCCGCCTCCTGGGTTCAAGCAATTCTTCTGCCTCAGCTCCCCGAGTAGCTAGGATTACAGGCGTGCGCCATTACGCCCAGCTAATTTTTGTATTTTTAGTAGAGACAGGGTTTCACCATGCTGGCCAAGCTGGTCTCGAACCCCTGACTTCAGGTGATTCGCCTGCCTTGGCCTCCCAAAGTGCTGGGATTACAGGCATGAGCCACCACTCCTGGCTATATTGTTGTTTTTTAAGAAACTACCAAATTATCTTCTATATTAGTCTGTTTTCACACTGCTGATAAAGACATACCCAAGACTGGGAAATTTACAAAAGAAAGAGGTTTATTGGACTTACAGTTCCACATGGCTGGGGAGGCCTCACAATCATGGTGGAAGGCGAGGAGGAGCAAGTCACATCTTAGGTGGATGGCAGCAGGCAGAGAGAGAGCTTGTGCAGAAACTCCTGTTTTTAAAAATCATCAGATCTTGTGAGACCCGTTCACTATCACGAGAACAGCATGGGAAAGTCCTGCCCCCATGATTCAGTCATCTCTCACCAGGTCCTTCCCACAACATGTGGGAATTATGGGAACTACAAGATAAGATTTGGGTGGGGACACAGCCCAGCCATTTCATCTTCCAAAATATTTGTACCATATTAGCTTTTCACCAGCAGTGAGTGAGAGTTCCAGTTGTTCCACATGCTTACTAATATTTGGTATGATCAGTCTTTTAAATTTCACGCATTCTATTCAGTGGTGTCTATTGAGGTTTCAGTTTCCATTTTGTAATGACAAACAATGCTGAGCTTATTTTCATGTGCATATTTGCCATCCATATATCTTCTTTATTGTTCATATCTTTTGCTCATTTTATTGTGAAGTTGTTGGTTTTCTTATTATCCAGTTTTGAGAATTCTGTGTATATTGCGAATACAAGTGCTTTATCACATATGTGCTTTGCAAATATTCTCCCCTAGCCTGTGGCTTGTATTTTGTAACAGTGATTTTGAAGAGCAGAACAGAAATTTTTTTTTTTTTTTTTTTTTTTGAGACAAGATCTTGTCCTGTCACCCAGGCTGGAATACTGTGGTGCAATCATAGCTCACTGCAGCCTCAAACTTCTGGGCTCAAGTGATCCTCCCACCTCAGCCTCCTGAGTAGCTGGGAATGCAGGCACATACCACCATACCTGGCTAATTAAAAAAATTTTTTTTAATCTCACTGTATTACTGAAGCTGGTCTGGAACTCCTGGCCTTGAACGATCATCTCAGCCTCCCCAAACTCTGGGATTACAGGCATGAACCATTACACCTGGCTTGAAGAGAAGAGGTTCTTAATATTGAAGAAGTCCATTTATCTGTTTTTGTTTTTTTTCCCCTCATGTATTGTGTTTTTGGTATTGTATCTAAGAGATTGTTGCTTAACTCAAGACCACAAAGATCTTTTTCTATTTTTTTCTTCTAAGTTTTTTGTAGTTCTAGGTTTTACATTTAAGTCTCCAATACATTTTGAGTTAAATTTTGTGTATGGTGTGATGTATGGATCAATGTTCATTTTTTTTGCATATGAATAACCATTATTTTAACACCATTTATTGAAAAGACTATCTTTTTGCCCATGAATTAACTTTGCATGTCTCTTGAAAATCAGCTATCTATATATATGTGGGTCTACCTGTTCTGTCATATTTAACTATTTGTATAGTTTGAGATTATTATCACACTGTCTTAATTTTTATAGCTTTACAAGTCTCAAAGTCAGGCAAGACCAGTTTCCAGCTTTGTTATTTTTCAAAATTACTTTGGTATTTTAAATTTTTAAATTTTCATATTAATTTTAGAATTAACATGTCAATTTTCTTTTTTTGTTTGTTTATCTTTTCTTCTTTGTTTGAGAGAGTCTCACTCTGTCGCCCAGGCTGGAGTGTAGTGGTACAATCTCAGCTCACTGCAACCTCTGCCTCCCAGCTTCAAGCGATTCTCCTGCCTCAGCCACCTGAGTAACTGGGATTGTAGGCATGCGCCACCATGCCTGGCTAATTTTTGTGTGTTTAGTAGAAACGGGGTTTCACCATGTTGGCCAGGCTGGTCTAAAACTCCTGGCCTCAAGTGATCCACCGCCTCGAACTTCCAAAGTGCTGGGATTACAGGAGTGAGCCACCATGCCTGGCCAATATGTTAAATTTCTACCAAAGAAGCTTGCTAGAATTTTATTGAAAGTGTGTTGAGTTTGGAACAATTTAGTGAGAACTGACCTCTTAAGGATATTGGGTCATTCAATCCATGAATATATATTTCTCTCCATGTATTTAAGTCTTCTTTAATTTCTTTCAGCAACATTTTGTAGTTCCCAGTATATAGGTCTTACACATCTCCTGTCAGATTTATCCTTTAGTACTTAATATTTTTGGTGCTATTATTGTAAATGGTATTAATTTTACTTCAATTTCTGACTCTTTATTGTGAGAATCTAGAAATACCACTGATTTTTATATATTTAGTCTTGTGTCCTGCAACTCTGCTAAACTCACTTTATTAACATATGTCTTTATTTCTTTTGAGTAAATGTCCAGGAGTGGAATGTCTGAGTTATACAGTGGTGTAATTTTACCCTCTATATGGTAGTTCTAGTAGCTTTTATGTGGATTCAGAAGAATTTTCTATGTAGATGATCACATCTTCTGTAAATAAACACAGTTTTATTTCTTCCTTTCCAATCTAGATACCTTTTAATACTTCTTGGCTTTATGCAATGGCTTCAACATTCAGTACAAATGTTACATAGAAATGGTGAGAGGGGTCATCATTGCCTTAAATCTGATCGTAAGAAGGAAGCATTCAGTCTTTCCATGATGTTAGTTGTAGAGTTTTTGTAGATACCCTTTATCTGATTGAGGAAGTTTACCAATGTTCCTGGTTTGCTGAGAATTTTTGTCAGAAATAGGGGTCGGGCTTTGTCAAATGCTTTTCCTCCCATCTACTAGAGATAATCATACGCTTTCTTGCTTCATTTTGGTTTGGAGTTTAGTCTGTTGACGTGGTGGATTACATTACTTAATTTTCAAATATGAGAACAAACTTGTATTTCTGGAATAAACTGCGTTGGCTGTTGATGTATTATCCTTTTTATACATTGTTCGATTCAATTTGCTAAAATTTTGTTAACAATTGTTGCATATGTTCATGAAGGAAATTCATCAAATTTTCTGGTAATGCCTTTATCTGGTTTTGATATTATTGAATGCTGGTCTCATAGAATCTGTTAGTAATTATTTTTTCTGACTCAGTTTTCTGGAAGATTTTGTTCATATGTTTCCTTAAAAGTTTGCTGGAACTCACCAGTGAAACCATCTGGGCCTGGAATTTTCTTTGTGGGAAAGTTTTTAACAACAAACTCAATTTATTTAAAAGGCATAATGTCATTATGTTATCCATTTTTTCTTGAGTAAGCTTTGGTAGTTTGTCTTCCTAGAAATCTATCTATTTCATTTAATTTTTCAAATTTATTGGCATAGAATTGCTCATAATATTTCTTTATTATCCTTTTAATACCTAGAGGATCTGTAGTGATGTCACCTCACTCATTGCTGATATTGACTATTTGTGTTTTGTATATTGAAATCAAAATAAAGATGTAGAGCTGAATCTCTAAACTTAATGTTTTATTTGGGAAGAGAAAATTGTAATTTAGGGCATACACACAGACCAGGTGGCCTTTGGTATGTCTGAAGAGCAAAGGCAAGGTTAGAGGTTTTATTAAAAAGAAGAAGAAATGTCACATATTGCTCTTTGAGAAAGTTCATTGCCACTAGTAAAGGTTTGTAAAGTTGGGAAGCCCAAATAGGTGAGCAACAGTGATGGGCAAAATTAGTTCTAGAGTTGCAGCAAATTATCTCAGAAGCTATAGATAAAACTGGTTTTAGGTTACAACAGGCAGTTTCAGCAGCCATACTTACGAGAATTACATTCTCAGAGTAACGTTTTATACCCTGAGTGATTTTCCTCCGGTGGCTTCTTGACTCTGTTTTAGTTGGGAATGACAAGAATAACCCAATTCTTATGATCAACTTTCATATTTATTTTTTCCTCATCATCTGGCTAGAAGTTTATCAATTTTATTGATCTCGAAAAGCCAGCCCTTGGTTTCACTGATTTTCACTATTATTTATATGATTTTCTATTTTATTACATTTTTTTTTTGAGACAGTCTCACTCTGCTGCCCAGGCTGGAGTGTAGTGGGGTGATCTCGGCTCACGGAAACCTCCATCTTCTGGGATCAAGCAATTTCTGACTAATTTTTGTATTTTTAGTAGAGATGGGGTTTCACCATGTTGGCCAGGCTGGTCTTGAACTCCTGACTTCAAGTGATCCACCCACATCGGCCCCCTAAAGTGCTAGGATTACAGGCGTATTTTATTGATTTTTTCTTTGATCTCTCTTTCGTCTACTTTCTTTTCTTCAGTTGTTCTTGTCTTTCTAGTTTCTTAGGGTGAAAGATGAGGTCCTGGATTTGAGACCTTCTTTTTTATTTAATCATTTAGTATTATAAATTTCTAAATACTGCTTTGTTTTCATTTTCTTTTAGTGGAAAATATTTTTAAATTTACTTTGAGACTTCCTCTTTCAATCACAGATTATTCAGAGGTGTGTTATTTAGTTTCCAAATACTTTGGATTTTCTAGCTATCTTTTTACTATTAATTTATAATTTCATTGTGGTCAGAGAATATACTTTGTAAAGACTTGAATTTTTAAAAATATACTGAAGGCCAGGGATGGTGGCTCACTCCTATAATCCCAGCACTTTGGAAGGCCGAGGCAGGCGAATCACCTGAGGTCAGGAGTTCAAGACCAGCCTGGCCAAAATGGTGAAACCCTGTCTCTACTGAAAATACAAAAATTAACCAGGCATGATGGCAGGTGCCTATAATCTCAGCTATTTGGGAGCCTAAGGCAGGAAAATCTCTTGAATCTGGGAGGCAGAGGTTGCAGTGAGCCGAGATGGTACCACTGCACCCCAGCCTGGGTGACAGAGCGAGACTCCCTCACAAAAAAAAAAAAAAAAGTATACTGAGACTTACTTGTTTTATGGCCTAGATTATGGTCTATCTTGATAAATGTTCATGTGCACTTGAAAAGCGTGTATATTCTGCTGTTACTGGGTGGAGTGTTCTATGAATGTCTATTAAGTCAGTTTGGTTGATAGTGTTTTCAAGTCATCTGTATTCACACTAATTATATGTTTTCTTGTTTTATAATTATTGAGAGAGGGTCAGCAAGTTCTCAGACCATAATTGTGGACTTGGCTATTTCTCCTTGCAATTCTATTAGTTTTTGCTTAATTTATTATTTAATTTAATTTAATTATTTCTCTTCCCATCAGAGAGGTAATGTGCCAATGTCTGAACAAGATTTGAGGGAGGCACATCTCACCCATGCACCTGAAAACTCAATCATCATGCTTATGAACTACAAAAGGGTCACTTCGTTTATTTTTTCAATTTCAAAAATTTTTCGAGACAGGGGTCTCACTCTGTCACCCAGGCTGGAGTGCAGTGGCACGATCTCGGTTCACTGCAACCTCTGCCTCCAAGGTTCGAGCAATCCTCCTGCCTCAGCTTCCTGAGTAGCTGGGACTACACGTGTGAGCCACCACACCTGGCTAGTTTTTTTGTATATTTTATAGAGACGGGGTTTCATTATGTTGGCCAGGCTGGTCTCGAACTCCTAGCCTCAAGTGATCCGCCAGCCTTGGCCTCCCAAAGTGCTGGGATTACAGGCATGAGCCACTGTGCTCGGTCACTTTATTTATTTTTAAGCTTGGTTATTAAGGCACATAAGTATTTAGGATGTTGTAACCTCTTGTGTATTGACCTGCTGTATACCCAGTAATATTCTTTGCCTGAAATCTACATGGTTTTGTATTAATATTAATATAACCATTTCATTTACTTTTGATTACAGTTAGCATAGCATATGTACTTCCCTTTTTTTGCTTTTATCTTATTTGTATCTATATATTAAAATAGGTTTCTCATAGGCAGTCTGTCATTGGGTCTTGGTTTTTTTTCACTTTTGTTATTATGGTAAAATTTACATAACATAAAATTTACCATTTTAACCCTTTCTAAGTGTACAATTCAGTGATAGTAAGTACATTCACAATGTTGTACAACTATCACTGCTCTCCATTTCCAGAACTTTTTCATCATCCCAAATGACTCTCTGAACCTATTAAATAATACCTTTCCACTCCCAGCCCCTGGTAACCTCTAGTGTACTTTCTGCCTCTATGAATTTGACTATTCTAGGTACCTCATATAAGTGGAATCAGAGTATTTGTCCTTTTATGTTTGATTTCTTTCTTTTTTCTTTTTCTTTCTTTTTTTTTGAGACAGAGTCTTGCTCTGTCGCCCAGGCTGGAGTATAGTGGCATAATCTTGGCTCACTGCAATCTCTGCCTCTCAGGTTCAAGCAATTCTCTGCTTCAGCCTCCTGAGTAGCTGGGATTACAGGCGCCTGCACCATGCCCTGCTAATTTCTTGTATTCTTAGTAGAGATGAGGTTTCACCATCTTGGCCAGGCTGGTCTTGAACTCCTGACCTTGTGATCCACCAGCCTCGGCCTCCCAAAGTGCTAGGATTACAGGCGTGAGCCAGCACGCCTGGCCTGGCTTCTTTCACTTAACATAATGTCTTCAAGGTTTATCTATGTTGTAGCATACGTCAGAATTTTATTTTTTTAAAGCTGAGTAATATTCTGTTGCATGTATATACTACATTTTGTTAATCCATTCTTCTATCAATGAACGTTTGGGTTATTTTCACCTTTTTATTTTGAGACAGAGTCTCACTCTGTCACTCAGGCTGGAGTGCAGTGGCACTATCTCGGCTCACTGCAACCTCCACCTCCTGAATTCAAGCGATTCTCCTGCCTCAGCCTCCCACGTAGCTGGGATTACAGGCACACACCACCACAACCTGGCTGATTTTTGTATTTTTTATAGAGATAGGGTTTCACCATGTTGTCCAGGCTGGTCTCAAACTCCTGACCTCAAGTGATCAGCCCGCCGCAGCCTCCCAAAGTCCTGGGATTATAGACCATTTTCACTTTTTGTTTTCTGTGCACAATGCTGCTATAAACACTGCTGTACAAACACCTGAGTTCCTGCTTTCAATTCTTTGGAAATTGAAATATGCCTGGAAGCAGATTGCTGGATCATGTGGTCACACAATGTTTAACTTTTTGAGGAAACTTCCACAGTGGTTGCGCCATTTTATGTTCCCACCACTGATGCACCAGGGTTCCAATTTCTCAGCATCCTTGTGAACACTTGTTATTTTCTATCTTTTAATTTTGTTTTGTTTTTAATTTTAACATAATAGTCATCCTAATGGGTATAAAGTGGTGGGTCTTACTTTTTAACCTAGTCTGACAATATCTGCTTTTTAATTAAGGTGTATGTTAGTTATCTACTACTGTGTAACAAATTACCGCAATACATAATAGCTTAAGAACCAAACATTTTTTCATCTTTCAGGTTTTGAGGGTCCAAAATCTGAAGCAACTTATCTGGGCAGATCTCTCTCCTAAGGTTGCGATCAAGATGGGGCTGCAGACTCTGAGGATTTGACTGGGGCTGAAGAACCCACTTCTGAGCTCATCCAGGAGGCTGTTTGCAGGAAGCTATAGTTTCTTACCATGTGGGCCTCTCCATGGGACTGTTCTCAGCATGGCTTTCCCCATAGCTGATACTGATACTGGGAGAAAGAGGAAGAGATAGAGAGAAAGAGACGAAAAAGGGAGAGAGAGAGAGAGAATGCAATGCTGCTCTGCCCTTAGAGAGAGAGCGAGAGAGAGAGAAAAAGAGAGAAAAAGAGAGAGAGAATGCAATGCTGCCCTGCCCTTTATGGCCTAGTCACCAATTACACATCATCCCACCTGCCTTATCCTTTGCTTAGTAAGTCACAAAGCTCAGTCCATGCTCTATGGAAGAAGCTAATATGGCGGTGGAAATACCAGAAGATGGGCCTCAATGCTGGCCATCTTGGAGGCTGGCAACCACAAGATATTTAGACCATTTACATTTAATATAATTATTGATATGTTTATGTTCAAATCTATTATCTTATTTTTTTATTTCTACCACCTGTTCTTTGTTTCATTTTCCCCCTCTTTACACATTATTTTTAATTCATTGAATATTGTTTATGATTCCTTTGTAACAACTTTGTTAGCCTGGTGGCTATAACTGTTTGTGATGTTATTTTAGAGGTTGCTTTACAGTCTATAGTATATATCTTTAACTTCTACAGCTGTCTTCAAGGGATATTATACTACTTCATGTATCAGAACCTTACAACAATATACTTCTATTTTTTCCCTCTAGGACTTTGTGATATTATTCTCATATATTTTACCTGTATATATGTTAACAACAAACATCAAAATACATTGTTAATATTTTTGCGTCAATCACTTTTACCTTTTAAAAATGTCAATAACAAAAATAATAATATTAGCCTTTATATTTATCCATGTATGTACCATATCTAGTGCTTCTCATTTTTTTGTGTAAATCCAGATTTCCATTTGGTATCGTTTTCCTTCTGCTTGAAGTATTTCCTTTAACGATTCTTATAGTGCAGGTCTGCTGGTGATGAATTATTTCAGCTTTTTTATGTCTGAAAAAGTCTTTATTTTATCCTTGTTTTTAGAAAGATAATTTCACTGCATGTGGAATTCTGTGTTGACAGTTTTTCCTTTCTTTCAATGCTTTAAAGATGTTGCTTCACTGTCTTTAAGCTTACATTGTTTTTAATGAGGAATTTGCTATATTCACGTGTCTTTTTTCTGTTGTATACAATGTGCCCTTCCCCCATCCCTGGCTAATTTCAGGATTTTTCTTTTCATCACTAGTTTTAAACAATTTGATGATACTATGGCTTGGTATAGGTTTTTTTTTTTTTCCATGTTTGTTTTAGCTTCTTAAATCTGTGGGTTTATAATTTTTATCAAATCTGGAAGGTTTTTGTTGTTATTTCTTTAAAAAAAAATATGTATATATACTTTTTCTTTTTGAGACACAATTTCACTCTGTCCCCCAGGCTGGAATGCAGTGGTGCAATCTCAGCTCATTGTAACATCTTCCTCTGGGGTTCAAGCAATTCTCATACCTCAGCCTCCCAAGCAGCTGCGATTACAGGCACAGGCCACCACGCCCAGCTAATTTTTGTGTCATTAGTAGAGACAGGGTTTCACCATGTTGGCCAAGCTGGTCTCGAATCCTGACCTCAGGTGATCTGCACGCTTCAGCTTCCCAAAGTGCTGGGATTACAGGCGTGAGCCACCTCACCTGGCTTCAAATATTTTTCTGTCCCCCACTTTCCCTTTCTTTGGGAACGCTGGTGTCCAAGTCACTCACCATCACATTTCCCTTATCCTGTTCTCTGGAAGTCACTCACTAAGCACAGCTCACATTCGATGAGGGGTTTACATGACGACATGTGTAGCAGGAGCTGTGGATCATTTGCTGGTGAAGTATGTTTTACAGTAGCCCTCACTTATGTTTGATTGCTTGAAGTTGTCCTACACTTCACTAATGCTCTGTTTATTTGTGTTTCAGTCTTTTTTTTTCCTGTGTTTCATTTTGAATACTTTTTATTGATGCATCTTCAAGTTTGCTAATCTTTTTTTTCTGTAATATACAATCCGCCATTATTCCCTTCCAATGTACTTTTCGTATCAGATATAAAAAGTTTTTCTCTTTGGAGATTCTGTTTGGATCTTAGTTATATCTTTTGTCTCTCTACTAAACTTGTTCAATCTTTTGTCTAACTCCTTAGAGATGTAAAATGTGGTTATAACAATTTTTTTTTTTTTTTTTTGAGATGGAGTCTCGCTCTGTCACCCAGGCTGGAGTGCAATGGCATGGTCTCGAGTCACTGCAACCTCTGCCTCCCAGGTTCAAGCAATTCCCCCAACTCAGCCTCCCAAGTAGCTGGGACTATATGTGTGCACACCACCACTCCTGGCTAACTTTGTTGTATTTTTAATAGAGACAGGGCTTAGCCATTTTCCCAGGTTGGTCTCAAACTCTTGAGCTCAAGCAATCTGCTGCCTGCATAGGCCTCTCAAAGCGCTGGGATTACAGGCATGAGCCACCGTGCCTGGCCCTATAATGATTTTAATGTCTTTGTCTACTATTTCTATCATTTGTGCTATTTCTGGGTGAGTTTCCATAAATGAGTTTTCTCTTCAGTATGGGTTTCATTTTCCTTTAAATTGGATCCCAAATATTATGAATTTTATTAGTGTTGGGTGCTGGATATATTTTCATTCCTAATAATATTTCTGTCTTTCTTTTTTTTTTTTTTTTTTTAGAGACAAAGTCTCACTATGTTGCCCAGGCTGGTCTCGAACTCCTGAGCTCAAGTGATCATCCGCTTTGGCTTCTCAAAGTGCTAGGATTACAGGCATGAGCCGCCATGCCCGACCTTTAAAAATATTGTTGAACTTTGTTCTGGGATGAGGTTAAATTACACAGAAACAATGTGCTCCTTTTGGTTCTTGCTTTTAATCTTTATTAGGCTGGAACAAAGCAATGGTTAGTCTAGGGTCAACTTTTCTCCCTGACTGGGGCAAGATCCTCCTTGGTACTCTAGCTAATGCTTTATGAATTTTGAGCTGTTCCAATCTGATGGAGCAGGCATTGGCCCCAGCACAGTTCCCTCTAGTGCTTTCTTTCCCTGACCTTGGGGAGTTTCCTCACCTGTACGCACTGGTAAGTACTCAATTGAATTCTTAAAGGAACTCTCTTCAGATCTTTGAAGTTCCCTTTCTGTGCAGCGCTCTGTACACGGGTATTCAATTCTATGAATGTTGGCTCCCTTGGTTTTTCCAGGACATTTCCCCAGATGTGCCGCTTCATCTCCTCAAACTCAAAGAAGCCCTTGGCTTCTGTCTGGATGTGTTCTCCCTGCCTGTAAGGCTCTATTTGTTTCACTGGTCTTTGTTACCCAATGTCTAATGTCTTCAGAGCTGTTGTTTCTTACATTTGGTCTGGTTCTATATTTGTTTCAGGTGGGAGGGTAAATCTAGTTCCTAGGGTAAATCTTTGCCATGTCCCATGTCTTTTTCTGTCTTAACTCTCATTTTGATGGAGTATTTTCTGCAGCAACTTCCTGAGGAAGAATTTATGGACATAAGCTTTTGAGATCTTTCAAGTCTGAGGTTTTTTTCTCAATTTACATTTGATTGATAATTTGGCTGGGTATAATATTCTACATTTGAAAATTATTTTCCCTCAGAATGTTTAAGAAAGTACATCCATGTGTTTTTAGCTTCTAGTTTTCTGATTGATTCCTTCCCCTTCTGAAAAAAAAAACAAAAACAAAACAAACAAACACAAAAAAACCCCAGAAAAAACCTTTCAGGATATCTTTTTCATACTTACTATTATCAAATTTTATATCAATGTACTTTTTTTTTCAAATGTCCAACATTATGTTGGGCATTTGGAGAACCTTTTCTATTTAAAAATGTCGTCTTTAGGAGACCGAGGTGGGTGGAATGCTTGAGCTCAGGAGTTTGAGACCATTCTGGGCAACATGGTGAAATGCCATCTCTACAAAAAAGTACCAAAAATTAGCCAGGCATGGCGATCCACACCTGTAGTCCCAGCTACTTGGGAGGCTGAGGTGGGAAAATTGCTTGAGCGGAGAGGGTCAAGGGTGCAGTGAGCTGTGATTGCATCACTGCACTTCAGCCTGGGCAACAGAGCAAGACCCTGTCTCTAAAATATATATATATATATATATATATATATATATATATATATATATATATATATATTCTTTAGCTCTGGGAAATTATACATATATTCTTTAGCTCTAGGAAATTATATCTAGCTGGTCCTACTGAAGGAAGTCAGATTCACTTTTCTTCTCTCTTCTCAGTCAGATACCATTCATCTCTCTGTTTTCACATTTTTAGAACTTTTTTGGCATCTCTTACTAGCTGCTGTCTCCTAGTTTGTTTAGCCTACTGAAGAAAGGTTATTCTTCTCTCCACTAAGTCAGTTACTACTAATTCATCTGTTTTGCAGCTTCTAGAATTTTGTAGATATCTCTTGTCCACTGTCATCTCCTCTCTTATTCTCTCTTCCCTCGTAGTTTGTGCCTCTTGCATTCCTTTACGATCACGTTGGTGGGATTCCAGGAGGGAGTAGAGAGAATGTGCGTGTCCATGGGGCATTTATTGGAAAGACAAGGCAGGGGCCCAGGTAATCAAACTGTGCATTGTGGAAACATGTGGTAGTCAAGAAGCCCAGAGTCCACTCCCTGCTGGCCAGAGCTTGCTGACTTCCATTGCCCAGTCAGGACTAGTTCAAAGAAGAGCAAGGAGGAGACCACAAATGTGCCAACAAAGAAGAGTATATGCCCCCTAGACTTAGCTATAGAAATTCATTTAGTTTATTCCAAATGCTTGTATTAGTACCTCCTCTGTGCAAGACCAGAGAACAGCCCAGCGTGCCCAGCTCCGGAGCTGCCATTCTTAACCACTGATTGTATTCCATACCAAGAGAGATCAGAACAGAAACTTCACCTGCTACTTTTTCCTCTTGTGAGATATCTTAGTAGCTTCTCTTCTTGAGTTGCTCAGAGCCTGTGGCCAGAGGCCTTGTGTCCTGCCTGTGTTAACAGCCGTTTGATATTAAAGACTGATGGAGGTGGAACTACTTGCTAATCTAGGTTTTCTGGTGGTGAACTTTAGATGAACAATGCCCCTTTGATCTTCGGAAGCAGGCCACAGGATCCTGCCTGCTTGGGGCTTGCTGGGCACAGGCTGTGGAGATCAGTTGGAGGCCCTAAAGAGTCCAGTTTCCCCAGCTGCAGGTTGGAGTAATTTGCATTTCAAAGGCTCTGGATAAACTGCAAAGGAGCACATTGGGGAAAGATTACTTCTAATTCCTAATGACTCAAAAAGGCTTGGTAATCGTTGGCCACCCAGCTGAAGCCTGCCCAAGAGTGAGTTTTAGACTGAAATAAGAGAAGGTAAATGCAGCCAAGCACTGGGGGAAGCACATGGGGAGGTTGAAATGATTGGAAAAGCAAGCATGGGGAACGAAAATCAGAAGCACCATGTTAATATTTTACCTGCATTTTCATCCGTTTTCTTTCATTTCCAATATAAGCTCAGGAAGGGCCTTTTGTAATTATCTGGCTGACATCAGATGAAACCATGGTGACATGGTTTCACAAATGGAGAAACTTTAAAGGCCAGATATCTTGTTTATGGCCAGATTGGTGAAGCTTGATTCAGGATTGGAAGCCAAGTGTCCAATCTCCTAGTCCTGAGTTCTTCCCCTCTACAGCTTAACTATCTGAGGACACCGCAGATATTAGAGCAGGCTGGCCAGTTTGGGTTTGGAAAGTATCACGATGAGACACAGAGGAAGAAGATTATGTGGAAGAGGTCTAGAAATATATGATTACCCTTTCCATTTCTCTTGCTTTGTGTTTATTTTGGAAGTTTTAGAGTTTTCACAACTATGATAACAATATCTATTAAAAGCTTTAGAACCGTGTATTTTTAACCTAGCAATGCATTTGTAGAAATTTATTTTCCAAAAATAATTGAGACGTGCATAGAATTTTAGCCAAAGTAATGATAATCTCAGTCCTTTTTGTTTTTTGTTTAAGCAAAAAAATTGGAAAGAAACATCTAATAGTAGGGGTGGAATTAAGTAAATGTTGATACATCCATGCAATAGACTACTGTGTAGCTATTAATATTAGAGTGACTTTATAGAATGTATTTAATAAAATAGAAAAAAGTTTTACATATAAATGAAAAAAGTAGATTACAGAAGAGAATGTAACACATAATCCTATTTTTGGATAAATAATATATACATGAATGCAAAAATAACTAGAAGTGTATATCAAAATTTAATAGTAAGTATCTCAGGTAATGGGATTATTGTCTTTTTGTACTTTTCTACATTTTTCACATTTTCTAGGTCTGAATATGTATTACTTTTTTATCAAATAAAAAAAACCTATAGCCTTCTCAGAATGACAATAAATTGCCAGATAATATAACGGGACCATTTTTTTACTCACTGCACTTGAATAAAAGTGTGGTCTTTCTACGGATCAAGTCCTAAACACTCTGTAAGAGTTATTCTTTTATCCCATCCTGCTGGGTCAGCCACTTTTCATGTGCTGGTCCTACACTTAGAATTAAAAAAAAAATTCAACTAAATTGTTTGTTTGTTTGTTTGTTTTAAATCACAGACGAATCCCTATCAGACAATAGACAAAAGAAATATGTAAAGCTTTGAAGCAGAGACAAACAAATCATTAGGGATCTTGCTTTGCAAGTTTTAAAATAAGATACATATAACTGTCCCCACTGAGTGACTTCAAAACAAAGCCTGCAGTATCAATCTTGATAACCTTCAGACGATTTTACCTTGCAGGTTTCAAACCAAACAGTCATAAAGAATTTACGAGAGGCAGTTCTGACTATGAGGTCTGAAGCCAACTGTTGCCGAAACAAAACGTGGTTGGGGAATTTGTAGGGTGAGCATATCAACCAAATGAGCACACTTCTGCAAATTCAAGAGGGTGAAATTGTCATGATACGAGGCAACAGGCAGAAATTGAAACTAAGAAGAACTGGGAATTATAATTGACGTATGAATTTTGCTTCTTTCTAAAGGCAGTTCTGTTTGAGAGGCTATGTGGTATGAAAGAGTGATGGAATGTGGGGATTGGATGTGCCCTTGGAAGCCGACCACCAATGCAGCCACCTCATTGCCCGATGGGGAAGCTGAGGTGCAGACTGGGGAGGGCCTAAGCTGAGGCCGCACTAAATTTGTGCCAGAGGCAGCTCCTAACTAATGATCCAAGGCTAAATGCCTTTCAATGATTGTTTTCTGCAAAAGAAACAAAATCCTTTCACCAAAGGCCATGCAGAGGCCACTAAGGCATTCAGACAAGAAGCAGCATGCAGAAGCAGAGAGAGACCTGTCAGAAAGCCTTGGCTTGCATCCCAGCTTTGATTCTGGCTTTTTGACTTGGGAGCAGTCACTTAACCACTCTGAACATCAGTTTCTTCATCTGTAAAGTTGGCAGATGAATTATTATTCAGATTATACATTGACTTTGCTTTTGCATCGTGGTAATACACAGATAACGTAAGATTTATCATTTTCTCTATTTCTAGGTGTACAGTTGAGTGACATTAAGTGCATTCACATCGTTATGCAACCATCACCACCATCCATCTCCAGAACTTTTTTATTTTCTCAAACAGAAACTCCATACCCATTTAAAAAACAACTTCCCATTCTCCCCTCTCCCAAGCCACTGGCAACCAACATTTTTGACTTTCTGTCTCTATGAATTTGCCTCCTCTAGGTACATCATATTAGTGGAATCATATAGTATTTGCCTTTGTGTGTGTGTGTGTGTAGCTTCTTTTACTTGTCATAATGTCTTCAAGGTTCATTCATGTTATAGCATGTGTCAGCATGTAATTAGCATGTAATTCCTTTTGAAAGGCTGAACAATATTCTATTGCATGTACGTACCATATTTTGTTTATCTATTCATCTGTTAATGGACATTTGAGTTACTTACAGCTTTTGGCTACTGTGAATAATGCTGCTATGCACATAGGTGTGTAAATATTTGTTTCAGTCCCTACTTTCCATTCTGTTGTGTGTATACACAAGAAGTAGAATTGCTAGACCATATTGTTGTGCATTGACTATTAAGAGATGCTTGCAGATAGGACCTTGGGCAGGTTATGAAAACTTTTTGAGTGTCCTTGGAATAATAACTCTGTTAGACCCTACCATAAACACCATTTACTATAAGTGATGATAAATAAGATACAGGTTTTTTTTTTTTATTTTTTATTTTTAATTTATGTTTTATTTTTTGAGACAAAGTCTGACTTTGTTGCCCAGGCTGGAGTGCAGTGACACAATCTTGGCTCACTGCAACCTCTGCCTCCTGGGTTCAAGCAATTCTTGTGCCTCAGCCTCCCCAGTAGCTGGGGTTACAGATGCACACCACCACGCCTGGCTAGCTTTTTGTATTTTTAGTAGAGACGGGGTTTTGCCTTGTTGCCCCAGGTGGTCGTGAACTCCTGAGCTCAAGCGATCCACCTGCCTCAGACTCCCCAAGTGCTAGGATTACAGGCATGAGCCACTGTGCCCGACAGCCAGATACAGATTTTTAAAAATGAGCTGGTGCTGCAGGGTTGTAAACAGGCTGGGGTAACCAAAAGCATTTGTCCTTTTGAGTAGGTCTCAGTAGGTCTCCTCTGCTTGTGCAGAATCCACTGTTCCAGAGATTTCACTTCCCTGCCCAAAGTGCCCCTCACTTCCCTCCGGCAGATTGTGCTTCTGGAAAGTTGTGTTTAGTAATATCTTAAACACTCATTATTCAAGGAACCCTGCGGTGGTTCCTTCTGTAAAAGCAAGGCTCTGTTGGTGAAGGAAATAACAAGCTCTAAATGACTCGTAATAAATTAGAGCTTTGATATAAAAAGCTCTGACCTACATGTAGGACTTCACAGTTGACAGAATTCTCTCACCTCTGCTTGTCTGTGTCATCTGGTATTTATCGGGGTGAAGCCGTGAAGGGATCCTTCTCTACAGAAGAGAACGGGTTGAGCATTGCAGTGGAAAATATCACTCTGGAGACCCACGGTCCTGCCTTCAAATTCCTTCCTTTCTACCAACTATGCAATCTTGGCTAAGTTACATCTCCTGTCTGGGCCTCGGCTTTCTTAGCAGGAGAATGGAGACAGTAGCTACCTCATGGGGCTGCTGGGAGGGGTGCCAAGAAGGCTGTTCTGCAAAATCAGGAGCAAGATGTTAATATGAAATCTCAGAAATCATATTCTACAAGTAACTGTTTTTGTGAGAGTGTCAGACCAGCAAAAATAAAGTTATTTTTCCTGCAGAAATGTTAGTAATAAAGGTCTTTTCATTACCATACATTTCTAGCTTTCAAACTACATCCCTAAAGATTACATTGAGCTCCCACTTGCAAGCTAGGGCCTGTTCTTAATAACAAGAAAGTAGAAAATTCTACAAGGAGCAAGATTTTTCAAAAGTGGAAATTGTGATCAGTATAATGTAAATTGTTCCCTAAGCAATGGCTGCCTATATAATCTACAAGATAAAAACTGGAAGTGGTTTTCTCTAGCGAGGGTGGCGGGGGGCTGTCCCTGCCCCACAGGAATCAGGATAACTGCCCTGCCATGTGTTCAGCACTTTAGAATTTTCACATTCTTCAGAATCCCCTAGCACGGTAGGTAGGCAGTGCTGGGACCATTGTCCGCATTTACAGCCTGCAAAACTGAGTTCCAAACGGGTAAAGCCACTTGGCTTAGGAGGCCCAGATGATAGGAGGATAAGAGGTGTCTTCTCTCTCCACCCCAGGCCTGCGGGTCCCAGGGCTAGGGGCGTCCCTTGGCATTCCTATCTCTCTGTCCAGGGCCACCCTGCAGGTCTCCAGTGGGGAACGCTTGCACCCTGCCCAGCTTCAGGCAATGACAGACTGAGGGCAGAGCGGGCCCTTTGGGGGGCTAAGACTGAGAGCTGGGGATGGGTGGTTCTTTCAGGGGGAGACCTAGTTTGTGAAACCATAAAGATCCTGAGTTCATAAATACATAATAACTGTCATTCTAGATGTTTCAGAGCCGATTGTGCAAGAACTGAGGAGGCAGCCACCTGCCTGCAGGCCAGAATGGAATTCCCCAGTGCAGGAAGCAGCCTGGAGAACAAAGCAACCTTATCTCTGGCGAGGCAACTGACGCTTCTTGGGCTCCTGCCCCCTCCTCTGCACATGGCCTGCTCCAGCCTCTGCGGTCCACCATCTGGGAGCTGCAGCCTGGATGGGGGTGGGGCTCCTCAATTAGCTGGTCCCCTAAACTGGAACATACTTGGAAACACCTAAACATTTGTTGAACGAAGGACAGATTCACCCTTTAAGTCTTGATGATTGCCTCTGTAAAATGGGTATAATAATAGGGCTTCATTTGGTTCAGCTGTGAGAGTTGAGTGAGAAAAATCAGCAAAGCAGCCTGGGAATGTGGAAAACATGCTGCCTGTCGGTGGCGATTCTCACTGTGACTGTCATTACAGTGGGAGCAGAGGGAACAGCTTTATCTTCCGGGTCTGCCCAAGAAGGCCTCCTGCCTTGGTGAGCCCGAGACTGGGTGTGGAAGGAAGCAAAGTACTGGATCTTCTGGAAGAGGAAACAACAGCATGGTAGACGGAGAGGACCGTGGGGGCAAAAGCAAGGAGCGGGAGCAGGATGGCGGGGGTCGGGCCAGGATGGCAGGGTAGGGGCAGAGTTGGCAGCACACTGGCTGCCAGGCCCCTTCCTTGGTCTTTATTCAGAGCCAGAGAGAACACCCCTTCATTGTGGCTTCTCCTGAGGCTCAGTTCACAACTCAGGAGAGAAAGTGTACACGCTGCACACGTCAGCTTCAAACTTCTTGCAGCCAAGAGGCCAGCTCGGATTGGAGTAGGCTTCTAATGCTTAATGTGCATATAAACCGCCTAGGCTCTTGTAAAAATGCAGATGCGGATAGCCTGGGGTGGGCCCGAGGCTCTAACAGGCTCTCAGGGACGCTCATGCTGCTGGTCCTGGTTCAGGGACCACCCTTTGAGTATTGGGGCTGCAGACTAGCAACACTCCTGGTGCCGTGGCTCCCGGGATCCACAGTTGATAGAAAACGAGTTATTGCTACATTGTTTGGCCAGGATGGCCTTCCTTCCCTATGTCTCTCTCTCTCTCTCTTGTGTGTGTGTACGTGTGTGTGTACGCATGCACGCTTTCTCTCCGTCTCCATATGCCGCTCTGCTCCTCTCTGGTTGATCTCTTTTTCTGTGATCCCGCCTCCATCCCTGTCTCTCTGGGTGTTTGTCTCTCTGGCTCACCTCCACGGCTGTCTCGCCATGGGTGTCCCCCTGACTGCAGGGTGCTCAGGCACTGAGTGCCATCTGCCTATCAGTCTGCCTGTCGGAAAACTCCTCTGGGGTCTAGCTGACGATGAGTGCTGTCACGTGGCAGGGAGGGAAGCAGAGTACTAACAACTGGTTGACAGCTGGTCACAGCTGGTGACAGCTTGGGCAGGCCTGGGCGTGGGAAAACACAATTCAGGCAGCAACAGCTGGGACGGGGACCACACTCTGAAGATGAGCCGACAGACTGCCACACAGTATGCGAGGGGCAGCACCCAAGCCCCACTCCTACCAGCCCGGCCACCATCCCTTGGAGTGAAGCAGATGCCAGGGATGGCTCTGAGGCTATCACACTCCTGACATCCATAGCCCCTGCAGGGAAAGGGCCATGGGCAGCTGCTCCCTAGCTCCTGCTCCCACAGAACGTGGATTGTATTTGGGGGGGTTCAGAAAGGGTAAGAAGGAGCGTCTGTGTGCATCCATGAGAACACTCCTGGGAAGCTGCGTGTGTGTGTATATGTGTGTGTGTGTGTGTGCCTGCAGATAGGGCGCTAAAGGAGAGGGGCATTCCATCAGAGAGCTGCCCCAGCTGGAGAGCTCGGGGGCCTGTGGCAGGGATGTCATAGATGAATACAGTGCCTGCAAACAGCACGCACCAAGAAATACAAACACGGGTTGTTATCATCATCTTTATTATTGCTGCTTTAAACACCAACATTTTCTCTTATCCATTTTGAATAGAAACAATTATAAAACGTGCTACAGATGTCCTACTTTCTTAATCCAGGGACACTGAGTATAAGTAACCCGAGAGCATGAACCGCTCCTGGAGAGGCAGGTACAGCCCTGTGTGGGGAACCCTCAGGCGTCTCACTGCAGAGAACCAGGGTTGCCAGAGCTTGGCACAAAGTAAGAGCAGGCAAGCTCTCAGTGAGGGGCCAGGGGCTTTTTAAGCGAGAAAGGATATGGCACTCGGAGGCCACAGCTTTGTTCAGAGGCTCCTTTTCTCTTGTTTAGCTACTTTTGGCTGTGTGTGTGTGTGTGTGTGTGTGTGTGTGTGTGTGTGTGTGTGTGTGATTGAGAGGGAGAAAGAGAGAGAGAATGTGCCACAGACTGGCCACTCCCCAGTAACTCAGATCCAATGCTGCCTGTCCTGGCAACCCAGCCTACCCTGTGCGTCTGTTTCACAGGTGAGGGCTGCCTTCTATGTGTCCTCTGTAGAGACCAAACTCAGCATTTCCTCATTCCCACCAAGGACCTGTGGGAACACAAATGTTGACAGGGGGCCCCGTCACCACTCTGCTTGGGCACAGCCAGTGCTGGAAAGTGAGACCAAGGAGCTATTTGGCAACTCACAAAGTGAAACAAATGTGCTGGAAAGCCTCCTATGGCTCCCCACTGCCTTTAGAGGAAAATTCAAGCAATTCTCCGAGGCCTACCAGGCCACAGCCCACCCCTCTCACATCTCTGGCTTCCAGCCTGCCTTGGCCTACCAGGCTCCCACACTTGCCTTTTTTCTTTTTTTTTTTTTTTTTTTGAGACAGAGTCTCACTCTGTCATCCAGCCTGGAGTGCAGTGGCGTATTCTGGGCTCACTGCAACTTCCACCTCCCAGGTTCAAGCGATTCTCCTGCCTCAGCCTCCTGAGTAGCTGGGATTACAGGTGCCCACCACCATGCCCAGCAAATTTTTTGTATTTTTTAAATAGAAACAGGGTTTCACCACGTTAGCCTGGCTGGTCTCAAACTCCTGACCTCAGGTGATCCACCCACCTCGGCCTCCCAAAATGCTGGGATTACGGGCGTGTTCCATTTCGCCCGGCCCACACTTGCCTTCTTTCATTTTCCCCAAACATCCCAAGTTCCTTCTGCTCACAGCCTTTGCGGTCATTGTCCCATCCACCTGGAGTGTTCTTCACGCCTGTCCCCACCCTGCCTGAGGCTCGCTCATCGTTCTGAGTCAGTGTCGCTCTCTCGAAGAGGCCTTTGCCAGCCACTCTACCCAAATAGGGCCCCTGTGCTCCTCCTGTAACAGTAAGCATCACAATTTGGATTCATTTTGTAATCTCCCCCCCACACCTCCACCTAGACTGTAAGCCCCCGGGGGCAGTCACCCCGTCTGGCTTGTTCTTATCTCGGTCCTAGCATTTTGCCCCCAATATTCAATAAATATTTGTTGACAGAATCAATGAATTACAAACATTGCGCATCTCAGAAGTCCAGGCCTCCCAGAGCATAGAGGCACTCTAACATGACAGAAAGGGAGGTGGATGTCCTTAAGGAAGGACTGGTCACGACCCAGACCCTGAGGGCTCCTGGGCTCAGCTTGCTAAGGAGGAAAAAAATAGTCTCTCTCCTCAAGAAGTCTGTGGCTCAGTGGGGGAGTGTTCCAGTTTCTATGACTGCATCAAATATTACCCCAAAACTTAGTGAGTATGTAAAGCAACCATTTGTGTGCTGATTTTGTGGACTGGAAATTCAGGCAGGTGACAGAGGTAAGAGACTCTGTTATCTGCATCCTCCTTAGCAAGCTGAGCAGAGAAGGGCTCTGCTCCATGATGTCTTAACTAGGAGGAAACTCAAGTACATGGCCTGGGATCATCTAAAGTTTGTTCTCTTACATGTCTGGTGGTTGATGCTGGCTGTTGGCTGGGGATCTCGGTTCCTCCCTATGGGATTCTGCGTGTGAGCTAGTTTGGGCTCCCTCACAGCATGGTGGCTGATTTCAAAGATAAGCATCCTAACACATCCTAGTGGACACTATATTGTCTTTTATGAACTAGCTTCAGAAATCATGAACCTAACATCCACCACACTCTATTCCACAGGCTGTCACAATGTCCCACCCATGTTCAAGGGGAGGGAAAATACATTCTCTCTTTTTTTTTTGAGGTGGAATTTTATTCTTATCGCCCAGGCTGGAGTGCAATGTCGCCATCTCAGCTCCCTGCAACCTCCACCTCCTGGGTTCAAGCAATTCTCCTGCCTCAGCCTCCCAAGTAGCTGGGATTACAGGCATGCGCTACCACGCCCGGCTCATTTTTGTATTTTTAGTACAGATGGGGTTTTACCACGTTGGCCAGGCTGGTCTCGAACTCCTGACCTCAGGCGATCCACCCTTCTCGGCCTCCCAAAGTGCTGCAATTACAGGCATGAGCCACCACGCCCGGCCAGATTCTAACTTTTGATAGGGGGTAGCAAGTTTCTGGACAACCATGTGAGACTGAAAATATTGCTTTGGCCATTTTTGCAAAATACAGTTGGCCACAAAGATGTAATAAATAATAACATAGGATGAAAAGGGACACTAATACCCTCTAAGATTTCCCATCATGGGGTGGGCTTGGTAAAAGTAATCATCACAGTAGGTATAATGCAGACAGCAAGTGAAAGCTATTTTAGGTTGACCACCTACTTACATAACAGGTGGATATTTTACATCTATTATCTCACTTAATGAGATAACATTAGTTGAGACTTTCACAGCTTACAGAGCTTTTTTGACACATCATATTTTTAATCCTCATCACAAACCTCCCAGCTCTGAAGTCTCTCCACTTTACACATGAGAAAACTGAGATTCAGAGCACTGCAAGGAAGCCTCGCCCCGGCCCCCAGAGCTGAGAAATGGTGGTGCTCTAGGCACGTAACATTCTGTGTTCTGGCCCCTAGCCCCACAGCAGATCTGACGACAGACAGATTGGGATAGGATTTCACATTCTTTAGACCAGGGGAAAGATGCTGACAATTTAATATCATTTTGCACTTTGCAGCTGGTATGAAAACAGACGCTTCGCTCTGAGAGGTTTCTGTGATTTCTTCCCCCAGACACCCTGCTGTCTCCCAAGTGGTTTCTGTGCCTGTTGATACTGCAGCCATTTTAGGTCAATCCTCAAGTCAAATCCTGATGAAGTTTCCTCCAGAGAGCCAGCCTCACTTTCTCAACAGGCGTGGTCTCCAGCACGTGCTCACTGATGATGGAGGCTTCTAGATTAGGCCAACTCTGTCCCCACCACTCTCAAAGATAAGCATCCTAAAATATCCTAGTGGACACTATATTGTCTCTGGTCAAGCAAGAGGAGTGAGGACAAGTCGTTTCACCTATTTGAGCTTCAGTTTTGCACTGCTGAACGGGAACAATAATAGGTGCCCCGCCTGCCTCCCATGTTAGCTGGAGAGTTAATAAGCAGGTGGAAGAAAAGGTTGATCTTGAATCACCACATCCTGGGCACATCATCTGATTTTGGTTGATAAAGGAACTCACCAGAAAAAGCTCACTCTCTTCTTTTAGGGTCAAGGTTATGAATATGTCTATTAAAAGCTATGTGTGTACTACATTGGGTAAAGCCAACTACTATTGATTGGGTCATAATTTGGTTATTAACAAATAAACCAAAAAAGTATAGTGGCTCAAATAAAGTGTGATTTTTCTTTTAGAGACAGGGTCTTGCTCTGTCACCCAGGCTAGAGCTCCTAAGATCAAACTATCTTCCTGCCTCAGCCTCCAGGGCGACTAGGACTATAGGTGTGCACAACCACACCCAGCTAATTTTTTTATATTTTGTAGAGACAGGGTCTTGCTATGTTGCCCAAGGTGGTCTCGAACTCCTGGCCTCAAGCAATCCTCCTGCCTCAGCCGCCCAAAGCACTGGGATTACAGGTGTGAACCATTGTGCCTGGCTTGATTTTTTGTCTCTTTCTCATTCATGCAAAGTCCAAAATGGATATGCCCATGTAAAGCACAAAATGGATATTCCTCATGACTCCCCTCCAAGCTCTAATTCAAGATGCAGGCTCTTTCTGTCTTGTGGCTCTGCATCTTTAATCATGTCCCTTCATCTACACATGGGCATCAAGCCAGTGGAAAGAGAATGAGAGTAAGATGGGGCACCTGCCTCTTAACTCCATTGGCCCAGGAATGACCCATATCATTTCCACTCATGTCCAACTGTGACAGAGATTGGATGACACACAAAGTCTACCATATCTAGTCTTTTACAGGCAAAGTTTGCCAAGCCCTGATGTATGCATATGGACATACTGCCTTTATTGGCACACTACACACTGTTCTACTCTGTGATTGCTGGTGATAGCATCATACTAGAACTTACAGACCCACATTTTCAGTGCATAATTGTAGTCAACCTATGTGCATTACATAATTTATTTATTATTATTATCATCATTTTTGAGACAGAGTCTCGCTCTGTCACCCAGGCTGGAATGCAGTGGCACGATCTTAGCTCACTGCAACCTCTGCCTTCCAGATTCAAGTCATTCTCTTCTCCTGCCTTAGCCTCCCCAGTAGCTGGGACTACAGGCACATACCACCATGTCCAGCTATTTTTTTTTTTTTTTTTGTATTTTTGGTAAAGACAGGGTTTTGCTACGTTGGCCAGGCTGGTCTCAAAATCCTGACCTCATGTGATCTGCCTGCCTCGGCCTCCCAAAGTCCTGGAATTACAGGAATAAGCCACCACACCTGGTCACGTAATTTATTCAAGCTGTCCTCTCTTCCTGAAGATAAGGTCATTTTTAGTCTTTTGTCATTAATTATACCATAAATGAAGATCCCGGTACTTATATCTTTGTCCTGTAGGATGAATTTCTAAAAATTGGATTGTTCAAAGGGTATAGGCACTTACTTTAATAGCTGTATTACAAATGAAGAGGTGGTATCAATTTATACTTCTACCATCAAGGCTGGATTCTTTCCCTGAAGCAGCTTCAACAAATATAGTATATACTGAGACTTTTAACTTTTGCTATTTTTTTTTAGGTGAAGACCACTATCTTTTTATAAACCAAATGTGTATATCTCATCTTATGAATGGAATTGAACATCTTTTCCGTGGTATTCATTGGTATTTCTTTCATATGCAACTCTTAGTTTTTTGCCCTTTGCTCTTTTTTTTTCAAACAGGATCTCACTCTGTTACCCAGGCTGCGACCACACCTCACTGCAGCCTCGACCTCTTAGGCTCAAGCAATTCTCCCACCTCAGCCTCCTGAGTAGCTGGGACTACAGGTACGTACCACCACATCTGGCTAATTTTTAAATTTTTTGTAGAGATGGGGTTTTGCCGTGTTGCTCAGCCTGGTCTCTAATTCCTGGGCTGAAGCTCTCATCCTGTCAGCCTCACAAAGGGCTGAAATTACAGATGTGAGCCACTGTGCCTGGCCTGACCCAGTTTTAACACTGAAAGTCTCGTGCTGAGAACCTCTTCAGTCTCAGGTAAACCAGGATGGTTGGCCACTGTAGCTGGGTTATTGCTCTTTTTTAAGTCAATTTGAAGAAATCCCAAAAACATTGTAGATATGAGCTTTTTGTATTTTTCCCAATGTATTTAGTTTTCTTTTTGTGTCAAATGTTTTCCATGTAGAATTTATTTTATCAATACATATTTCCATATTCCTCTCTAGAAGAAAATAACTCTTTAAAAAATAAAACAAAAAACCCCACAATATCATTATCATATCATAAATTTAACAGTAATCCCTTAGATTATAAAATATCTAATCAATTTTCAATTTTCATTGGCCCATAAAGATTTCTTTTTTAAAAAATTATAATTTGTTTAAATGAATCAAGACCCAAATAAGAACCATCATTGCAATTGTTTGACATATCTTTTCAGTCTTTTAATCTATCAAATCCCCTTCCTTTTCTTCTTTTAATTTTTAAAAAAATTTCTTCTTTTTTGTTGAAGACACCAGCGTATGTCTCCTGTGGAGCTTTCCAAACCAAATCATGCTGATTGCATCCATATAATGTCCTCTAATCTGTTTGTCCATCTCTACTTTCTGGACAATGATTGTTAAGTCTAGAGACTTGGTCAGATTCAGGTTAATTCCAACTTTCCATCCATCCACCCACCCATCCATCCATCCATCCATCCATCCATCTATTTATCCATCCATCATCTACCTATTATCTACTTACCTATCACAAGCATACTTCATACTTAGGAATGTATACTTCCATTTGGATGTACATAATACCTGATTTTCTCTCCTTTTTGCAATTTTTGATAGTCGTTACCTAGATCTTTTATTTCATCAAGGGTCGCAAAATGGTTATGTTCTATTAGTCCTTCTTTATTTATTAACCGGAATATTTCTATAGAGAGAAACATCTCATCATCAGCTACTTGGTTACCCCAGGATGCATGGGAAAGGCAGGTTAAATGTTGTCTTTTAACTCTGCATCTGCCAGTGTTCAAAACAGTGTGTATGTTAATTCGATTCCTCCAAAGTAATCCATTATTTTTGTTTCTGTGCTTTTTAATTTATTTAGAATCATTGTGAACTTGTGGATTTAAGTGCATTTGGTGTGTTTTCATTAAATCTGGTTTTATTGTTCTTTTGATGTTCAAGCTATCCCATCCTTGGCCACGGAACCTCTTCAGGTTATTTCCTAAGTACTTCAAAAATGATCTCATTAATAGCTTCCTTAATTTGGGGTATGTTTCAAATAATACATTTTCTATATGATTTCTCCCTTGTGCACTTTCTGTCCTCAAAGTGGACAGAATTTTTTTTTTTTTTTTTTGAAGAAATGGGCTCCTTTGAGAACCTTAGTTTCTTTTAGAGATAAATGATGTTTCATGACCGTAATCTAGACCACAAGGATACCCACTGCTATTGAGCTTGGGCTCAAGCAATTCTCCCACCTATTGTTTCATAGTTTCTTTTTTTTTTTTAATTTTATTATTATTATACTTTAAGTTTTAGGGTACATGTGCACAATGTGCAGGGTTGTTACATATGTATACATGTGCCATGTTGGTGTGCTGCACCCATTAACTCGTCATTTAGCATTAGGTATATCTCCTAATGCTATCCCTCCCCCCTCCCCCAACCCCACAACAGTCCCCAGAGTGTGATGTTCCCCTTCCTGTGTCCATGTGTTTATTGTTTCATAGTTTCTAAGCCTTTTTGGTAGACAGAACTAGGATATATGGGTTTCTCCTTCTTTTTCTTCTTCATCTCATTCTTCTTCTTCCTCTTCCTTCTCCTCCTCTTGTTCTAAAACACATCATGAGTTCAAACTGATAGTTCTGCTTTAAATGTAAGACTATAGGGCCTTCTATTTAATTTCATTGATCTTACACTTACGTATCTTTTTTCACTGATGCCAAAAACCTTGACTTCTATTAACTTCACTCAAATTATTTATTTGCAGTCTCCAAAAACAATGCCAACAATTACCACAAATGTACAATTACTGAAAAGAAGCTAAGATTGCTTGCAGTTTCCTTTTGTTCTCAAGGGATCTCCCACTGGGGATATGCAATCAAATTACTGTGGTTTGAAATCCCTGGAAAGAATTCCTCTCTGTGGGGTTTTGCCACCAGCAATTAGATCCACTTGTTTCATTTTTATTCCAATTTTGAGATTGCTTTAAAAAATTTTAAGCTACGTTTAATTTAGTTTAATTTATTTATGTAAAATAATTACAGGGTTCCAAAATAGAATATACTAAACATGGTATATATTCAGAGATGTCTGCTTTCTGTGTCTTCTCCATGCTTTCTCCTTCCCCTATAGGTTAAACTTTTCATTAGTTTTTTGTTATTTCTTTTTTTTTTTTGAGACGGAGTCTTACTCTGTTGCCAAGGCTGGAGCACAGTGGCACGATCTTGGCCCAGGAGTCTCCCAGGTTCAACAGATTCTCCTGTCTCAGGATCCCTCCCCCCACCTCCCTCCACCCTCCCCGCCACCCCCCACCACCAAGTAGCCAGGACTACAGGTGCGAGCCACCAGGCCCGGCTGATTTTTTGTATTTTTAGTAGAGACGGAGTTTCACCATGTTGGCCAGGCTGGTCTTGAACTCTTGACCTCAGGTGATCCGTCGGCCTCGGCTTCCCAAATTGCTGGGATTTCAGGCATGAGCCACCGTGCTCAGCCATTTTTTGTTATTTCTTTCATTTAGAAAACTACATATAAGCAAATTGGTATATATAGTCAATCTACCCTATTCTTCAATAAATAATAGTGTCACATGATTCCCTCCATTTTGCTTTTTCACTTAATAATATATTTCAGAGATGTGTCTATTTTAAGTTATAGAGATAGTTCTTATTTTGCAGCTGTGTAATACTCTGCTATGTGGATATACCACAGTTTATTCAACTGGCTCCCTATTGATGGATATAGGGATTGTTTCGAGCATTTTGGTATTAAAAATAGTGATCTGTTTCAATTTTGACACATGACTCCTCTTCCAGGGTGTGAACACTTTCTCTGCCCTCTGAGTTCAGTCAACTAAAACCTGGGGAAAGAGACCTTGCTCTTATCCTAGGACAGGTAGGACCTGCCCATTACCTTACCCAGCCGCCATTTGCAAGTGGAGAGGGATGGAATGGAAATGCTTTCCCAAACCCTCGTCCCCCAAATGTAACAAATCCCTTTGAAAGACTGTGGAGCTTGGAGCTTGGAGCCTGGGCTCTGGCCACATAATTTTATTTCATGTGGCTGCACTATAAGTTTTTGAACCATCTCTGTAGGTTGATTCTGTTTGTTGTTATGGTTGTAATTTTAAACGGCAAGCTATGTTGTGAATATAGCTTTAAACTGTATCCTCTGTTAATTTCATGAGGTCTTGAGGTGAAGAGGATTTAAACACATGTGCTTACTCTGAGTCTTAGTCCAGAACTTTGCAGGTTTCTTTATATAACTTCAACACACCTATAACCTAGCTTCAACAACATATTTTGCCAGTCTTCTCTCATCTTGTCCAGACTTTTATTTTTTTAACTTGCTGGAGTGTTCTAGAATTTTACATGCATTTTTATTTATTTTTTTTTTTTGAGATAGAGTTTTGCCCTGGTTGCCCAATCTGGAGTACAATGGTGCGATCTTGGCTCACCGCAACCTCTGCCTCCTGGGTTCAAGTGATTCTCCTGCCTCAGTCTCCTGAGTAGCTGGGATTATAGGCATGTGCCACCATGCCTAGCTAATTTTGTATTTTTAGTAGAGGTGAGGTTTCTCCATGTTGGTCAGGCTGGTCTCGAACTCCCAGCCTTAGGTGATCCACCTGCCTCGGCCTCCCAAAGTGCTGGGATTACAGGCGTGAGCCAACGCACCCGACCTTACATGAATTATTTAACACAATTTTTAAGTTTAGAATTAGGTACTTAGTTTACATGACCAAAAGTGCAAGTTTTTACCTACCTAGTTCCCTTCCCAGAGGCAACTGATGTTCTTCTCTGGTTCTTGCATGTTCCACCCAAGATATTTTATGTATATAAGCATACATTTTTTTCCTACTTTCTTTACGCAAATGGTAGTATATTATAAATACTGTTCAGAAGCTTTCTTTTTTCTACTAAATAATATATCAGATTTTTCCATATTTGTTCATAAGAGCTCCTTCATTCTTTTTTATAAGTACGCACGCCTTCATTTTAGGAACACAGTATAATTTATTTAACCACTCCCTGACTGATGAATTTTTACGTTATTTCTTTTCTTTTGCTATAACAAATAATGCTGCAGTATATAGCACTGTTCATTTCACAGCTGTGTCACTATTTTTAAAGTCCTTTTGTGCCCATCCGCTTATCCTATCTCCTTTCTTCCCACCTCAGAGTTTTCTACTACCCTGCATTTTGCTTTAATTTTTCCCTTGCTTTTATTTAGAATTTTACCACATGCATTTGTGTCCTTAAACAATACCTTGATTGGATTTCCACGAATTTGAACTTCAGGTAAATAGAATCACACTTCATGTATTTCTCTGTGATTTCATTCATTTCTTCAATGTAAAGTTTTTGAGACTTATCCAAGAACAGATGTAAGTCATTCCATTTTACTTTTTTTTTTTTTTTTTTTTGAGACAGAGTTTCGCTCATCACCCAGGCTGGAGTGCAATGGCTCGATCTCGGCTCACTGCCACCTCAGCCCCCAGGATTCAAGCTATTCTCCTGCCTCAGCCTCCCAAGTAGCTGGGATTACAGGCCATGCCTGGCTAATTTCTGTGTTTTTAGTAGAGACGGGGTTTCACTATGTTGGCCAGGCTAGTCTCGAACTCCTGACCTCAGGTGATCCTCCCATCTTGGCCTCCCAAAGTGCTGGGATTATAGGCCCACCCCCAGCCCATTTTTACTTCTACATGCTGTTCTGTTAGACCAGTATACCATACATTTTATTATCTATCGTTAGTGGACTTTTGGTTGTTTCCAGTTTTGCTATTACAAACAGTGCTGGCTGGAACACCCTTAGCTATCTCCTCATGCACAGTTAAGAGTTTTTCTAGGGTGTTCACTAAGGAGCAGGTGTGTTGGAATCCATGTCGATATTTATTAGATGATGCCAAATTATTTTCCAAAGTACTTATACCAATTCTTATTCCTATGTGTAAATATTCTGGCTGCTCCAAACTCTCCAACATTTGATGTTTTCAGACTTTTTAATTTTTGCCACCCTGGTCAGTATTGGCAATACCATTTTATTGGTATCTTTTTGTTTTATTTTAATTATAATTAAAATAAATTGTTTTATAATTGTTTTATTATAATTTTTAAAAATTATAATTTTTAAAAATTTATCTTAAGACAAACTCATTATAATTTTAAATTGCATTTTCCTAATTAGTAAGAAAATTGAACAGCTTTTTATGCATTTATTGATCATAAAAGGTGCTCTTTTGTTTGTTTGTTTGTTTTGTTTTTATTGTACTTTAAGTTCTAGGGTACATGTGCACAACGTGCAGGTTTTTTACATAGGTATACATGTGCCATGTTGGTTTGCTTCAACCATCAACTCATCATTTACATTAGGTATTTCTCCTAAAGCTATCCCTCCCCCAGCTCCCCACCCACCGACAGACCCCTGTGTGGTATTCCCCACCCTGTGTCCAAGAGTTCTCATTGTTCAAGTCCCATCTGTGAGTGAGAACATGTGGTATTTGGTTTTCTGTCCTTGCGATAGTTTGCTGAGAATGATGGTTTCCACCTTCATCCATGTCCCTATAAAGGACATGAACTCATCCTTTTTTATGGCTGCATAGTATTCCATGGTGTATATGTGCCACATTTTCTTAATCCAGTCTATCATTGATGGACCTTTGGGTTGGTTCCAAGTCTTTGCTATTGTGAGTAGTGCCGCAATAAACATACATGTGCCTGTGTCTTTACAGTAGCATGATTTGTAATCCTTTGGGTATATACCCAGTAATGGGATCGCTGGTTCAAATGGTATTTCTAGTTCTAGATCCTTGAGGAATCGCCACACTGTCTTCCACAATGGTTGAACTAATTTACAGTCCCACCAACAGTGTAAAAGTGTTCCTATTTCTCCACATCCTCTCCAGCATCTGTTGTTTCCTGACTTTTTAATGATCACCATTCTAACTGGTGTGAGATGGTATCTCATTGTGGTTTTGATTTGCATTTCTCTGATGACCAGTGATGATGAGCATTTTTTTCATGTGTGTGTTGGCTACATAAAAGTCTTCTTTTGAGAAATGTCTGTTCATATCCTTTGCCCACTTTTTGATGGGATTGTTTGTTTTTTTCTTGTAAATTTGTTTAAGTTCTTTGTCAATTCTAAATATTAGCCCTTTGTCAGATGGGTAGATTGTAAAAATTTTCTCCCATTCTGTAGGTTGCCTGTTTTTTTTGTCATGGAAGATCCTTGTTAGGTGAAGTGGCTCTTGAAGTCTTACTGAATTACTTATGGAGTTGATTTTATTATGTGGATAATAATCAATGCTTTCTCTTTATAGTATCCATCAAACAGGAGTTTTCCATTTTAAGGTAGTCAAATGTATTTAACTTTTCTTTATGACTTGTATGTTTGGTAATTTGTACATTATGAGACTTATTCAAGAAAGCTGCCTTTCTTAAGATAAAAAATATATTCTCCTATACTTCATTCTAAATCTTATAGTTTTGTCACTTTATAGCTTTAATTCATTTGGAATTAATTTTTGTGTATGGTGTGAGGTAGGGGGTCCAATGCCATATTTGCCATATAAATAACCAATTGTGTGAACACCACTTATGGAAAATTGCTTCCTTTCCCCTCTGATTTGCAATGCCTGCTCTGTCACAAATCCAGCTCCATATATGTGTGTGAGTCTGCTCCTGGCCTCCCTAGTCTGATCTTACTTGTCTTCTTGATAGTCAATCTGAGTTTCCCTGCACAAGTGCTAGATTGGCTTCATTATCATGGCTTTATGACAATGCTTGCTATTTGATAAGATCTGACAAGTCCAGTGCTTTGTTCATCATCTTCAGTATTGTCTGGGATATTGGCCTTTTGCTCTTCCATATACATTTTAGAATCAAATACTATTCTAAAATAGGGTAATTTCTATTTCCCAGGATGTTGTGAGGATTTAATCAAATGATGTATGGAAAGTGTCTACCATAATTCATAGGTACTTGGTAAAAGGCTGGGGAAATAAGCTGGTGGTGTCACCTTGGGGAAGGTATTCCACTCTCTGGGCCTGCTCTGCATCTGTGGCATGGTCTGACACTGGCTCCTTTCATATACCACAGAGTTGATGTGGGAGTATAGGTGAGAGAAGAGATGTGAGAATAGTTTTCAGACTGTAAGTTGAACTTTGTATTGGTCCCATGGGGATTATCAAGCTGTTATCAATATGATTACAAAGTCCTTGGATGAATGAGAATTGACACTGGGGCCTCACCAAATACTGTGCAAACTTGGGCAATTTTCATGGTCACATTCTTTTTAAGAAATGTTTCTAGGCCATGTGCAGTGGCTCAGGCCTGTAATCTTAGCACTTTGGGAGGCCAAGGGGGGAGGATGGCTTGAGCTCAGGAGTTCAAGGCCAGCCTAGGCAACATAGCCAGACCCCTGCCTCTACAAAAAAATCAAAATAGCTGGGTATGATGGCATACACGTGTGGTCCCACCTACTCAGGAGGCTGAGATGGGAGGATCACTTGAGCCTGGGAAGTCAATGCTGCAATGAGCTGTGATCACATCACTGCACTGCAGCCTAGGCTATAGAGTGAGACCCTGTCTCAAAAAAAAAAAATTTTTTTTTTTAGTTTTATGAGTACTGTGAAGGCCTTTACCTGCTAGAGTGCAGCGCCATCATCTTGACTCATGGCAACCTCTGCCTCCTGGGTTCAAGCGATTCTTTTGCCTCAGCCTCCTGAGTAGCTAGGCTTACAGGTGCCTACCACCATACCCAGCAAATTTTTGTATTTTTAGTAGAAACGGGGTTTCACCATGTTGGCCAGGCTGACCTCAAGTGATTTGCCCACCTCAGTCTCCCAAAGTGCTGGGATTACAGGCCTGAGCCACTGTGCTCAGCCTACCTGCACATGTTTCTTATTCCAGTGACACACATGTGCTTAGCTCACTGAGATGGTTGCCAGTAGTTGCTTCCTGGTTCCTGAACTATAAGGATAGGAATTTTGATACAAAAATCAAATATTGTGGTACAGTTGACTTTGCTCCCCAACTTCCAGCTGCCCTTGAGATGCTTCCAAGCTCACCCAGCAGCCTATGGTCCCAACACTTATCACTGAGCACCTCTCCCTCGCCTGGACTGCCTGTTCCTCTGGGCAGCTGGTGGACCTTTGCTCCTGGTCCGCAGAGCTCTTGGAAGACATCACTGTGCTCACTTCTCTCACAGGACCCCACCCAGTCCTGAGACAACCCTGGGATGCAACTGGGGGCTGGAGAGGCAGAACAATGTTTTGTTAGTTAGAAGGACTTGGATTCCAGACCCGGCTCTTGCTCTTCTGGGCTCTGTGACTAGGGGCATATGATTTCTACTGTCTGTAATTTCCCTCATGAAAAATGGGGATGGTACTACTTAATCTTCTGCAAGAATGCCTGTCAGGCACCTGGCGTGGGGCCTAGTGTGCACTAGGTCATCATTTTGGCCAAACACACTCAGTAAATGGTGACTGAGTAACTGAGACAGGGCAAAGTGTGAGGCATGTTTGGGTGGTGAAGCTAAGTAATGGTTCATTTTGGGGGTGGTGTGGATATGTGGATATGTGTACCTGGGGCATTCATAGTTGGAAGTGATGCTGGGAGTGACTATTAAGGTCAAATTTTGGGAACTTTGAATGTTAGACTTACGAAGCTGGACTTTATTCTGGCTGTGTTTGATTCAGCTTAACTCTCTTTACTAAAACATTTTCACTTGCTTCCCAGCCCAGACTGTGGGCACTTTGATAACGATGCCTGTGGCCAGGTTCAATGACCTGGGGAATGACCTTCAATTCTATCTCCCACTCCTGGCACTCCAGGTTCCCCTTGGGATTTTACGCCTGTTGCTTTATGCCTGAATTATTCTTCACATGGACTCCTCATTGCTTACTCTGCCTGGGTTTTTATTTTCGTCACCGTTGAATGGTTCTTTTAGTTTTTATCCACAAAAGCCTATGGGCATACTGTGCTCTTTGCAAATTCACTGTCTCCCTGGACCTGCCCTTCCAGCACTGGCGTCTCCTTGCTGCCTGGGAGGAGAGGTGGAGAGTTGTCATCAGGGAGCCAGTGAAGAATTCTCCAGCAGGTAAATGATTCAGTCAGACCAGGCGATCACCTTGGGTGAATCAGAGAAGTGAATTGTCTCTCCAGGCTCCTAGGAAGAAATGAAGCAGCTGTAGTGACTGGTATGGGGAAGTGGGAGGTGGCTATGTGGAAGGTTCATTGTGTTAAACATGCAGTGTGTGTAGGGAGAAATACCCTAGCCATCAAGCACGGTTTGACCTGCCTGATCCTCCTGGTGGCTAGAATCTTACCTGCTCTTGTCTAGGGGTCTACCTGACCCATATCATAACATCT
This sequence comes from Homo sapiens, assembly GCF_000001405.40. Classification (NCBI taxonomy): domain Eukaryota; kingdom Metazoa; phylum Chordata; class Mammalia; order Primates; family Hominidae; genus Homo; species Homo sapiens. Next base: position 15,874,372 of record NC_000002.12, on the reverse strand, counting down.
GGAGATAGAGATAGATCCACTTTTGTGGTGTCTGAAGCTTATGCAGTTTGGGAGATCCTCTTTAAAAAAAGAATATAGAATTACAAATTTAATAAATGCGTACAAAAGTGAGCATTTATCCTGAATGAGAAAAGAAATCACGTCAAATTATAAATCTTTAAAAAATCTGAAAAGCACAACAAACACTTCAAAATCCAGAAAAATAATATACTTTTATTAATTAATTATCCTACAACTGTTATAATACCCTTTTCTTATATTCTTTTGCTGCATCCCATGTGATTTTGTAGTATTTTCTATGGGAAAATAGACAATTGTTTTCTTTTTCTTTTTCTTTTTTAGACAGAGTCTTACTCTGTTGCCCAGGCTGGAATACAATGGCACGATCTCAGCTCACTGCAACCTCAGCCTCCCAGGTTCAAGTGATTCTCCTGCTTCAGCCTCCCAAATAACTGAGACTGCAGGTGCACGCCACCACGCCCAGCTAATTTTTCGTATAGAGACAGGGTTTTGCCATGTTGGCCAGGATGGTCTCGAACTCCTGGCCTCAAGTGATCTATCTGCCTTGGCCTTCCAAAGTGCTGGGATTACAGGTGTGAGCCACCGCACCTGGCCGGATAATTGTTTTCTATAACATAATTGATCAAACTTTGGGCTTTATTTTTCTAGGTTTAGAATACTTTTTTTTTTTTTTTTTTTGAGACAGAGTTTCACTTTTGTTGCCCAGGCTGGAGTGCAGTGGCATGATCTAGGCTCACTGCAACCTCCGCCTCCGGGGTTCAAGCGATTCTCCTGCCTCACCCTCCCGAGTAGCTGGATTACAGGCACCCACCACCACTCCCAGCTAATTTTTTGTGTTTTTAGTAGAGACGGAGTTTCACCACGTTGGCCAGGCTGGTCTCAAACTCCTGACTTCGGGTTGTCCCCCTGCCTCGGCCTCCCAAAGTGCCGGGATTACAGGCATGAGCCACCGTGCCCAGCCAAAAAGTTTCTTTAAGCTTTAGAACTCAATTAGGAAAGTTATGTAAATCTTTAGGATTGTGGTCAAACCTGAGAAAATTTCTAATTTCTTTTCTCTACTATTATAGATATATTGATTATTGGTGTTACTACCCCAGATTTGTGTCCTATAAACAGGGGAATTCTGACGAATTTTATTTCATGCAACTTCTATCAAAAATGAAAAAAGGATATGGTGTGTTTGTAATTGTATATGCTGTATTATTTAGAATATTCTATTTTTTTTGTTGTTGTTGTTTTGTTTTTGTTTTTTTCCTGCGACAAAGTCTCACTCTATCGCCCAGGCTGGAATGCAGTGGCGCCATCTCAGCTCACTGCCTCTGCCCCCTGGGTTCAAGTGATTCTCCTGCCTCAGCCTCCTGAGTAGCTGTGATTACAGACATGAGCCACCGCGCTGAGCTAGAATATTCTTGATGGGAAAAATTTGACTAGGCATCAGTGAGAACCTGATTACAATCTTATACATGTGCTGACTGGGAGATGTTCCCATAGGCTAGCTTCTGGCTCTGTGTATTTCAAACTTTGCTTCTGCTCCACTACCCACATACTTCTGATGTTGAACACATGTGTACACTGTAATACAGCCACACCATGTGGGGAGTTGGCACTGTGGCCGATAGGGAGAGTTCCACCAGCCCGCCTCCACCAGGATGGCTTTTAATAACCCAGTGTATCCAGAGGGGACTCTAAATCACATAGTATATTTCAGTAAACCCAAATGTAACCTCAACTGGAAAAAAGAGGTAGTCTAACACAAGGAAAATGTGATGGAGGGGAAGTTGAGGTGGAAGAAAGGGGACAGTCTTGCCTGATTGGGATTAAGTTATCTTTCTTTTGAAAATGTTATCAAGGCCCATGACTATGCCAGAAATTCCCTGGAGGTTCCCAGGGCCCTAGAAGAGGCATGACAAGTGAGAGACCCTAAATGTAAGCTTCACGGTATGTACGTCTTCACTTAAAGGAGTTCTTTAACTCAGAACTTTATAAAAATGACAGAATGACTGAGTTATGCTCTTGAATGGGATCAGTTTAGAATCTGATCCTGTTAATACTTTATAATTCCAGCTGGATTTTGCTGGAAACCTTTACAAAGGTAAGGCTCCTGAAAGGAACTACTCCTCAGAAAGTCTATGGCTAATTTGATTCCCACTGTGTCCTCAGCACAGAACCTGCCACATCATGAGCATTTACTGGATGTCTGTTGAAGGAATATATTTGTCCCTGAGAGGAAGTTTCTGGTTTCCTGTGGGTGCCTGGCCTGCATCCCCTCTTCCGGGTATTCCATGCTTATCTTGTCCTGGGCCTGCTTGATCTAGGAGGATGTCACTATATTAATCCATTCCCATGCTGCTATAAGGACTTACCCGAGGCTGGGTAATTTATAAAGGAAGGAGGGTTAATGGACTCACAGTTCCACATGGCTGGGGAGGCCTCACAATCATGGTGGAAGGTGAATGAGGAACAAAGTCACATCTTACACGGTGGCAAGCAAGAGAGCATATGCAGATGAACTCCCCTTTATAAAACCCTCAGATCTCATGATACTTATTCACTATCAAGAGAACAGCATGGGAAAAGCCTGCCTCCATGATTAAATTGGCTCCTGCTAGAACCCTCCCATGACACGTGGGGATTAAGGAAGCTACAATTCAAGATGAGATTAGGGTGGGGACGTAGCCAAACCATATCAGTTGCTTTTGACATAAGAAGGACCTCTTTTCTAACCTATTTTTTACAGGTAACTTTAAATCTATAACTTCCTTCCTTTTGCTGAGAAGGCTCTGTTTTCACTACTACATCGGGAGCCAGTTTTGCTACTATATCAGGAGTTTGTTTTTAATTAACAGAAAATGACTTTTCTTTCCCTTTTCTGTGCCATTTCTCTTTTTAATCCTAGTTCCCTCCAATCTGAGGGCTGAGTGATCCTGTTTCCCTCCCATTTGAGGGCTGAGTATCCACCTGGTTTTCTCTTGGTCCTGCTCATATTCTGATGATGGGGGTCATTTTGCTAAATCCTAGCTCCTGATGGCTGAATAAGTCACTTCCAGATTGACATCCAAATGACACATATGTGATGAGATAAAACTTTGAAATAGTAATCTTGGAGCTTTCCTTTTTTGCCATCTCCCACACTACCTGGCCTTCTTCTTTTAGACATAGGCATCCAAACGTCTCCAGATGAGGGTTAGCAGTAACACAAAGAGAACGAAACCATATCTGCTTCTTGTGTTATTACTTCCAAACTAGGGTCTTGCAAATCGTCTTTCCAGACAATAGAAGGAGAGATGACACCTAGATGAAGGGCACTGGGCAGGAGGGAAGAAAGAGGAGTGGGCAGAACAACACAGGCATTAGCTGGGAGACCCCACAGTACAGGTGACACAAGGTCTTGGTGACAGACTGCCCTGTCTGAATGTGTGAGGAACTAGCGCCTCGACCATGAGAAAACCACACACACTTCTCAACTTTGGTTTAAAATGTGGACTATAACAAACACATGCAAAAGAACACAGTGTATCAATGTAGAGCAAAATAAATACATTTGCAGTGCGCACCTGTGTGCCCATCACCCAGGCAAGAGCTAGAACATCGGGATGGCCCTAGCAGCCCCCTGGGTGCTCTCTCCCTGGTTACACCCCCTTCCCTAACGCCTAAAAGTAACCATATCCATGGTTACTTTTTATGGTAAACAGTTCCTTGTTTCTTTATAGTTCTACCACCTGTGTGTGTGTGTGTGTGTGTGTGTGTGTATACACAATGTAGCTTTGTTTTGCCTGACTAAACATTGTATTAAAGCAATCATACTATCTATGCACTTCAAGTCTTTTTTTTTCACTCAGTATGCTTTTAAAATTCATCTGTTCTATTGCATTTCACAGGGTTTCATTAATTTTCATTGTTACATGGAAGTGCATTGTATGAATGTATGACATCTTTAATCCATTCCATTGTTTATGGATATTTTTGTTGTTCTCGGTTTTTTAATCACAAACAGTGTACCTATGAACATTCTTACACTGGGTCTTGTGTATATATGCAAGATTTTTTTAATTTTTAAATTAAATTTATTTTAAGTTCAGCTTTTTATTGACCACATTATGAAAGAGGTTTAGTCAAAAACCCAAAGCCCATGTCATCATCAGATCCTCGGATTCTTCTTTCTTTGCTTCCACTTTCTTCCTCAGCTGGAGCAGCACCAGCTACTGGAGCAGGTCCACCAGCTCCTACATTGCAGATGAGGCTCCCAATGTTGACGCTGGCCAGGGCCTTTGCCAACAAGCTAGGCCAAAACAGTTCAACATTTACACCGCCTGCTTTAATGAGGGCATCGATCTTATCCTCCGTGACGGTCACTTCATCGTTGTGCAGAATGAGGTCCGAGGAGATGCAGGTAAGCCGGGAGATGGAGGCCATGGTGGGGGCGAGTGTGGGGCTGGTGCTGCTGAACACGGTGCTAGTCGCCGGATGAAGTGAGGACCTCACCCTAACACGGCTTTAGCTTCCTCGGAAGGACTGAGCACCTTGATGGCAGCTGAGGAAAGGCAAGAATTTTTTTTAGAGTATACATCCAGGAATGGATTTGCAGGGTCTTACATAAGATATGTGTTTTCAGCTGTCGTTGGTAATGCCAAATTGTTTTCCAAAGTGTTGTATGTGTTTACGTTCCCACCAGCAATGTGTGAGTGTTTTTCTTGCCACATGCCCTCTCTAATACTTGTTCTTGTCAGACTTTTTTTTTTTCCAGTTTAATGGGAAAATATTAAATTGGAATGGTCGCAAAATCTTGATGATGAATGAGATTGAAAATCTCTACATTTGTGTTTTTCCTTCTATGTAATATCTGTTATGGTCTTTGCCTATTTTTTTTTTAACTAGGTGATATGGTTAGGCATTGTGTCCTCACCCAATCTCATTTTGAATGATAATCCCCATAATCCCCACATGTCAAGGGAGAGACCAAGTGAAGGTAATTGAATCATGGTGGCAGTTTCCCCCATGCTGCTCTCATGATAGTAAGTTTTCAGAAGAGCTGATATTTTTATAAAGGGCTTCCCCCTTCACTTGGCACTTCTCCTTCCTTCCACCTTGCGAAGAAGGTGCCTTGCTTCCCCTTCGCCTTCCGTCATGATTGTAAGTTTCCTGAGGCCTCCCCAGCCATGCTGAACTGTGAGTCAATTAAACCTCTTTCTTTTATAAATTACCCAGTCTTGGGCAGTTCCTTATAGCAGTATGAAAATGGACTAATACACTAGGTTGTCTATCTCATTGATATGAAGTTCTCTTTTTCTAATATTTTGGATAAAAGCCCTTTGTTGGTTATATATACTGCAATTTTCTCTCATTTCTTGGCTTATATTTTCCTTTTTATTTTTATTTTTTGATACAATCTCACTCTGTTGCCCAGGCTGGAGTGTAGTGGCATGATCATGGCTCACTGCAGCCTCAACCTCCTCGGGCTCATGTGATTCTCCCACCTCAGCCTCCGGGTAGTTGGGAACTATAGCCACCAGGACCAGCTAATTTTTTTGTATTTTTTGTGGAGACATGGTTTCACCATGCCACCCAGGCAGGGGATTTTCCTATTAATGATGCCTTTTGAACTGAAGTGTTTTAATACTTTCATATTGATCATTTTTTCATTACAGATAATGCTTTTTTAATCTCATTGAGAAATCTTTCCCTACCCAGAAGCTATAAAGACATTCACCCATTTCATTTTTATTTATGTAAACTTCTTAACACATTAATTCTTTATCTTAGCACAATTTTATTCCTCTGCCCTTTGGCTTTCGTTGTTCCTGTTGTGAGGTCAGGTGCCAATTTCATTTTCTCTCTTGTGAAGTCATCTCTTTTCTTTTTGGTTCACCTACTACAACATTTTGGCTGTATGTATGTATGTATGAATATTTTCAAACACTAAAAAAAGTTAAAAGAACAGAACAGTGAACATGATGACACTTATCCCAAGGTTTAGCCATTGTTAACAATTTTTCCTGACTGTATCTTAAGATCTCTTTTTCTTTGATGTTCTCTAGTTTAATTATCATGTATTTTGTTATTTATTTCATTTAGTTTTCCTGCTTGGGATTCACTGGGCTTCTGGAATCTTCTGGATTGATATCTTTCATCAATTCTGGAAAACCAATATGAGTTTTCTTTTTATTTATTCTTTTTTTTTTTTTTTTTTTTTCAGATGGAGTCTCTCTCTGTGGCCCAGGCTGGAGTGCAGTGGCATGATCTCAGCTCACTTCAACCCCTGCCTCCTGGGTTCAAGTGATTCTCTTGCCTCAGCCTCCCGAGTAGTTAGGATTACAGGCATCCGCCACCACACCTGGCTAATTTTTGCATTTTCAGTAGAGACGGGGTTTTGCCATGTTGGCCAGGATGGTCTCCATTGAACTCCTGACCTTGTGTGCTCCGTCCACTCTGGGCTCCCAAAGTGTTAGGATTAAAGGTGTGAGCCACCGCACCTGGCCCCAATATCAGTTTTCTACTACTGCATAACAAACTGCCCCCAAACTTAGTGGCTGAAAACAATAGCACCATCTATTTTGTCATCCAAACAAGTCTGCAGTTTGGATAGGTGTCTGAGGGGACAGCGTGCCTCAGAGGCACAGAGGCAGCTCAGGAAAGAATAGCTAGGATGGCTCAGGGCCAGCAAACAGATGTTGATGTTGAGTGGTTTTCTCTGCCTGTTTTCTAAGAATAGCAGTTCAGAAGTTCAAAGATTTCTTTGTATTTTGTACTCTCGCTGTCTCTTTTAGTCCAAACTGATGAAATTCCTTTAAAACTTTGTGGACTTCTTATGAATCAGTTTATAAATTCACTCCTTTAGACAAAAGCCATGCCCACAGATTTCATAGAGATCATCTCTACTTTGAGCTCCTTGTGAAATTTTCAGAAGCCCAGTTGTTTAACAGAGAAGGCCAGTGAGGCACAGTATGAAGACCCTTAAAAGGGCCTTTGGTGTGTTTGAAAGGGTCTATGGTGCACCACCTTAAATCTAACTGAGGTTTTAACAAAGGTTTTAGAGTTAAATCCTTGGCTTCATCTTTACACCATATTCTTGTGACGGTGCTCTGAATTTGCTGTTTGCCTGAAAGCCATTCTTAATTAGAGAATCATTTATATCATTTATAATAGAGAGGCTGGAATGAGAAACATTTTTATTTCCAAACATAGTAAGTCCTGCCCCCCGATTTTTTTTAAACTAGAATTTATTTTTTTAGAGCAGTTTTGGATTCAGAGCAAAATTAAATGGAAAATACAGAGAGTTCCCACATACTCCTCCCTGACCACATATACACAACCTTCCCACCATCAACATCCCAATCAGTGTGGTGCATTTGCTACAGTTAATGAGCCAGCATTGACACATTATCAACCAAAGTTCGTGTTTTACATTAGGGTTCACTCTTTGTGTTATACATTCTCTGGGTTTTAAGTGTAGAATAGCATCCATTCATTATTATAGTACCAGAGAATAGTTTCACTGCCCGAAGACTCCCCTGTAGTCCACCTATTCATCTCTTCCTCCTCCCAAACCCCTGGCAACCATTCATCTTTTTACTGTCTCCACAGTTTTGCCTTTTGCAGAATGACATATAGTTGGAATCATACAGTATGTAGCCTTTTCAAGTTTGCTTCTTTCAATTAGCAATATGCATTTAAGATTCCATCATATCTTTTCATGGCTTGATGGCTCATTTCTTTTTATTGTTGAATAATAGCTATTTTATCTATGTACTGGTTTATTTATCCATTTACCTTTTAAAGGACATCTCAGTTGCTTTCAAGTTTTGGCAATTATGAATAAAGCTGCTATAAACATGCGTGTGCAGGTTTTTGCATGGATGTTTTAATTCACTTGAGTAGCCTTTTTTATATTTTAAAGTTATTCATTACTTTATCTCTCTGCTCTCTCATTTTTTATAGACTACTTGGAGAAACCAGGCAGCAGCACTCTGCCTGGAAATTTTCTTAGCTAGATAATCAGTTGATTAGGTAAATAGGTACATTTTATTTTATTTTTTTATTCATACCATTTTACTTAGTTCTAATTTTTTTTTTAATGTAAATTGTCAGTTTATAATTGTATATACTTATGGGGTACAGAGTAGTGTTATGATTTATGAGTACAATGTGCAGAATTAAACCAAACTCATGGTATATTTTCTATTTATATGTTATTACAGGTGATAATGTTGTTAAACTTTATGTTACTGGACCCAAGAGTCTTTTTTCTAGATTCCAATAAGCCTCTCTTGCATTTCTTTTAAGTCCTCACCAGCAGCCTCTGCAAGCCCTTTTGGCTTCCACTCACCATCTGGTCCCAAAGCCAATGTTACATTTTTAGGTTGTATGTGTGTGAGTGTGTGTGTGTGTGTGTTTTAATATGGCGACATCACACTCCTGGTATCACAACTTATTCCAGTTATCTACTGCTTCATAAAAAACTACCTAAACTTAGTGGCCTAAAACAACAATGATTTGTTTTGCTCATGAATTTGCGATTTGGGTGAGGTCCAGTGAGGATGCGTCTCTGCTGCTCCTGTGGCGTCAGTTAGGGCATTTTCTCACTCCTGTCCTAACGGAACTCCAGTCTGAGCATGTTTTAGTCCTTCTCACCCACTTTTTCACATCTTTTAGCCTTTCTTTCTTTGTTTCTGTGCTGCACTCTAGATCATTTCTTGATATTCCAATTTACCTATTTTCCCTCTTGGATTTAATCTTCATTTAAACCCACCCATTCAGGGTGTGTGTGTGTGTGTGTGTGTGTGTGTGTGTGTGTGTGTGTGTGTATATGTATGTGTGTATGTGTGTGTTTTGAGACAGAGTCTCAGCTCACCGCAACCTCCGCCTCCTGGGTTCAAGCAATTCTCTTGCCTCAACCTCCCTGGTAGCTGGGACTATGCCTGGCTGATTTCTTTTCTTTTTCTTTTTTTTGAGACAGAGTCACTCTGTCGCCCAGGCTGGAGTGCAGTGGCACCATACTGGCTCACTGCAACCTCCGCCTCCCAGGTTCAAGAGATTCGCATGCCTCAGCCTCCAGAGTAGCTGGGATTGCAAGTGTGAGCCACCATGCCCAGCTAATTTTTGTAATTTTAGTAGAGAGGGGGTTTCAGCATGTTGGCCAGGCTGGTCTCGAACTCCTAACCTCAAGTGGTCTGCCCTCCTTGGCCTCCCAAAGCGCTGGGATTACAGGTGTGAGCCACCATGCCCAGCCCACATATTCAGTTTTTAACTTCAATTTTAACTTGCTTCTTTCAATAATGTGTTTGACTTTTTTTTTTAATCATTAGCCCTGCTAAAGCGAGACCTCAAAAAATTAGTTTAAAAAGTCTGAGGTGTTCCTCTCCATGGGACTCTTTAGTAAAAGGCAAAAGATTTATATGATCTGAAGAGAAACTAGAGCATTGTTTGACTTTTATTACAGTATAATTTGCAAACAATAAAATGCATATATTTTAAGTGAACAATTTGGTCAGTTTTGACAAATACATACACATCTGTAACCATTATCCCAATTAAAATAGAGAGTACAGTTGACCCTTGAACCGCATGGGGGTCAGAGGTGTCAACCCTCCAATGAGGTTGAAAATCCATATATAACTTTTGTCTTCCCCAAAACTTAAATACTAACAGCCTACTGTTGACCAGAAGCTTTGACAAATAATATAAACAACACAAATTTTGCATGTTATATGTATTATATACTGTATTATAACATTAAAGTAAGCAGACAAAAGAAAATGTTATTAAGAAAACCATAAGGAAGAGAAAATATATTTACTATCATTCAGCGGAAGTGGATCATCACAAAAGCCTTCATCCTCATTGTCTTCATGTTGAGTAGGCTGAAGGGGAAGAGGAAGGGCTGAACTTGCTGTCTCAGGGGTGGCAGAGGCAGAAGAAAATCTGTTTATAAGTGGACCCACACAATTCAAGTGTCAACTGTATATCCATATATGAGATGAAGTATCCATCTATATTCCATCTACTCCATATATGTATATGCAATGGACATACACGTTTCTATCAATTTACTTATATAGAGTACATCCTATTTTATATGGACTATAAAACGTACAGAGTATATCCATCATTTATTTCTTTTGCAGTCAATACCAGCCAGCACTTTCTCCCCAGGTCACCACTGATCTGGTTTCTATCATTATATATTAGCTTTACCTGCCCTAGAACTTCTTCACACACACGATATCACTCAGTATGCACTCTTCTGTGTCAGGTTTCTTTTCTTCTCAGCAGAATAATTTTGAGATTTATTCATGTTGTTGCGAGTATCAGTAGTTCTTTTGATTGTATGAACATAACACAATTTGTTTATTCACTTAGTATTAATAAACATTATGGGCTTTTCCCACAGATTTTAATTATTATGAATAAAGCTACTATGAATATTGCACACAAATATTTTCTGGGGACATGTGTTTTTATTCTTTCTGGGTAATTAGGTAATTACCTAGGAGTGGAATTGATGAGTGATAAGGAAAGTTTATGTTTAATTGTATAAAGCCAAACTATTTTCCAAAGCGTTTGTCCCGTTTTATACTCTCACCAGCAATATATAGAAATTTTGTTGCTTCACATCTTTGCCAATGCTTGGTATTGTAAGTCTTTTTTAAAAACCTTTTACCCATTCCACTTGTTCTGTAGTAGTATTTCATTATAGTTTTAATTTGCATTTCCCCATGACTAAAGATGTTGAACATCTTTTTATGTGTTCATTGGCCACTCATGTAATTTCTCTTTAAAGCGTCTGTTAAATCTTTTGCCAGTTTTAAAATTGGGTTGCTTGTCCTCTTATTGAGTTGTAAACTTCTTTATATAGTCTAAATATAAGTCCTTCATTAACTATATCCACTGCAAATATTTTCTCTCTGTCCTTTCATTTAAAAAAATGCTTTTTTTAATTGTTTGTTTTTATTTTTATTAAAGTTATACATACAAGCACATAGATTTAAGAATCAAACAATTCTATAATTGTGTTATTTTTAAAAAGATAAGAAAAGCAGACACTACTCTCAGAGTGCTTGGAGGCACCTCTTTTAGCTTTTCTTTTTTTTTTTTTTTTAAGTTTACCTCTTCGACTGTAGATGACATGCTTTTTGGTGAACTTTGGTTTAGTATTACCCTCTGACTTCCCACCATGGAGGACGAGGGTTTAGCTCTTTCCTGTGCACACACATATTCTTTTCTTCCCCCCATCTTTCCAATATAGTTATGCCATAATTTTGTCTAGCTCAATATTCAACTTACATTATTGAGATTATGTGGAAACTGCACAATTGAGCCATGTAGTAACCTTTCAATACTTTTCCTTTCTCATATAATATTGTTTAATTGTCCCATTGGCTTAGTTTTCATGTGTTTATCACCAATTCAACTCCAGACTCGTTGCTGATTGTCTAAATCTCTCTCAAGTTGTTCATCCTTATGAAGCAGCCCTTCCCCAGAACATCTGACTTGCTACAATCTGGACTGGTTGCTCTCCATGTCATCCTGGGGATTCCCGTCATCTGTGTTAGAGCTCCTGATGTCTTCCTTTTTCAGCACTGGCTCCATGTTGGCAGCGAACATCCTCCAGGAACTAATTGCCCATGCAACTACAACAGACTCCTAAAACCTCTACCTCCTTCAGCCATGCTGGCTCCTTCCAATTCATCCTCCTCATGGCAGCTAGAGGATCTTCTTAATTGTGATGCCCCACAGCTCGTGAAGCCTCAAACACCAAAAACATGCTTTTAAAAACATTCTGTTGGGCTGGGCTCGGTAGCTCACGCCGGTAATCCCAGCACTTTGGGAGGCCAAGGTAGGTGAATCACCTGAGGTCAGGAGTTCGAGGCCAGCCCAGCCAACACGGTAAAACCCTGTCTCTACTAAAAATACAAAAATTAGCTGGGCTTGGGGGCAGGAACCTGTAATCTCAGCCACTCTGGACGCTGAGGCAGGAGAATCACTTGAACCCAGGAGGCGGAGGTTGCAGTGAGCCAAGATTGCCCCATGCACTCCAGCCTAGGCAACAAAGTGAAACTCTGTCTCAAAAAAAAAAAAAAAAAAAAATCTGTCACTATCACCTCACCCTGCTCTGTTTTTCCCTGTAGCCCTTCATCACTTGACACATTAAAATGTATTTATTTGTCCATTCTGCTTTCTCTACTAGAATGTAAATTTCACAAATACAGAAACTTTGTTTCTTTACTCAGTGCTGAATCTCCAGCACCTGGAACATTATGTGGTATCTAAAAAACATTGCATAACTATTTTTTTTTCCTGCAGTGAGAACTTTGGACTCCATTTATTACAAGAATAATAGATTGGAGGAATCTGGACCCAACTAATACAAAAAAGGTCCCATTGGAATTATGGCATAACCATTTTTTAAAAAGAATCGATAAAGTCCAATCCTGCCTTTCTCAATGGAGTACTAGAGGCTAAACTGAAATTTTATTTTGGGTATATGTATATTTATTTTGTCGATTTATATCTAAAGTAAAATGTTAGAATACCTGCCTAGTAAAAAAGGTTTGAAAGACTCACCTGGGCAGAAGCAACACTGGATTGTTACAGGGTTAAGGAAAATGCTTCAGGAAAATCATGCCCCTTTAGAGAGAACTTAAAAGATACAGTCTTCAATCACTTTTTTCTAGCTCGTAGCGCTTTTAAAGAAAGAAATGGAGACTGTTTCCTCACCGAGAGTTATACAATGAATGAAGAGCTATTATCTGTGCATGCGCAGTTTGACAATTGCAGCCTTGAATAATGATGTTCATTGAGAGAAGTTTCTGAGGGTCAGAGAGAGGCTGCCATAATAAAATATATTTATAGAATTCTCTTGTCTTGGCTTAGAATAATTTGATAGCCAAATAAAAGTCTTAGCACTAATCTTTTGATCAGAATTCTATGCTTCTTTCTTTTTTTTGGAAACTATTGGACAAAGTGCCAAGTATTCTAATATGTAACCTCTTAATGTACAAATTCAGAATTGTCATGAATTACATGGGAAGACACCATGCTTGCTTTTCTAATGGTTTCACAGGGTAAATTTTGGCTGACCTAAGCCTGGTTTCACCAACTCAATGAGACCTCGATCACTGACCTACCCAACGAGGAAATCCAACTACATGCCTATCCAGTTCAGGTTTCTGTCTTTGGTGGTATCTGAGGGTTTAACTTGGTACTCAACCACTTGGTTTAGTTTACAGATTGAATTATGTACAGATTTGCTAATAGTATATGTATATACTGTGAAATAGTTCTGATGTTAAGTACTGATCCTATCTTTACTGGGTAAAGTCCTTATCCAAAACTAGAATCACTGCCTGGCAAAGTTGATGTTTGTATGAATGGCGTCCCCTGGAGTCTATAATGTGAATGGTGCCCAATCAAGTTGTGCAACTTGGCAGCCCTGGGGCTTATCTCTTCCTCTCTTTGGACAATATTTTTTCATCATTTTCAGTCCAATAGCTTCCCAGTGTCAGTGCTGACAAGCTCCCTGTGGAGTGCTCTCAGTCTCTCCATTTGCAAATGCTCTAAGATCAATCTCTGAAGAGTAGTTGTGTTCTACCCAAACAATAGAGTATAGCAGCTCTTTTTTTCCATTGCTTTGACTGTGGATAGTCTAAGTACCCCAAAATCTGCAAGGATTGTGAAACATTATACAATTGGGTATTTGTGACTCTAAGTGAGAGAAAGAATCTTCTAGATTGCATCCTATCTGGAAAATGCCTCTCTAATTTTTTGTTGCCATTAACTTACTGTTCATTCCCAATATTTTACCATGAAAGTGGGACTTCTGGCCACTGGCCATAGTGTTGCAATTTAGCAGGCTAATTGATAAACCAGCCATGTCTCTCTTACTATTGTACCCTCAGCACCTAGTGTGCAATGCTTGGCACAAACTCAGTTAATGTTTTCTTAACAAAATTAAAATTGAAATTTTGTAAGCTAGGTAGTTAAATAGATTGTGATTTATTTGTATTGGTTTTGCAGTAGAAACAATAGATTGATGCACATTTAATCCAAATGCTGATCTGAATTGATTAAAACAACTAAACAAACACAACCTATGAGTTTGTATTTCATAGAAATCCATAGGGAATTTGTTGTAGGAAATCTTTATCTTAAAGCTTTTCTTTCTGACCAACAAGGGTGTTAGCTACAAGAAGAGCTCCTGAGTTATGGGAATTGATTTCTTAGAAAAATTTCAGAATAGAAGAGGCAATAATGTTCTTTGGAAGTTTGAGATGTAATCTTTTTTTTTTTTTTTTTTTTTTGAGACAGAGTCTCACTCTGTCACCCAGGCTGGAGTGCAGTGGCGTGATCTTGGCTCACTGAAACCTCCACCTCCCAGGTTCAAGCAATTCTCCTGTCTCAGCCTCCCGTATAGCTAGGATTACAGGCGTGCACCATCACACCAGGCTAATTTTTGTATTTTTAGTAGAGATGGGGTTTCAATATGTTAGCCAGGTTGGTCTCAAACTCCTGGCCTCAAGTGATCTGCCTGCCTTAGCCTCCCAAAGTGCTGGGATTACAGATGTGAGTGACTGAGCTCAACCTGAGATATAATCTTAAATTGAATCAGGGTAAAATTTTTTATTAATAACTAATAGACTCACTTATTAATAATTAACTTTATGAGCACTTTTCAGTTAAACATGTGTAATTGTATAAAGTGTATCATTTGAGCCTCACATAAATCTCAAAACTGCGTGATTTTTTTTTAAATTCCTATTTTGAAGATGAGTAAAATTGAGGCTCAAAAAGACACAACTGATTGATTCATATTTACCCAGCTAGCAAGCATTTCAATTCTAAAACAATATTTTTTTCCACCACACTGCTTTATGCATTTTTATGTCGTGAATGAAAATGGAATGATTCATATTGACAGCTTGTTAATTAATGTTTCAGGTGTTGTACCAGGTGTTTGAGACCCAGGGGTACAAAGTAGAATAAGACATCCCTGCAGCATCCATGGGGGATACTGATGGTAGAGAGGCAGTTACCACCATATGAAAGTGCCTGGTGGGAGCAAGCATTGCTGCTGCATGAACACACTGTCATGGAACCCTGCGAGCCTCTCAAGGATGGGGCCATATCACATCTTCTTCTAATAGCCTTAGACTCTTAGACACATAGTGTGTGCTCAGAAAATACTTATTGGATGGAGAGAAGGCGTGTTGATATAAGAAAGAATGAATAAGGTGACTCCTGGATCCCAGTGTGGATAGGAGTTTCCCAAGACATTCCAGGCAGAGGAAATAGTGAGGTCACTGTGCTTTTAGAGGTCACCTGGTTTATAGAGCAGCCACATTGGCTAAGGACATGTCTGTGCTGAAACAATGGGA
Source organism: Homo sapiens (assembly GCF_000001405.40). NCBI lineage: Eukaryota > Metazoa > Chordata > Mammalia > Primates > Hominidae > Homo > Homo sapiens. The sequence goes on along the minus strand of NC_000002.12, from coordinate 15,858,980 downwards.
GGTGGTTTCTTTGTACATCATTCTTCAGTTCCAGCATGTGGTCTCCAGTACTGTTCATTTCACTGTGACGGTGCTGTTAGCTGGGACAGTGAAGAGTTCCACTTTTATAACATAAAAACACTAGAGGTTATTTCTCTCTCTCTCTCCTTTTTTCCCCCCATTACCTTAAGATTGCATTACCTTTCTGTTCAGATCAAGTGCCGCTCTTGAGAGAACAATCTCTGTTTCTGAGCGATTCGTTGAGAACATCGAGTGCCAGACCACACGCTAATTAAAGCTTGTCACATACCATAATGGCACCTCAGTAATACTCCAATTAACAGTTACTTTAATTACACCACTTACATGAAATTAATGAAGAGTCTAGCTGATGAGAAATAAGAACCTGTACATGAGAGCAACACAGAACGTTCATCAAGTTTCTGATGAAACAGCCTTTGAGAAATCTGTTCCCTCCCATTGCCTAGCTTAAAAAAATATTTTCAGGGAGGCAGGAAAGTGGCTTTTTGTAAAATGAGCTGCCAACAGATGAAGAAAGAGTACTCATTCTTGCTGCTGGAAGGGCTAATCACCCAGGCTTTCATGTCTTAGAGACTGAGTTCAAATCCTACACTTGCCCTTTCTAACTGTGCTCTCAGTGAATGAGGAATAGAAGAGAACTTCCTCAACCTGACAAAGGGCATCTAGAAAATACCACCAGCTCACATTGTACTTGATGGTGAGAGACTGGGTATTTTTCCCCTGCAACCATCACTAAGACAGGGAAACCCCCTCTCAAACTTCTATTCAGCATTGTACATTGTACATTGTAGTTTATAGCTAGTGCAGTGAGGCAAGAAAAGAAAAAAACATTGAGATAGAAAAGAAAGAGCAAAACTTTCTTAATTTGCAGACAACATGATAATTTATTAGCAAAGCCAATGAAACCTACAAAACAACTACTAGAATTCATAAGTGAGTTTTGCAAGGTTGTAGGATACAAGATCAATATGTAAAAATCAATTATATTTCTATATACTTTAGGCAACTTTTTAGTCTCCCTGGGTCAGTTTTCTTATCTACGAAATGGCAGCAAATGTATGTTCTTTATAGAGTTGCTTTGAGGGTTAAGAAGATATAGGTTCCTAGGACAAGGTTCAATAAATGTTGGTTTATTCTCATTTTTTTAGAGCATACCAGATGACACCTTCAGTGGTCCTAACATGGTCTTACCTTCCATCTAAGCATGAAAGAATAAATGGTGCTCTAGAGGAGTGTCACTTCAGCCTGGGGTAACACCCAGGGAACCCCTATAGCTGGAAACCATGCAGATGGGCAAGTGTTAAGGGAAGTTCCAAGCCCAGAGACCAAGCTTTCCAAATCTGATCTGTCTCTCTCACCCATTACCCCCACCACTACTCATTCCCATTTCCTTGGCTCAAGCCTGGGTTTTTATAGCCACCTCCTAAACAGTCTTCCTATAATCTTGCTCCTCTTAAATCCAATCTAACCACTGTTGCCAGAGCGGTCTCTTTGTAAGTTAAATCTGATCACCTCTTTGTTCCATGTAAACCCTCTGGTGGCTTTTTATTGCAGTCAGAGTTAAGACCAAGCTTCTTAGCCTGGCTTGTGCACAAAACACTGGGCACTACTTGGACTGAACTACTTCTACTTCTCCCAAAACACCAAGCGTTTTCTAGCTTCCCTACTTTCCTCAATCTGATCCTGCTTCCAGAATTTCTACAACTTTACTCTCCACGCCTGCCAGCCCCACCGAACCATCACCTGGCAATCTACTATGCATCCTTCCAGCCCAACTTAAGCTCATTTTCCCTCTGAAGTCTCTCTGGACTGCTCTGGACCCGACAAATGTGGATGTCCTCCATGCTTCCAAAGAAAGTTTACATCTTTTTTTTTTTTTTTTTGAGACGGAGTCTCGCTCTTTCATCCAGGCCGGACTGCAGTGGCGCTATCTCGGCTCCCTGCAAGCTCCGCCTCCCGGGTTCACGCCATTCTCCTGCCTCAGCCTCCCGAGTAGCTGGGACTACAGGCGCCCGCTACCACGCCCGGCTAATTTTTTGTATTTTTAGTGGAGACGAGGTTTCACCGTGTTAGCCAGGATGGTCTCGATCTCCTGACCTCGTGATCCGCCCGCCTCGCCTCCCAAAGTGCTGGGATTACAGGCGTGAGCCACCGCGCCCGGCCGAAAGTTTACATCTTTATTATGACACTTATTACATACTATTGTAATCTTTATTTACTTGCCTTTGAGCTCCTTGAGGGCACAGCCATGCCCTATTTGTCTCTGTGCCTCTTGGAATCCTTCTCTGCTTCCTGACATGTTCCTTTGGCCCCACGTAGACCTGACAAACCCCACCTGCTCCTTTCTGCCATGATGGTTATCATTCCTTCCATTTCATCCTATCTCAAAGATCTCTGCTGAAATCTGACACTCTTCTAGACACTTCCCAGGATTTTCTCTCCACTGGGCTCACGGTGGCCATTTTGCCATCTGGGTAGTCCAAAATGGCTTCCTGGTTTTCGTCTTTGCTCTGCCTTCTTCTCATATAGATAGGTAGAGAGGGTGTGAGAAATGAAGAAAAACTACAAAATATCATGCTGGAAAGTAAGGCACTATCATAAATATGAACATGTGGATCAGTGAAACAGAAGGGTTAGACTAACACTAGCTCTAGAGTACATAAGAACTTAATGTATGCTACAGTAGTCATCACAAGGGGAAGGACCATTCAGTAGATTATGCAGGGAGAATTTGGAAGCTGATAAAAACCTGAGCTTGAAATTCTCATTTCACATCATTCTCCAAAATAAATTTAAGTGAACTAAATAATTAAAAATAAAAACATGAAAACATAAGAAATCTAGAAGGACATATAAATAACTTTATGCTTGGAATGGAGAGAACCACCTAAAGTTAAAGCAGTGGAAGAAAACACAAAGAGAAAAATCAATAGATGTGAATACACAAAATAGGCATTTTAAATGATCAATATTAAAAGGTTAAAAAGAAAAAAAAGGAAAAAACCTGTAACCAGTTTAACAAAAAGTCAATACATGGTATATAAAGAGTTTACACAAGTGCACAAGAAAAACACTAAGACCCTGATTTTAAAAAACTAACCAGGACAATGTACTTCATTAAACAATGTACTTGAGGGCAAACAAATAGCTAAAAAGTACTTTAAAGTATTAAATCCCCAAGAAATCAAATACCAAGTAAAACTATGACATGATTTTCAACATTCAGTTTTTTTTGTTTTTTTTTTTTTTTTTTAAGATGAAGTCTTGCTCTGTTGCTCAGGCTGGAGTGCAGTGGCACGATCTTGGCTCACTACAACTTCCACCTCCTAGTTCAAGCGATTCTTATTCTGCAGCCTCCCAAGTAGCTGAGATTACAGGTGCACGCCACCATACCTGTCTAATTTTTATATTTATAGTAGAGATGGGATTTCACCATGTTCACAAGGCTGATCTTGAACTCCTGACCTCAAGTAATCTGCCCACCTTGGCCTCCCAAATTGCTGGGATTACAGATGTGAGCCACTGCACCCGGCCTCAAATTTTCAAAGAAATTAAAAGGTGATAATATTTGTTACTGGTGAGGATGCTGTAAGATAGACTTTCTCATATACAATTTTTGTTTGTAGCTGGAAATGTAACTTTATGGAAGATTTGTTGGTGGAAATGTAACTTTATAGAAAGGAATTTGGTAGTAAGTATTGAGAGCCTTAAAAATTATTGCCAAAAAGTAGGTTAAAATTACTTGGGACATTGCTGGCTGGTGTGATTTAATGTAAGTGTGGTTTAATTTTTTATATTTATCCTTTATTTTGGAAATTATCAAAAATAACATATGTTAAATTTATAACAAGCAAAATGTTTTGTTTTGTTAGAAACCTTACAAAAACTCACCCAATCATCTCATGTAAAGAAATCTATCTAAGGGAAATAAGAATAGACATGAATAGACCAATGACAAGTAGTAAGATTGAATCAGTAATAAAAAGTCTTCCAACAAGGAAAAGCACAGTACTGAATGTATTCATAGCCAAATTCTACCACATGTACAAAAAAGAAATAATACCAATACTCCCAAAACTATTCCAAAAAATTGAAGAGGAGGGAATTTCCCCTAATATCAAAACCAGACAAGGACACAACAAAGAAAGGAAACCACAGGCCAATATCCCTGTTGAACATAGACACAAAAATCCTCAACAAAATACTAGCAAACCAAATCCAGCATTACATCAAAAAGATCATACACCATAAATAAGCGGGATTTATACCAGAGATGCAAGGGTGGTTCAACGTATGCAAAACATGATATATCACATCAACAAAATGATGGACAAAAATCATATGATTGCCGGGCGCAGTGGCTCACGCTTGTAATCCTAGCACTTTGGGAGGCCAAGGTGGCTGGATTGCCTGAATTCAGGAGTTCGAGAACAGCCTGGGCAACACAGAGAAACCCCATCCCTACTAAATTACAAAAAATTAGTTGGGTGTGGCAGCGTGCGCCTGTAGTCCTGGCTACTCGGGAGGCTGAGGCAGGAGAATTGCTTGAATCCGGGAGGCAGAAGTTGCAGTGAGCCGAGATTGTGCCACTGCACTCCACCCTGGGCAACAGAGTGAGACTCCGTCTCAAAAAAACAAACAAACAAAAAATTGTATGATTATCTCAATAGATGCAGAAAAACATTTGATAAAATTCAACATTTTTTCAAAATGAAAGCTCTTAATGAACTTGGCATAGAAGGAACATACCTTAAAATAATAAAGGCCATATATAACAAACTCATAGCTAACATCATAGTGAATGGGGAAAAGCTGAAAATCTTTCCTCTAAGAAGTGGAACAAGACAAAGATGGCCACTTGTACGGCTCCTATTCAACATAGTACTGAAAGTCCTAACCAGAGCAATCAAGCAATTGAAAAATATAAAAGGCATCCAAATTGAAAAAAATGACGTCAAATTGTCCCTCTTTGTTAATGATACGATATCTAGAAAAATCTAAAAGCTCCACCAAAAAAAATCTTAGATTTGATAAATTAATTCAGTGAAGTTGTAGGATACAAAATCAATGTTTGAAAATCAGTAGCATTTCTATACAACAATAATGATCTAACTGAGAGAGAAATAAAGAAGGCAGTCCCATTTACAATAGCTAAAAACAAATACCCAGGAACAAATTTAACCAAGGAGGTGAAAGATTTCTATAAGGAAAACTACAAAATACTGATAAAAGAAATTGAAGATGACAGAAACAAATAGAAAAACATCATGAATCAAAAGAATTAATATTGTTAAAATGACTATCTTGCCCAAAGCAATCTACAGAGTCAATGAAATCACTATCAAAATACCAATGTCAAGACTGGGCATGGTCGCTCACACCTGTAATCCCAGCACTTTGGGAGGCCGAGTTGGGTAGATCACCTGAGTTCAGAAGTTCGAGGCCAGCCTGGTCAACATGGTGAAACCCTGTCTCTACTAAAAATACAAAAATTAGCCAGACATGGTGGCGGGTGCCTGTAGTCCCAGCTACTCAGGAGGCTGAGGCAGGAGAATCACTTGAACCCAGGAGACAGAGATTGCAGTGAGCTGAGATCGTGCCACTGCACTCCAGCCTGGGAGACAGAGCGAGACTCTGTCTGAAAACAAACAAACAAACAACAACAACAAAAAATTTCATTCTTCACAGAGTTAGAGAAAACAGTTCTGAAATTGATTTGGAACCAAAAAAGAGCCCGAATAGCCTAAGCAATCCCGAGTAAAAAGAACAAAGTTGGAGGCATCACATTACCTGACTTCAAAATATGTTATATGGCTGTAGTAACCAAAACAGCATGGTATTGGTATAAAAATAGACACATAGACCACTGGAATAGAATAAAGAACCCGGAAATAAAGCCACATGTTTACAGGCAACTGATCTTCAACAAAGCCAACAAGAACTTACACTGGGGAAAGGACACTCTCTTCAATAAATGGTGCTGAGAAAATTTGATAGCCAAATGCAAAAGAATGAAACTGAACCCCCATCTCTCAGCATATACAAAAATCAACTCAAAATGTACTGAAGACTTAAAACTACAAAAATACTGGAAGAAAACCTAGGAAAAACTATTCTGGACATTAGGCAAAGAACTTATGACTAAGACCTCAAAAGCACAAGCAACAAAAACAAAAATGACCAAATTGCACTATATTAAACTAAAAAGCTTCTGCCAGCAAAAGAAATAACCAACAGAGTGAAGAGACAACCTGTTGAATGGGAGAAAATATTTGCAAACTATTCATCTGACAAGAGACTAATATCCAGAATATACAAGGAACCAAGCAACTCAACAGAAAAAAAAAAATCCCATTTAAAAATGGGCAAAGGACAGGATTAGACATTTCTCAAAAGAAGACATATAAAAATGGCCAACAATTATGTGAAAAAATGCTCAACATCACTAATCATCAGAGAAATGCACTATCGGAGATATCACCTTAACCCAGTCAGAATGGCTATTATTTAAAAGACAAAAAACAAAAAACAACAACAAAAAAAAACAGATGTTGGCAAGGATGCAGAGAAAAGGGAACTATTGAACACCGTTGGCAGGAACGTAAACTAGTGTGGCCACTATGGAAAACAGTATGGAGATTTCTCAAAAAACTAAAAATGGAATTACCATTCAATTCAGCAATCCCACTATTATCTATCCCCAACCCCCAAAAAAAGAATTAATGTATCAAAGGGATGCCTGCACTTACATGTTTATTACAGCATTATTCCCAAGAGCAAAGATATGGACTCAACCTCAAGTGTCCATCAACAGATGAATGGATAAAGAACACATTTTATATATATATTATATATATTTTTTATCTTTTATATAATATATAATATATACTTCTCTTTTATATATTATATATTTTATATTTTTAAAATTCTCTTTTATGGGCAAATAATATTCCATTGTGTGTGTGTGTGTATATATATATATTTCACTTAAGATAATGACCTCCAGTTCCATCCATGTTGCTGCAACTGACATGATTTTATTCTCTTTTATGGCCAAATAATGTTTATAATATTACAATATTTATAAGACTAAATGTTTATAAATTAAATTTATATAAATTTATTTATATAAACAAAATCACGTGCAGCAACATGGATGGAACTGGAGGTCATTATGTTCAGCGAAATAAGCCAGGCACAAAAAGACAAGTATTGCATGCTCTCGCATGAGGAAACTAAGAAATCTGATCACATGAAGTAGGGTGCAGAGATAGATAACAGAGACTGGGAAGGGTGAGTGTGGAGGAGAGGGGAAGACGAAAAGACATAGGTTAGAGGGTACAAACACACCGTCAGATAGGAGGAATAAATTCACTGTTTGATAGGAGAGTGGGGTGATAGAGTTTACAAAATGTATTGTACTCAGGTGATGGGCACCCCGAATACTCTGGCTTGATCACTACCCACTACATACGTGTAACAAAATTACTATGCGTTATATACATGTAACCCCTCGGGGCTCTGGCAGCTTGGACTCTACCCCTCTCCTTGTACCCCATACATTTTTACAAATAAAAATTATAAAAAAGAAAAGATGATGACCAAAAAAATGATCCACACAATGCTATTTACGACAGCCAAAAATGTGCAAAATAAATGAGATGATATCCACTTAGTGGAGTACTACATGCAATTAAAACTGTATTTAGGAGGAGCTTATGACGACATGGGAACATACGTAAACGGTTGTTTGTTATCAGCTTGCTGTTAGTTTGGTGAGGCCACCATAACAAATTACCACAAACTAGATGCCTTAAACAACTGAAATTAACTGCCCTCAGCTCTGAAAGCTAAAAGTCTGAAATCAAGGTGTTGGTAGGTTTTGTTCCTTCTTGGGCCTCTGAGGGAGAACCTCCCCTAGGCCTCTCTCCTAGCTGCAGGTAACTGCTGGCCATTCTTTGTGTTTCTTGGCTTGAAGCAGCATAATTTCAGTCTTCACATGGCGTTCTCCCTGGGTTTGTGTCTGTATCCAAATTCCCCCTTTTTATAAGGACACCTAACACATTGGAATTGGGCTCATCCCAGTGACTTCATCCTATCTCAGTCATCTGCAAAAATCCTGTTTCCAAATAAGATCACATTCACAAATACTAGGGGTGAGGACTTCAACCTCTTATCAGGGGACGCAGTTCAATCCATAACATATAGTGATGTTTTACATACAAAAAAAGGAAATTAAGATGTAAAACCATATATGTGATATCAAAGCCATGTTTTGAGACAATGCATAGAAAATGACTGGCTCACCCTGTAATCCCAGCACTTAGGGAGGCTGAGGCAGGTGGATCACCTGAGGTCAGGAGTTTGAGACCAGCCTGGCCAAAATGGCTAAACCCCATCTCTGCAAAACTACAAAAATTAGCTGGGCATGGTGGCACATGCCGGTAATCCCAGCTACTCGGGAGGCTGAGGCAGAAGAATCGCTTGAACCCAGGAGGCAGAGGTTGCAGTGAGCTGAGATCATGCCACTGCACTCCAGCCTGGGTGACAGAGTGAGACTCTGTCCCTCTCCCACTACCCAAAAGGACTGGAAACAATACACCAAAATGTTAACAAAGGCCATTTTGGGAAGTCCACTTATGAGTGATTGTTTTCCCCCCAATCTTGCTCATATTTTGGATGCTGAGACCTAGTAATAGTTCTCCTCTGAGGGCAAGGCTTGCCTGCACCCGCCCGCCCCCCCAAGCCCCCCCACATACACAAGAGGCTCAGGCTTCTGTACTGAGCTATAAACACAGCACCATATCCTCCATCAGCTCCAAGCTCACTTCTAGGATCAGCTCCATGGTCTGGGGCTGGAACTCTGCAAACCCCACTTCTGTGTCACCAGCTGGCTCTCTATTAGGCTCTGCCAGTGGCAGGGGTGGGGAGCCTGAGAGGCTGAAAGGACTTGCTCTCCCTTGTCACGTAGCTGTTCTTCTTCACCTTGGCAGCCACAGCTCCTGTGATAGATAGCAGCAGCTGGATCCAGTATTTGGTTTTCTAACCTCTCGCAGAAGCAGCCCCAATTTGCCTTCCTCTTTCCCCAGCAGCCAAGCAGATCCCCTCCTCAGAGGTCTGGGTCCCAGCTCCATAGAAGCCCTCCTCTAGCTCAGAGACCCCAGCACCAGCCAAACAGTGGCCCACCTCAGAAGACTGGACCCGTCCTTTAAACCCGAAACTCTTCCTCTCTTCCCGCAGCCTCAGGGGTGGTAGATGCTTCCTGTATGATTACCCTTGTGACACTTTAGAGTTCATTTTTACCTTTTAGTCATCTGGTTAACAACTTTATACTTAGCAATTCTTTATATGAAATTCTCTGTGCTCAGGTAATTGGTGTGGTTTGTCTCTTGATTGGACCCTGACTGAAGCAGCTTGTCGCAACCCAGCCGGAAAGCCCCCACCCAGCTGCTAGGAAGGTCCTGGGAGGATTCCTCAAAGGCAGAGACCAACCCCAACCCCCTTTCCATAGCTTCAGGAGTTTGGGGCTAAACTTGATTTTCTTCTAAGGGAAATGAGTATCCTCTCTTCTTGCCCTCAAACCTCCTCTCTCTGACTCCCTCATCCTCCATCCCTCCTTCTTCCCATCTTCTCTCCACCTCCCCCTCTTTGTCCTCCCCCTTGCCACCATTCCTGTTCTACTCATCCAACCAAGAGAAAGGACAAAACATTCTGTAAGCCAGCTGTAGTGGCTCACATCTGTAATCCCAGCACTTTGGGAGGCTGAGGCAGGCAGATCACTAGGTCAGGAGTTCAAGACCAGCCTGGCCAACATGGTGAAACCCTGTCTCTACTAAAAATACAAAAATTAGCTGGGCGTGGTGGCATGCACCTGTAATCCCAGCTACTCAGGAGGCTGAGGCAGGAGAATTGCTTGAACCCAGGAGGCGGAGGCCGCAGTGAGCTGAGATTGTGCCATTGCACTCTAGCCTGGGCGACAGAGTGAGACTCAGTCTCAAAAAAAAAAAAAAAATTCTTTAAAAGCTTAGCAACTTTAACTTTGCAAGGAGTGCCACTCTAGGATTTTTCTGCTTCTAACAGGAGGTAATGAAAACAAAAGGGAAGGTGCTATTTCTGCCCTCAGGAAACTGGGCCACAACCACCCCAGTAGAGCCTTCCAACCTCGTCTGGGACAAGTGTCAATGGGAGGAACCAACAGAAGTAGATCAAGGGGGCCAGGCGCAGTGGCTCACACCTGTAATCCCAGCACTTTGGGAGGCCAAGGCAGGTGGATCACCTGAGGTCAGGAGTTCAAGACCAGCCTGGCCAACATGGCAAAACCCCATCTCTACTAAAAATACAAAAATTAGCCAGGCATGGTGGCGTGTGCCTGTAGTCCCAGCTACTTGGGAGGCTGAGGCAGGAGAATCACTTGAACCTGGGAGGCGGAGGTTGCAGTGAGCCGAGATCACACCACTGCGCTCTTTTTCTCAAAAGAAAAAAAAAGAAGCGGACTGAGGTCTATGGCCTTAGCATGAATTGTGCTGTAGGTGACTCAAGTAATTGTTTGTTTGTTTGTTTTTGAGACAGAGTCTTGCTCTGTCACCCAGGCTGAAGTGTAGTGGCATAATCTGGGCTCACTGCAACCTCCGCCTCCTGGGTTCAAGCAATTCTCTGCCTCAGCCACCCAAGTAGCTGGGATTACAGGCACCCACCACCACGCCTGGCTAATTTTTTGTATTTTTAGTAGAGACGGGGTTTCACCATCTTGGCCAGGCTGATCTTGAACTCCTGACCTCACGATCCACCGGCCTTGGCCTCCCAAAGTGCTGAGATTACAGGTGTGAGAGCCACCATGCCCGGCCTGGCTTCTTTCACTTAACATAATGTCTTCAAGGTTTATCTATGTTGTAACATACATCAGAATTTTATTTTTTTAAAGCTGGGTAATATTTTGTGGCATGTATATACTACATTTTGTTAATCAATGAACATTTGGGTTGTTTTCACTTTTTTTTTTTTTTTTTGAGACAGATTCTCACTCTGTCACTCAGGCTGGAGTGCAGTGGTGCGATCTCGGCTCACTGCAACCTCTGCCTCCTGGGTTCAAGCGATTCTCCTGCCTCAGCCTCCCCAGTGGCTGGGATTACAGGTGCCTACCACACGCTTGGCTAATTTTTGTATTCTTAGTAGAGATGGGGTTTTGTCATGTTGGCCAGGCTGGTCTTGAACCCCTGACTCGTGATCCGCCCGCCTCAGCCTCTCACAGCACTGGGATTAGAGGCATGAGCCACCGTGCCCGGCTGTTTTTTCTCTTCGTGAGGTTAAATCAAGGCTCCTCAGCTTGGGCTTCAAGCTCTGGCAGCCATCTTCACTACAGAAACCCCGGTGACCCTCACGAAAAGGCATTGCTGTGGCTTGCCTGAGGTCCTCTCGAGGCTCCCAGGGTACAGCGCTCAGGCCTTCGGCTGCCTGGACTCTACCCCTCTCCAGTCTCTCACTCTGTGTCTCCTCTTCCCCTCCAGGACTCCGCCTGTGGAGATGCTCTCCCTTTAACACCCACCCACACTCTCTGGCTGCTGACTCTTACTCTATCTTCAACGTCCCTGCTGTGCTCCCACAATGCACTGGGACCCTGTGTGGCCTCCATCCTTGGCCTTTCCACTCTTGTTGCTAAATCTTCCCTCTCTGGCCCATTGTCAGGAGAAGGCCACCAGACTGGCCCATTCTTAGGACGAGGACTATATGCCACGCACTTCTGTATCTGCCTGACCCAGGACGGGGCCTGACCCAGCACGGGGCCTAGCCCAGCAGACCAGGGTTTGATCATGGATAGACTTTGCAATAGGTTAGTCAGAGCTGATTGCATGGCACACCGTCTTCTCTGAGGAGCATCAATACTCCTGGGGAGGCGGGACTCTCCAGGTGGCACCATGATACCTAAGGTGGTGGCTCAGGTGCGGACCCTCTGCCTCTGGGGCTCAATGGCCAGGCTGAATCCTCCACCCTGCAGCAGGTGAGGTCTGCCCCTCCACTGTGAGATGGTGCCAAGGCTCCCAGACATGCTGTTTTGTAGCACAGCTCCTCAGTCTCCAGCCAAAGCATCTTCCAGCAAGACAGTCACGTGATCACCGGCCAGGCTGTGCTGGGAGCAGGCTGTGCGCAGATCCCGCCTGCTTCTCCTGCCTGCGCTGGCTGACTGCCTCGGCACCATTTTCTCTCGCATGTGCTTTGCTTGGGTCAAAACAACAGACAGACAATGTTTTCTTGCTGTGAGCACTTGTCCCTGCCTCTGTTTCTCCCCTCAGCCTCCCTGAGCCTCTGGTTTCCTAGAAGAAGGGGGAACTTCTCTAGGGTAAAGTCAAGTTGGCTTTAGCATTGCCCTGGGCCTGCTCCTCCTAACATCATACCTGACAACATCTTGATGATCCTCAAAGCCAGGCTCAGCGCTGCTTTCTCTCCTGGAAACTCACTCTCAGTGGGTCGGTCACTCCCAGCGGGATTAGGGCCTCTATCCTGCGTGTTCGTGTGCTCCGTGTAGTTTGTGCAAACCTTTCTGGAGCCCTGACCTCACTGTCCTGCAGTTATTGGTTGCCTGTCGGCCTCCGACTGGACTGCGAGTGTCTTTCATGCCTGTCTGCAGCCCTCCAGCACTGGGCACTCACCTCCGTGCAAGAGGCCCCAGGAGTGCCAGTAAGTAGCATGTGGGGTCTGGAGAGGCACAGCTGCAGGCCAGCCTCCTGGAGGCCAGCTCTGAGCCAGAGATGAATATTCAGGGAACTCACTGGGGAGTGAGGAGCATGGGGCTGGGCACGAGAGACGTTGAGCTGTGATGCAGTCACAGCAAAGGCCTCAATCTGTCTCTTAGGAGCTGCCCCTGACCCAGGCAAGGGGCTGGGTCCTGACCAGGCGTTGGATGAGGGCTGCTCTGAAAGGGAATGTGAAGCTGGCAGCTGCTATGTTGGGGCATCCACAACCAGCTATGAGCCTGCAACACTCCTGGAGCCAGGGCCTGAGTGCTGCAGGCCTGAGGGGGTCTGGGGGCCACACCAGCTCATAGCACCCACTTCAGAGCCCCTCATCTTCACCCAGTCTGGGTTTTTCACTGTGTGGACCACAGACCCCTAAATCATACAACCTCCCTGCTGCGGCCCAGAAATCTTCAGTAGTGACTTGGGCGATTGTAACGTACTCTAAAGTTTAAAGTAACTCTTCTGGGTTTATTGCCATCCTCCCTCCCAGCTATATGTTCATAAGAGGAGAAACTGAGATGGAGAAGGGGGAGTGGCTTCTCTGAAGTTGCACAACAGATTGGTGGAAGAACCAGACCGAGGCATCCCATAATATGAGCAAGTGTGCTGGGAGGAGGCCTCAGAGGGCACAATGAGAGGGGAGAGCTGGGGGCCCCTGTCAGCCAAGCGCCAACATCATGTCATCCAGGCAGCACCTCCTGATGAGCCTGCTCCCTGGTCCTGGCCCTGCACAGAGACACTCATGAGAAAAGCTGTCATCCTCTCCCCTGGAAGGAAGGGGCACATCTGTCCAGGTGCGCCCCTCCAGGAATGCATGAGACCCCTGTAAGCACTGCTGGAGCTGTTTCAGGCCAGGAGGGCCCAAGTACCACTGGCACTGCCCTCTGCAGTTTGCAGGGTCTTCTCATTATCAAGAGTGAGGGAAATGAGGCTTCATTCCAAAGTGCACACAATGGTGACTCCTTATCCCAAGTAACTTATGTCTATCAACTCATTTAATCCTCCCGGCAATCCAGTGAGGTAAGCACTCCCATCACCAGCTTTGTTCAGAGGAGCAAACAGAGGCACAGAGAGGGTAGGGAACCATGGGGCTCAGCTGGTAAGAAGTGGGTCCTGAATTGTGCCACCTGGCACGAGCTGTTTCACATACTTTTCTTCGAGTTTTCCAGTAGGTGTTATTGTGCCCATTTTACAGGAGGAGACTGAGGCTCAGATAGAATCAGCAATGACTTGAGACACTTAGAAATGAGGAGATAGATACATATGTGCATAGATATTTTGCGTCCTATGAAATGCATTTTGTAGAGGAATGGAAGGGAGGGTCAAGGAGACTCAAAGAGGGATCGTGGGAAGCATCAAGGGGGAGGTGACCCGGAGCTGCCTCCTTTAAGATCAGAGGATTTTGCCTGGTAGATGAGGTGAGGATGGCACCTGTAAATACCAGAAAAAGCATGGTGTGTTCAAAGACCAGAAAGCAGCGTGGAGCGAAGCAGGAGGAGGTGGACTTGGACTTCATCCTTGAGCACCAGAAATCCTGTGAGGTTTTGGAGCAAGGAGGACCTGCCCATTCTGATCTGAGGGATGAGGGAGTGGCCGAAGCTGGGTGGGGTGGGGCGGAGGGGGGGTGGCCCTCCCTCTGCGTCTCCACCCACTGTGGGTCTGCATGTGACTCTTCTCAGGAAGACGGAGGCTGCTTCCTGCAGATTTAATTCAATGTCAGCTGCAAAGCTCTATTAGCTAAATTGGCCATCAACCTGCGTGTCTGTTCCACATAATGGGGTTTTGTACAAAATGAGTTTTTCACTGTGTTAAAAAGTGTCATGTTTGAATCAAAACTTATTCCAACCTTCGGGCTCATGAAAGCCTCAAATGAGCATTGATCAATGTGTTCCCAGGTGTTTCCATGGAAACAGGAGAAGGAAGGCAGTGCACCAAGGTGATACTCCGGGTGCTCATTGGTGTGACCGCCCCCCATCCATCAGTTCCACCTGAGGGCAGAGACCTGGAGGCGGGTGAAGAGGGGGCCAGACCCCATGTGGGGACCAAGCGGAGGGAGAGACAGAGATGCCTTGGCCTGCCTGGCACTTGAGCCTCAAGGTCTGAGTTGAGCACACTTGTTGCAGCAGCTAAACCTCTATGTATTTCATAATTTATTTTTGTATTTTTGCTGGGCTTTCCACAAACTGCTCATGCACTCAGCTCAAACGCCCCCCATAAACCAGCCCCTCACCATGAATCATTCCTGCCCCTTGCAGCCTTGGCTGGCCCTGGAGCATGCTGTGGGCAAAGCCGTGAGAGTTGGGGTCAGGCCATAAGGTGGGTGCCTCACAGAAGACCTTGGAGAATCACCTTCCCTCTCTGGCCACGGGTTCCTTGTCTCTACAATAAGAATTAGTATAAAGCTGCTCTACTGGGGACCAGGAGATCTGACTTCTAGTTCCCTCTCTGTCACTGACATGGGGGCAGATGACTTAGCCTCTCGGAGGGGTACTTTCTCTATCCATAAATTGGGAGTGGTATCTTGGGTCCCTCCAGCCCTGCCCACTGTGGATAATGTTATAGGAGTAGGCTTCTGGCAGGCACCGGCCAGCCCCATGGGCAGCCCAGATGGCAGAGTGTCTTCTGCCGAAAAGGGGGACCTGCGGCCGGTGCTTCTGCTGGGGCCTCCGTGGCCCTGCTGGCATCTGCGGGCCTTTTCTCCCCTCATAGATGCTTCAGACTGACATGGACCCTGCCACAGGCCCAGCCCTTCCTCGGTCACGTGCCTCACCGCACCTCAGCTTACAGCAGCTCTGCAAGGCTGTCGGAATAAGAGGATCATGATTCTCACTCATATCACGCGTGCGGCCCCAGGTAGGGAGGCTGAGCCATCGGCCAAGGTTCCACCGCTATTACATGGCATGGCTGGCACTAGAACCAGGGCTCCTGCCTCTCTGCCTGTGCTCCCTCTGCTTACCCAACCCACAGCGGCTGTCTGGTCCCGCATTCCTGGCTGAGCCCAGGCGTGGGCCCTTCAGAGCTGGCTGTGCAGGCTGCTGCGAGGGCTGGCCACCAGCCACACGTCCGCCCAATTTACCCGCACAACCATATGGCCGGGGGCCTGTTTTGCTAGGGGACGGTAGGGCCAGTGAATAGCCCGCTCTGTGCCATGGACCAGGGCCTGATTCAATTTAGACCTGTCTGTCCAGGGACCTGCCTGGGGGAATAAAGACTGCTCTCTCTGAAAGACGCGGGCAGACCGTGGCAGAGGCCCCATAATCAGGTTTGCTGGGGCCGGCCTCAGCAGCAGTGCGGCCCCGCACTGCTTTGTCCCCGGCCTCTGCAGGGTCAGTGTGGTGGCACGCCTGCCCTGTGGCTTCACAAGGCTCCTCTTTCCTCCTTAATCAAATCAGATCTCCAGCCTGGCATTCTCCTGGCCTGAAGTCATCTCCGTGGGGAGGGGAGCTGGGTGCAAGGCACCAGGAGCTTGCAGCAGGGGTGGCCAGAGCCAGAAGGGCCCCAAGAAATCACTGGTAGCCCACTCTCCAAAGACACAGGGGTTGAGGCCCAGGGAGGGGTGGGTTCACCCTTGCTATGGTCATGAGGTGTGGGTCCCTGCAGAGTGGGGAGCAGGGGGATCAGGGCCCCAGGACCCACACAGGCAAGGAATATCTTTTCTTCCCATTCTGCTATTAAAAAACTGAAGGTTAAAATGAGAGTGAACAGATCCCTGCTCCCCACGACATGGGTGAGCCTCAGCACCACAAACATAATGATAAGAAAAAAATAGACACAAAAGAGTGCACGCTATATGATCTCATCAGTGCAAGGGTCAAGAGACAGAACAGCTCTAGTTCTAGAAGGCAGGGGCAGCCGCCTTTGCTGGGAGGTGGTGAGTGAGGGAGCAGGCGGAGCTGCTGGGGTACAGGTCACGTCATGATCTGGATCCGCGAGTCTGTTTCCTGTGTGAACATGGATTGAGCCATATGCATAGAGTTTCTACCTTTCTCTATGTATGTTATACTTCAATAAAATGTTTGTAACAATCTGAAAGCTGGGAGAGACTGTCTTTTTAAGGCAATATTTACTGAATACCTGCGCTGTTCTGACTCTTGCTGGGTGCTCAGAGAAGAAAGGCGGAGTTCTTAACTAGAAGGGGCTTGGGCCATGGTTGGTAGCTGGACGTGGCAGAGAGTGAGTACTCTGCCAGAGGGGTGTGTGCAGCACTGAGCAGGGAGGGCCCAGGTTGCTCCTGGAGGGAGTTGAGGCACAGCCTGGGTCTCCAGGTGCAGGCTCCTGTGGGATGCAGGAGGGGAGAAAGGTGTCCCAGTACACGAAGTGGTGTGGGCATGTAGGGTGCACTCCAGGAAGCTGTGCCCAGTGGGATACCATGTCCAGAGCTAGGCAGTCTGCCCTGGGAGCTCCGGGCAGAAGGCTGGATGATATGCAAGGGCTACACAGGCCAACAACTTTAAACCTAGATATGCTCTAGGGTCCCCCAAAGAGAGCTCCCTCGGCTCCATCCACAACCCCAGGATCAGAATCTCTGAGAGTGTTAGAACAAAAGCAGAAGCCTCCCCAGGACAGTCCTTGATGAAGATTTAGCTGGAGAAGCCATTGATCAAGAGTAGCCTTTTAGAGAGATAATCCGACCCCTGTTTCACACCAGTTAGAGGCATGCTGGAATCCTAGTCCCAGTGAGAAGCACATGTGGCCAGACCTATGGCAGAGGGAACTGGGATGGAGAGAAGTGGAGAGATGCTAGACCTATGGGGAAGGAATCCTGAGATACTTGAGCAGATGTGGCCAGCAGGAGGTGGCAAGGATAAAGCCCAGGTTTCTGGCTTGCACAGTTGCTAAGATGGGGACAGCATCATGAGCTAGGAAGTTCTAGAGGGGAAGACGGGAGAGTCAGAGGCTGGGTTTGGAGAGCCTATGGAGGGGACGTCCCGGGATGGTGCACCCTGGGCAGCAGGGAGGGTGACAGGAGCAGTCAGGAGAGATGAGAGCTGGACAGGGGGGTTGCGGCATCATGGGCAGAGATCCTACAGCCTCCGGGTGACAGTGCCCCTGGGGAGAGTGTGTGATGCATGAGAAGGATAAACAGAGGATGAAGGCTCAGAGCATGAGGGTTTGGGTTGGAACTTGGAGGAACTGTTGAGGGAGCCCTGGTGAGGGCTGCTTGTCTAACCTAAAGAGAAGAATGTAAGGAACTCATGAGAAGTTTTCTGGCACAGAACGGGCACCCAATCCGTGGCAATTCTCCTCGCTCTCCTCCTTCCACAGGAACTGCGGTGGCATGTGCCATGCCCCTTTGTTATTTGTCCCCTTAACAAAGGTATTTCTGGCTTTCCCAGGCAAATGTGGTCTTTGATGATCACCCAAAAAATCTTGGAAATGTCCGAAGTGCTCTCTCTCAGGAAGGAGCTTGAAGCTGCAGAAACATCTGTCTGCTGAGGCCTGTAACCATCTTCAGCACCAGATTCAGCTCACAGTCTACTCCGCTAGGCTTCTGAAGGGGTAACAGTCTATTAGCACGGACATACCTCGGTCCCCGAACCTCAACCACACATCTGAGATTGAGTGAGTTGATGCCATATGGCAGCTCTATGTGTGGAACTCTGGGCACTAGGAGCTTGCAGCAGGGGTGGCCAGAATCCCAGGAGTTTGGCCATCACCTATTCCATTACGTCTTCCACCTGGGGAAACTGAGGCCCAGAAAACAAAGGGTCTTCCCCAAGCTTGGAGGGGGAGCTGGAATCACTGTCTGCAAATGCAGGTTGAAAAAGGCAGCTAATGCCCTTTGCCTCCCTTTGGTGCAACTGGTTCTTCTTACTTTCATGACTCACCCATGTAGATGGAAAGGTGCAGCAAGCAGGAAACTCAGGCCTGAGTCAGCTGTGAGATTTGGCCCTCATTCTTTTCTACATCTATGTTCCCTTCCTCTCCACTTTGCCCCACTTCTGCATTGATTTTAGATACACGTGGGGTGAAAAAGTGCTTCCCCTGATGGTCCTCACACCCGAGGGTTTTGACAGGTAGACTATCAAGCGGGAATCTCTTCAAACAGTGGTCAGCATGAGCTCCCTGAGCACCAGGTGCCTGCAGGGTGCTGGGCCCGGGAAGAGATCTGAGAAGGACTCTGCCCTGGAGAGTCTCTAGCCTAGTGTGTGAGGAGGGGTGAAGGGGAGAGAGGATCTGATCCCATGCCCACTGTCAACAACATGAGGCTAGTGATGGCAGATATTCACTCCTCCCATCTGCCAAAGCTCCAGAGTGTGCTCACATCCACCCTCTAATTATTTCCATGGTTTAAATTGGGGCATAATTTACGTACAGGAAAATTCATTCTTAATATACATTTCTATGAGTTTTGACAAATGCATACAGTCGTGAAACCACCAGGGCAATCAATACACAGAACAGTTCATCACCCCCAAATTCCCCTGCTCCCCTTCGTAGCGAACCCCTCTGTCCACCGCAGCCCCTGGCAATCAGTGATTATTTTCTCTTCCTATAGTTTTACTCTCCTAGGGAATATATTCCATTGCATGGGTGCACCATGCACCATTTGTTTATCCTGTCGCCAGCTGAAGGTCATTTAAGTTGCATCTAGTATTTGGAGATCAGGCGTAAGGCCACATATAAGCATTCACATACTTGTTTTTATGACAACATAAATATTCAGTTCTCTTGGGTCAGAACCTAGGAGTGAGATTATTGGATCTTACGATAACTGTATGTTTAACTTTACAGGAAACTGCCCAGCTGTTTTCCATAGTGGCTTCACCATTTTGCATTGTCCTGGCCGTGAAGCATGAGAGTTGCAGTTGCTCCACATCCTTGTCAATGCTCGGAATTGGCAAAGGTTCTGCTTTGTTTTTTCTCTTTTCAGCCATTCTGGTAGGTGTATTGTACATCATCTCATTTTGATTTAAAATCTGTCCTGGGATGGCCAAGCATTATCCTCACCTGCTACAGAGGCAAAAACAGAAGCTCAGAGCAAATTGGTGGCTCAGCCATGACCACACGTAGAGACCATCAGAACCAAGACACCAGCCGAGGTCTCCTGGTTGGGACCAGGGCTCTTCCTGTGTATTGAGTGGGAAAAGTTCTTCCAGGCCATGGCCATGGCCCTGAGAGAGATCTGAGGAAAGTGGAGGTGATCAGAAGAAGCTAAGCCCTGTCCCTTTGGGGCTACTCCAGAAAGTCCCCATTGAAGAAGGAGCTGATCCCTGAAAGACTAAAATGAGGAAAGCAAATCAGGTAGAAGGAAAAGCACAAGCAAAGGCGTGCAGATGAAAATATTACGAGCCGTGTTTGGGAATGTACATCACCCAGTAGGGCCCCAGGAGGACTTCGGACTAGAGAGGCCAGCTGGGTCCAGACCCAGGAGGAATTGTGTAGTAAGAAGAGCAAGGAGTTATAATATCAAGATACCCGGACTGGAGGCACAACTCAGAACTGCACTCTCCTCGTCTGTAAAACGGAATCAATAATAGTTCCCTGGCAGTGTTTCTGAGAGGCTCAAAGGACATAAGGCGCAAAAATGTTGTGACCGTGACTTGTCACACAGACATGAGGGGTAGGGATGGGGGCACAGTGCCTGCACGCTGGAAGCATTCGTGATTGGCGAAATGAGGGAAGTCTTGCATGCTGATGAATGTCATTCCTGGGCAGGAGCAAATCCTCCTTTCCTAACCCATGGGCTTATTAAAGACCCAGCCCATCAAAAGGACTTGAAAACCTGCAACGGTCCTTGCTAGCCAATAGCCAATGTGGTGTTTTGTTGTTGTTGTTGTTGTTGTTGTTTTTTGAGACAAGAGTCTTGCTCTGTTGCCCAGGCTGGAATGCAGTGGCACAGACTCATCTAACTGGAACCTGTG